>NC_000014.9:54460197-54763228 GCF_000001405.40 Homo sapiens | reverse complement strand
TATTTTTTTTTAAACCCACCAGCCTGTAGAAAAGAATGTAAATAAGGCCTGCGTGTGTATAAAAGTGAATATTCGGCTGGGCGCGGTGGCTCATGCCTGTAATCTCAGCACTTTGGGAGGCTGAGGCGGGCAGATCACGAGGTCAGGAGATCGAGACCATCCTAGCTAACACGGTGAAACCCCGTCTCTACTAAAAAATACAAAAAATTAGCCAGGCGTGGTGGCGGGCGCCTGTAGTCCCAATTACTCGGGAGGCTGAGGCAGGAGAATGGCATGAACCTGGGAGGTGGAGCTTGCAGTAAGCCTAGATCGCGCCACTGCACTCCAGCCTGCGTGACAGAGCGAGACTCCATCTCAAAAAAAAAAAAAAGTGAATATTCATGTGCTTATGTATGATGATGAAGTTTCTGAAAGGATATCCCAAAACTTAATAGTGACTATCCCTGGGAATGAGGATGGCAGGGTTTGGGGTTGGGGGAGGGTGGTTTTCCACTTTCCACCATGTTGTTAATTTGAATTGTGTATGCTGAGTGTTAACTGGGGTTACAGCTTCCTTTAACGTAGGTAAAATGTAAAGAAGCAGGGCCATAGCACTGTGGGTCTCTCAGGAAGTAGGGCGATGTGCCGCGTGTTCAGTAGCTGCTCCACTTGGGCTTGGCAGAGCTGTGTCTTCACCCATGGGGAAATCTGTTCTAATCCAACACAGCTAAGGGGTGGGTGGGGGAGAGCGAGGGCCCACCCTGGCCATCAAGCTCCAAGGGAAGCTGTGAGTCATCTCCTCCACCAGATTACTATGAATTTAAGTCTTTTTTTAGGACATGCCTTAAGGTGGGTGGTGGAAGGGTGGGGGTTGTTCTTACTGCAAACTTGGTTTTTTAAAATGGTCTGAAATATTGGACAATAACAGAGAAAAAATTGTTTTCCCCTTCCAAAGGAAAAGTGCTGGCATTGCCACATGTTAAAAAATAATCAAGATGTCTTGTAAGACACCCAATTAAGCATAAATTATTCTACTGGTGGACATTTTCAAGGATATGGAAATAAGGGTCTGCCCCAGAAAAGGCAGAGGGTAGCCCAGGTAGAAAGGGGCGCTCTTACCCAAAGGACCACGCTGTGGAGTCTACCCTCCCCGACAGGCGTGCACCCAGCATGTATGCTTGGATGGTCTGTGGGAAGGCCTAACTTTAGATACTGGTGTCATCCCTCAATTTTTGCACCGCCTACTTATGAGGCATCTACTGTAAGCACTGTGCTACAAAAGCAGGGTATTGAGTAGCTATTAAAAGTGGTCTGTGCTGCAGACTAATGAAGATACAGTCAAGCAAACAGGCAATCACAATCTAGTGTGAACTGGGCTAAGACAAGGAAAGTAAAGGGGGACGTGGGGCAGGTGAAAGGGGGTACCTCACCCAGCCCAGTGGATCAGCAGGCTTCCTGGAGCATGTGAGGACTTGGCTAAGACCTGGAGAAGGAGGCATGACCCAGGTGAAGGGAATGGGGTGAGGAAAAGAGTGTTATAGGCAAGGCTGTCCCATGTGGATGTGCAGGCTGTGCACTGCACAAGTGCATGCCAAGGTGAGTGCTAGCAGTGCTGTGTCCACCCAGACAGGGCACCATCTTGTAATTCACATGAAGGCTTTGTATAAACTAGTAGGGGCCTAGGTTCTAGGCAGAGGGGGAGGTGTGCACAAAGGCTCAGAAGCCAGGAAAATATGCAAACTTTTGAGAACTCAAAGATACAAAGTCTGGAGTGTAGAATGGAGGTGGTAAGGGCTGTAGAGGTAACAAGGAGGCGCCAGATGACACGTGACTCTTTAGGTTTGGATTTTGTCACCTCACAGCGGAGAGAACCATCACATGAAACTTAACCTTGTTCTATCTTGAGCTGATAAGAAGGCACAGTGGTAACCACGTGCATGATGGAGAGACTGCAGGGTTCAAATTCCAGCCCTGCCATCAGCTGTGTAAGCTCAGGTGGGCTAATTAGCCTGTGTGCCTCAGTTTCCTCCTCTGTAAAATGGGATAACTTGGGAATTAAGTAAGCTCTATAGGTAAAGCACGGAGAACTGTGTCTGCTATAGAGGAAAAGCTAAATAAGCACAAGCTATTCGTACTAGAGCATTTCACATGGCAGGCCAGCCGTGAAGAGAGAATATAAACGCAGACACGGGAGAATGAGAACAAAACAGTTCCATGCTGGGAATTCTCCAAACCATGGCCACATCTGAGAACACTTTCAGTGGTGAGGAGAGAGGCCACTGCCAAGGCTGGCATTTTTCTGCACAGGGAGATCTTTGGGCTCTGGCTAAAGGCGTCTGTGCCCCTTCAGTTTGTCACTCATTTTCTGCCGCTTTTGCTTTGGAGAGAGGGTGAGATGCTGAGTGAACGGTTTGTTCCCAAAATCATCTTTTTCGAAGTCCTTCCCACCTTCCTCCTGCAAGGGTCCACTGGCCCAATGAGCACTGTAATAAAAGGGCTGGCATCCCCTAGTCTGAGGGAGTTGGGAGAGAAAGGAGCCAGGATTAAGGAGTAGGTCTCCTGGGGTCACAGTGATTGCAGTTCAAACCCAAAAGGCTTAACCTCTCTGAACTGCACTTTCCCTATCTGTAAGATGAAGCTAATGATGTCTACTTGGACAGGGAATTTATCCAGCACCCAGGGGAAGCCCCCAGGAGCCTGTCGCTCTGGTTAGTGGTATCCAGAAGAAAAAAGAAATGGGCGAATGAGGCTCTACCTTTCCCCATGACGCGTGTGAACTGCCCGGGGAGGTCCCCCTCTGGCAGGGGGGCGACGGCCAGCTCCCCATCGCAGCTGCTCAGCTGGTGCGGCTGGAGCCCCCCGCTGGCCCCGGCCGAGGGGGTGGCCGTGGCGCCAGTGGCTGCGGCCCCATCTTTGCAGTCGGGGCTCTGGCTCTCGGGGCCCATCAGTGAGGGCTGACGCGGGGCCTGGGGCTCCCGGCGGCGAGCCTCGGGGGTGGTGCTCGGGGAGCTGTAGGCCTTGATCGGAGTCAGGATCATCTGGTGCAGTTCCTGGAGCGGGATGCGCAGGCTGCCCCCCTCGATGATGTCCTGGACGGTGAGAGCAGGAAGACCTCTGTTAGGCTCAGGAATAAGGGTCATCCACCCCCGTACCTGCCCTCCCCTGCCCTGAGCTCTTACAGGATTCGTGGCTGCTGGTACCCTCATCAGGACGTTTTTGGGAAAAGGGACCACTTTCGTTTCATCATTCTAATATTGGCCCAGGAAGAACACTTGGAAAATACAGACAGGTATAGCGAGGAAAATACACACCACCGGAAAATCCCACTATCTAGAGATGACCACGAAAACAATTTGGTATATTTCCTTTTCTGCCTTCCTCTGTGCATTTCTGTAAAATGCAGTTATACATATTACAGTCACATGCTTTAGGAGCTGTACAACAAAGTTGGGTGACATGATGGCTTTGTGTCCTGTGTATGTTCTGGATGAAATAGCTTGTTCACACCATCACTCAGTCCATGGCACACGCAGCACAGGGTAGCGATTAAGAGCAGAGACTCTGGGTCAGAGGCTGGGGTTTGGATTCTTGCACTCCCATGTGAACCTGGGCAAATGGCTTAACCAATTTGTGCCTCAGTTTCTCTGTGTACAAAATGAGCATATCGTGGCTGCCTCATTGCCTTTAGGGTTCCCCAAGGAGTTGACATCCAGCCATGAGATAACTATATCATGCCAGGGGCTGTGGTACGGGTCGGGGCTGCTATGAGGGGAAGCTCCTGGAGAGGGTGACATGGGGCAGGGACCCAAATGAGCGTGGGCATGAGGATCCTGGGGAGAAACGCTCCAGGTGGAGGGCACAGCAAGGGCAAAGGCTCTGAGGGGGGAGTCTGAGGAACAGCAAGGAGGCCTGCGATGGAGCAGGTGGGCAATGGTGTCCCGTCAGACACCTAGGCCTGAGCCTGGAGGCCTTGGGCCAGGGCAGGGATGCTGAAATCTAGTCTAAGATGGGAAACCAGGGAAGGTTTTGAGCAAGGGAGTGACAAGTTTTACAAGGATCATTCTGGAGAGGAATATGTATAGAACTGTAATATAATATATATGTCTTTATGTGTTGTATAATAAAATTGGATCATTCTGCACATATAGTTTGATATACTGGGCACTACTTATTAAAAAAAGAAATAAAAGTTGATTCTGATAGATATTTTTCTCTATGCCAGATGCTCACAGAGGCCCAAACACTTGTGGCTGGGGCTTGGGAGCCTGGGGCCCTGCCTGGCATGGCGGCTGGGGTGGGCCCTCTGCAACAAAGCTGCTCTCCCTGTGTTTCTGCACATCAAGGTCTTCCTAGGACCTGGAAAGGACATTGATAATCAGGGTCCCAATCACTGATGAAGTATTTAATTTTTTTTTTTTTGGAGACAGAGTCTTACTCTGTTGCCCAGGCCAGAGTGCAGTGGCATGATCTCAGCCCACTGCAACCTCCGCCTCCTAGGTTCAAGCAATTCTCCTGCCTCAGCCTCCCGAATAGCTGGGATTATGGGCATGTGCCACCACACCCAACTAATTTTTGTATTTTTAGCAGAGATGGGGTTTCACCATGTTGGCCAGGCCGGTCTTGAACTTCTGACCCCAGGTGGTCCGTCCGCCTCAGCCTCCCAAAGTGCTGGGATTACAGGCGTGAGCCACCACACCCAGCCCAAAGTATTTAATTTCCTGAGAGCTCAGAATAGCAAGGACATTTTAAAAAGCCTGATGCATGAGTATCCAATCCATTCCTGGGGTCATCTCTTACACTTGCTTGATGGCGTCAGGGAATGCAAACATATGAAATGTGATCATTTCTGCACCCAAACATTTCCAATCAATCGATCAGAAAAAGGAAAGCTGAGGACGGCAGGCTTGGACGTGCCTGTTTCAACTGTGGGCAGCGAAGAACACCAACAGCCACACCCTGTCATTGGCAGGAACCTGCTTTTTTTTGGCGGGGAGGGGTGGGAAGTGGAGCCTGGATTATGCCTTAGCCTAGTTGGCACGAAGGGTTTATGAAGGAAGTGAAATTTTAATTAGCCACCAGAATTGTCTCTCAAACCTGGCCAGGGCCACTGTTCAGCCTATTTTAGGGGAGAAAGTCCCTTTTTCTCTTAGGAGAGTTTCGCGTCTGCCACCTTCCTTCTACACATGACAGATGTCTCTGCAGGAGTCAGGCGTGATCCTGATCACTCCTTCCCTGCTGCCCACGGTAGACCCGGCCCTTTCCCAGCATCTAGACACCATCATGTGATTGGCTTCCTTGACTTGACCTGATGATGTGACCAGTGCAGGCACAGGGAGGTGAGCTAGCTGACCCATGCCAGGAGAGCACCTACCACCTTTTCTGATCAGACTGCGTGCTAACTAGGGGACCCCTGGATCCTACCTTGAGGTCCTGCCAACGGCCCAACCAGCCCCTGGGTTGTGGGGGACACTGACCTCCTTGTCCAGCCCCTGACTAAGGAGGGGAAGGGAAAAGAGAGGGATGAAGCTTCCCCATGAAGAGGGGCTAGGAAAGCCACGCTGGGGTGATCACATGTATCCCTGCCATGCCATCCCATGCAGCTGCTGTCAATGGGATGAGCAAATGCATGCTTGGGACACTCTGTCAACTGCACCAAACCCCTGCCTGCTCTTGTCACATGGCAAGAAGGTTTCTCCAGCTAGTGGTGAGAGGAGATTTTGGTTATGTGAAGAGCATTCAAACAGGAAACATATGCATGCCCCATTCAAATCTTATCTGATTCTTCTATTGGAGGCAACCACACCAAACAAAACAAAACAAAACACACACACACACACACACACACACACACACACACACACACACAAATAAAGAAACCAAATACATAACGAATAATGTTGGACACTTTCTATAAAATATAACTTCCCAGGAATCATGTAGAATTTTTTTCCCCTCATAGACATCAAGCCATTGTCTCAAAGATAACACTTGGCTTACAATCAGTTAGCTCATCCTGTGCTCAAGCTGGCATCAGTAGCATGGCACTGTGATCATCAGGTCATGTTCCTGACACTTAAAAATGAATTCCTGAACTCAAAACAGAGTGCCCAAATTGAGAAGGAAACAGGGAGAAATGGCCAGAATGGAAATCAATCTAGCACCCTTGACTGTAAGAATTAATTCTCCTTGTTGACAAAAAATTGGGAATCCACCCAAGTCTTTACTGATCCTTCATACCAAAAATATAATCCCACATGATAAACACAAAGAGGCACAGTGAAGCTGTTCATTAACTAACGTGCTGTTACAAAGCTGAGGAGCTCCTTTGAGAGCAGACAGTGGGAAGTCTGGTCCACCACTGACCACAGCCATCACTCAGGAGACAAGCAGGAAGGAAATTACTTCCTGACTTATACCAGCCCTGATGTGGCTAACTTGGGTCTTGGAGGAAGGCTGGTTCAGTGCCTTTCCTGGGCATATGACAACAAGCTGCAAACCATCTGGAAAAGAGAGTCTTGAGCAGCCGAAGTGTCCTCAGCACTCATGTGATATCTCTAGCTCCATCCTTCCCTTTGTGTAAGAATTGGGATTCTCACATAATAGACAGGACTCCTGTATCTAGCGCATCCATTCTTTCCTCCTCTCATGCACCCATCAGCTGCTGAGCCCTGTCATCAACCAGGCACTGTTACACACTGGGGATATGAAAACAAATTAAGTCATAATCTTTGCTCTAAGGTGCTTGCAGTTTCTGGGACCCACACGGTATGATGGGCATCAGGGCAGGGAGCTGTGGGAACATATAAGAGGGATCCCTGACCACCACTGCATGTTTCAGGAAAGGATAAACAGCATGAAAGGAACAAAGGATGACAGGACGCTATACGTGGCCGAGCAGGGCTCAGGGTGGCCAGAGATGAAGCTGAAGAGCTTTTCCAAGTCCTTAGCAACCAACTTTCTAAGGAGTTTGGACTCACTCGAGTTTCTTTTTCTTAAAATCAGGATACCAGCAGCTCTCCTGATTACCTTAGGAAGTTTGCTGTAAGGGCCAAATCCACCGATAGGGGTGAAACATTTTTAAAAAGTATACAATGCACCTTACTGGTATAAGGCATTATTACTCCAGAAATATTTAGCATTTAATATTAAGTTTATCTGCGGTTTCTCTGCAGCACTTGATGGAATTGGGGGTCTCAGATCTGAACCCAAGAGGACAAGATCTGGATGTGTTTGAAGAAAAGGCGCAGGCTTACAGAGAAGCATTTTCTCCTTCTGTAAGCAGCAATAAATGGAAGTGAGGTGAATGCATGAGTGTGTGTGTATATTTCCTTCCTCCATGCCAAGGACCCAGGCTCAGAACATGGCTTAGTTTCACAGTTTGAGAGTGAACTGAAAAGGCAGGATGGTGAATAAAAGCACATGGAAACATTTTCATTACTCAAGATAAATGTTGAAAATTCTGCTCCAGTGACCATTCTAATTTTCCTTTTCCACCACGTATCTTGAGAAGTCTTCAATTCTGTACCCCATGGCCCCTCACCCATTCACACCAACTGGTTTACAGGCTTCTGCTTCTGTTTCCTCCCATTCCCCTAAAACTCCTATCATCATGGCATAGTGACCTGCTGAGGGCCAATTTCAGAGGACAGTGTTCCGTCTCCATTGTACGTGACACTTCCATGGCACCTGGTGGGATTCCTTCCTTCAAACCCTCCCGACCTTCTGGGCGAGCATAGCCTGTGTTATTGTTCAGCCCCTCCATATCTTACGGTGCTCCTCAGGGCCTGTCCACGCTCTTGACCCTTGGCACACACTTCTGGGGAGTACCTATTATCAGTTACACTCACATGATGCACAACTGGTCCTTTCAAACCTTGTGGGGCTCCTGGACTCTAGACCTGCTCTTCCGGCCACTGACTTGCCATTTCCACTTGGGTGTCTCACAGGCACCTCAGACTCAACCCTTCTCATGGACCTACATTTCCCGCCCCCACTTCTCCTATCTTTTCTGTCCCCAAATACTATGACACTCAAACCCAAGCCTCGTCACAATCACCAGACTCCCTCTAAATGATCTCTATCCTCCTCCTCCATCCTCACTGCCTCTATTTTGGTTCAAGGTCCCATCAAGACTTGCTATAGTTTCCTAATGAGTTTCCCGGCCAACATCCAGCTCTTCTGAAGGCTTCCCACCTCATCACTGCACAGCGGTCTATTTCACCTCAGGAAGCTTCCCCCACCTGCTATGGTGATGACATCGATCAGACTGGGTTGTGAGATCATATGGTGCCATATCTAACTGTCCCAATGCACGTCCCCAGCTCCCCATTGCAGGAACCATGTATGACTCACGGTTAATCTCCAATGGATGGGGCAAATTGAGTCCCAGGCAGCTGCTTGATAAGGGTTCAGTAACTGAACAAAAGAGCTCTGCACACAGAACTCAGACAGCCACCACTGATTATGAACTAACTATGGGCGGGGCCCCAGCTATCTCCTTAGAAATCTATGTGAGGTAAGAATATGGGAGGCAGGCAAGGGCAGATGACTTTTTTTCCAACAGCATCATCAGCCCAGCGGTGTCTGTGAATGCCTGAGAAATGGCTGATTTGAGTCTGCCACCGGTGCCGTCAGTGGTAACAGGTTACAAACAACTCACTCCCTTGCAAAGCAGGAGAGGTAGGGGTTCCAGAGAAGACAGAGGAGGGCCAGGGGATGCGTCCTCAGTGGATGCCTGAGAGAGACTGCCTCCCACCCCATCTCATCAGCTCACGCAGGGACAATATACAGGATGTCCAAACATTGGGGTATTCTGATGCAAGCTCAACCAGTCATCTGACACACATAAGCTCTCTTCTCTCTCAAAGAAGTCAGACTCGATAAACTCACAATTTCTTTCCACTTGACCACTGGCTGCCATCACACTTTGCTCTGCATGTGGCATCTTTTTAACTTTCCCATTCCAGTGAACAGGGGAGTCACTATTATTCTAGGTGCAAAATCTGGGACACGGAAAACATCACTGACTTATCAAAGGCTAGATGGAAAGTCGATGGCATGTCAGGGTCACCCTTGCTACCTGGTTGCCAGAGTGTTCCCCATGCTGACTTCTGCCAGGCTGCAGGGAATAAAGCTAACGGTAATTTGTCTCCCAGGTGGGTGCGCTTCCTCAGTGATGGAGGATATGAATGAATCCTCAAGGCTGCTCCAGAAAGAAGGGAAGAAATCACTCTTTTACCATAACACTTAGCAATGAAATCCTTATGCAAAATGTTTTCCGTACTTTCTAACAAAGAAAGAGTAAATTGGCCTTTTGAATGTTCCCCCAAAGAGAATGGTTTCTCAATTTAAAAATGGCAATAGTCACTTAGACAAGCTGCTTTCTAAAGTAGTATAAAATTAAAAACAACAACAAATAAACCTCAGGTTCAACTGGATAGCTCACTTGTAATTTGTAATTCACTTTAAGTAAGAAGAGGTCTTTAATCACGGATGTGCACGTGAGAAGCCTCTGTCTATCTGGCCAGAGGTTTAAAAAGAAACGTTTCTTACAAAGTTATATATGTATATTCTATAAATATATATATAACATATATGCATTAAAAATAACTTTATATAGTCTATATGTGTAGGGAAAAGAAAGAGAGATCAGACTGTTACTGTGTCTATGTAGAAAGGAAAGACATAAGAGACTCCATTTTGAAAAAGACCTGTACTTGAAACAATTGCTTTGCTGAGATGTTGTTAATTTGTAGTTTTGCTGCAGCCACTTTTCCCCAGCCACTTTGACCCAACCTGGAGCTCACAAAAACATGTGTTGTATGAAATCAAGGTTTAAGGGATCTAGGGCTGTGCAGGACGTGCCTTGTTAACAAAATGTTTACAAGCAGTATACTTGGTAAAAGTCATCGCCATTCTCTAGTCTCAATAAACCAGGGGCACAATGCACTGCGGAAAGCCGCAGGGACCTCTGTCCTTGAAAGCGGGGTATTGTCCAAGGTTTCTTCCCAGGTGATAGTCTGAAATATGGCCTCATGGGATGAGAAAGACCTGACCGTCCCCCAGCCCAACACCCGTAAAGGGTCTGTGCTGAGGTGCATTAGTAAAAGAGGAAAGCCTCTTGCAGTTGAGATAGAGGAAGGCCACTGTCTCCTGCCTGCCCCTGGGAACTGAATGTCTCGTTATAAAACCCGATTGTACATTTGTTCAATTCTGATATAGGAGAAAAACCGCCCTGTGATGGGAGGCAAGACAGGTTTGCAGCAATGCTGCCTTGTTATTCTTTACTCCACTGAGATGTTTGGGTGGAGAGAAACATAAATCTGGCTTACGTGTACGTCCAGTCATAGTACCTTCCCTTGAACTTAATTATGATGTAGATTCTATTGCTCACATGTTTTTCTCCTTATCATCACCCTGCCCTCCTACTACATTCCTTTTTGCTGAAATAACGAAGATAGTAACCAATAAAAACAGGGAACTCAGAGACCGGTGCCGGTGCAGGTCCTTCGTATGCTGAGTGCCGGTCCCCTGGGCCCACTGTTGTTTCTCTATACTTTGTCTCTGTGTCTTATTTCTTTTCTCAGTCTCTCGTCCTGCCCGATTAGAAATACCCACAGGTGTGGAGGGGCAGGCCACCCCTTCATATACGAAATTATACACACACACATCTTTGTGCACCTGCTGAAAAATTACCACTCCATTAAATGTTGATGTGCTCACAAAACTTGCTTTAGCGCTACCTCCCTCAATACTCTGTTCCCTTCCAAAATCCAAAAGCTCCCTGGGATTACTAGAAGAGGTTACCTCTAAAGCTCTGCAGGCTGCAAATACCCACAGAACTTCCCACTCACCACTCTTGCCTCCCAGTACCCATGCATAAGAATCCCAACCCTGAGGCAGAAGCAATGCTGGTTCACACTTGTGTGAGGCATGAGGCCTGCCCTCCTTTGGATCTTAGATGAAATCATGTCATCATTAAGTCCTAAAAATGACATTGTTACCAGGGCAGCATCCAGACACAAAGGTAAGAAGAGGACCTGTCTAGGCAGCAAATAAAATGGGACAGTAGGCAGCTGATCACTGCTTTTAACGTTGGAATAAACTTTTTTCAGCATTTAGCATTTTTGAGATGGTTCCTATCAGAGTCACAGGGACCCATTCTGTTGTTAAGTTAAAGCCTGGAATTATTCTCTTGAGAGCCAAATATGTCTGCCTGCCAAATGCTTTTGAACCCCACTATCTGCAGTGTACCTGTTGGTATTTACCACTCTGGGGGCAGCTTTTCTCAAAACAGACCCTCCCCTGGGAGGACAGTGAGACCAAAGCACACTGCATATTCCCTGCCCTGTTTTGCCAAGATTTCAGCCTCTGATTGTGAACTGGACACCTCACTGATCTCTACAAATGTATACGAGGCAGAGACACAAACGTATACAAAAAGGGTGCATTTGACAGCACTTCATCAGGGCTCTAGGACGGCCAGGCAAGGCAGCCTGGGCCCAGGGAATAAGCACACTGAGGCATCAGCTTTCAAAGAAGCACGTGCAACCAGGAAGTTTCACTTCAAAATCATTCCGTTTTCTCTGACTTTGGTAAGGAAACCACATGGTACGCTCTAGAAGGTCTGTCGATGACACTTCCAGTGGAGAATTTTCCTTGGTCCATTTTCCCATAATGAAAGTGGAAATGTTCCCTCATCCGATAACTTACCCTTTCCAAAGACTTCAGGAGATTTTGTCTTTCTTTGAGCTTCTGAATACTGATGACAATTTTGTGTCTTGCACCTTTGGTAACATTCTGTAATTAAATAACAAGTTACATTTAAATGTATATTTAAAAACATATTTTTAAGAATCAGCTTACAGATTCTTGGAGGCTTTTACTGTCTTCTTTGCTCCTATATGTTCACGGGCTGATCAATATCCACTTATCTCTTGCATTAGTACCCATCATCATAAACCTCTTCTTACTAAATATTATTATTATTTTTTGAGACAGGGTCTCACTGTAGTTGCTCAGGCTAGAGTACAGTGGCGCCATCTTAGCTCACTGCAGCCTTGACCTCCTGGGCTCACGTGATTCTCTCACCTCAGTCTCCCAAGTAGCTGGGACTACAGGCCACCAAACCTGGCTAATTTTTGTATTTTTAGTAGAGATGGGGTTTTGCCATGTTGCCCAGGCTGGTCTCAAACTCCTGGGCTCAAGCAATCTTCCCACCTCAGCCTCCCAAAGTGCTGGAATTCTAGGCGTGAGCCACCGCACCCAGCCATCTTCTTAATTCTAACTCCGTCTGGCTACATATTTGCCCGTGTCTTTTGACTGTGCTTTTTATCTGTATTCGTATCTTCCTGTATCTTAGAGAGAGATGTGGAACAGCCAATTATTATACCCAGCATGAAATTTCTTCACAGCCTTAGAAGATAATTTTTAAGTCATGCACTCTTCCTTTTCTCCAGGCTTTATAATTTCAGCCCCTCTCAGTTTCCCTAAAGGTCCCAACCCCATATAGATATTCATGGCTTTCTCAAACCCTCCCTGTGTTTTTACCCATCTTGAAAAGATGAGCAGCCCAGTAGAGTCCACATGGAGTGTCATAAAACATGGGGAATTTGTTAGTTTGCAGCTTGTCTTTTGTTTCTCTAAGGAAAACTAGAATAGAAAATTACTTAAATTCATAATTCAGTCATCTCTTCAGGTAAATGATTAGGATTCACAGTAAGAGTTGTGGATTTTATCTTCTTAACTGGGTAGCAATGGTGAGCCTAAGGATTTACTTAAATAGTTGTTGATAATAGATACTGCAAATTTCCTGATAGACAGCCGTCTCTCAAATAAGGTCTCTAACTCAAACATCTTGCAACTATTCCATAGAATTCTTCTTAAAGAAGGAAAAGATAGGAATATCAACAACATCTTTACTAGAAAAATTAAGACTCAAATGACACGTGAACCCAGTCTCTAAGATGAAACACTGGGGGTATATTTCTGTTTACCCTTAACTTTGGGTTCTAGTGAATTAAATTACTCTGAAAAGGTTGTGCTGGCCTCTGGCTTTGCCCTCAATTATTTCTTGTTTTTTTTCCTCAAGTCGAACAACTGATGACTTAGATTTTTTTCCTCAACTCTGACCCAAACACAAAAATGCTCTTAGAAAAGCTCTCATCAACCCCTGGGATTTCAAGGAGCAATCAAGATCCAAAAAGAGGTGGGAGAAATGTTAGGAAGTTGAAATGAGTGCCTTTCATTCTCTGAGAATGTGCAGTGACTTTGGGCTTTGTGTTGTGTCTCCATATTGGGAGTCCGCCAGGCCTGCAGGGTTAAATGAGGGTACCGAATAAGTACTGGGGAACTGGTGATCTGCGGGGAGGTATGCGTCCAGACCAGCCATGCCCAAATGGTACAATCTCCTTTTCCTGCAAAGGAAATATTCTTAGCCTATTCAGACCATCGATTCTTTTAAATCATTGCTGAAAGGAAACTGAGGCCAATGTGAAACATGCAAATAGCATTTTAAACAAGGGAAACAAAGACATTGGTCAGATCCATTTACCCGAGCACAGCGTGGTAGGAAACATGCTTAGTTTCAGGGGTTCTGTTGACTGGCCTTTGGCATCCACATCGGGGAAAGATGCCTTAGAAGGAAGGGGAACCTTTGTATTTTTATGGCATGCAGAAGGGAAATGAAATCTGAGACCTATGGAAATCTCATTCTCAATGATTGTCTCATGTTAGAAGAAAAAAATATTTTGTATAATTTACTCCAATCTCAACAAAGACTGGCCTGAACATGACTTTTTAAAAATGTTGGGGCGGGTCTGAGGCATGACCTGGTGCATCTACTCAGCAGTCCAGTTAGAAGCAGGCTGATTTGTAACTGGACTAGACAACAGACAATGGATCTGTCACTTCCCAAACAAGCCAAGCCCTGCTCGAGCAGAGGGAGGGAGAGAGCAAGAAAAGCAAAGGCAGGGATGTAGATTCTTTGTGGCATGGTCAAATGTTACTTCTCCTAGGAAAATCCACCGATTCCTCCCTGGCACCTGGAACTTTCAAGTGTGCCGAGATTATGCCTTTTCACACCACTTGATCTCACCCTCACGACCCTGCAGTTATCTGCTTGTCTTCCATCTCCTATTGGACCCTGAAGGCAAGAATCCACCCAGTTTTGCTCACCATGGAATGCTGGCCAGCACCCCACAGTTTCCAGCACAGGGCAAGCTACTGTGTGGGCATAGGTATGGGTCCAAACAAGGTTGTCCAGGCCTTGAACTTCAGGTCCTGCCTGGGGCACCCTCTCAGGGAACAGTCACCTCAAGCACATACCTGCGCCTCCAGCTGGCACTCGGTGAGGGCCATCATCTCCTCATAGGTCATCTGGGAGAAAAGCGCGGCATATTTGTGCAGGCGGAGGCTTTTCAGCCAGGCTGGAACATCTGTGGTGCAAGATGTGCAAGAGATGGGGAGAGAAATGAGAGGGAATGAGAAGAGATGACGAGAGATGTAGGAACAGAGAAAGGAAAAGAGGGTGATGGTCAAAGGAAAAAAAAAGAAAAAGTAACACCTTTATGTTACTATGTATTTAATTTTAGCTGAGATGCAGAAGTCTCAGGCTAGCCCTGACATTCCTACTGGTGGGCTCCTTTATTCTACTTAGACCAGGAGTACTAAGTTGGGGTCCATGAGCTTCAGGGCATTCAGAAATCCCCTAAAATTATATCCCAATTTGTGAGTAGATGGGGAGTTTTCTGGGCAGAGGGCCATCCATAGCTTCTATAAGATTCCCAAAGGGGTTCATGACCAAAAAGATGGCAGGGAACAACTGCATTAGCTGGACCGCTTCATCGAGTTGGAAAGAGCTGGCTTCGAATGTTAGAGCTACATGAGCAGACTATGACCTCAAGATAATTTTTGTACATTCAATGCAGATTTTCACACACTGTTTCAGCCACTCCTACAGTGATAGGAAAATGGTGGAGTCACTCATTCCTAGCCTGATCTTTCCCCATGAAAAATGCCTCCCTATATATACCTGAATGGGAAAAAGGGCATCCTGATCCCCAAAACTCTTTCTGTCGTGGGGGTGTGTCCGCTGACCATTTCTCCAAGCTATGGAATGTATCCGGATGCATCTTTGACTTTTTACTTGATTGTCAACCAAAAATATATCAGGACTTGAAAGGCCCAAAGATTGGCTAGGCCATAGGATAATGGAAGTTCTAAAGTGCATCTGAAATAACCCCCAAGTCTGAGATTCTAAAGTTAAGAAAAGTAAAGGGTAACTGCATTGAAAATCCACAGGAGAACTATTACCTTGTTAAATAAAACCAAAACAAAGTATTTGCCCATATTCTTTCAGTCAGAGTTTGTGAGCTGATAGGATCTTTGGAAAGTTTCCAGAATCATCTTCCCTCATCCCTAGATCATTCTAAAGATGGCGAAATGAAGTCATTAATCCTAGATCACAGAGCAAGTGTGTGGTGAAATGGCAACCAGAACCCAGATCTCCTGATTCCTAGCTCATTCCTACAATGTACCAATTCTTATAAAATGAGGACCAAACAGCCTATCAGTGGCTGAAAAACAGTGGCTGTAAACTACTTTGAAATGCTAAAGCATTGGGTAAATGTTATTCCTGTTTTTTATGAAGTATTATCTATTACCAATCATGTCGATTACAGGATTCTATCAATTGCTAAATGCTTTATTCTGAGGCACTGACCACACACATTCCAAAACAAGCGAGCACCTTCCAATTTTTCAATGTTTAGAGTAGATAAATGTTGAGATTGATGAAAGAGGCCTGGACTATTCTGAAATCAGGCCCTGCTTCCTGAGTGAACCAACTCTAGGTTTAGGGAATGCGGGTATGGGATAATCTCCTGAACTCAAAAGACTTAGGTGGGGATGATGGGCCTGGTGAGATTACTTGTTGATTTGCAGTAATGCAAAGGCCAATGAAGGGGAATTTCTGGAGAATTGAAATTGGACAGTCAATGGCATCTTAAGAACAGACTCAGTTATCTCAGGCTAGAAATCACTCCATTCTGTGCTTGAAAGCCCTTCACTCTACTATGACAAGCAAGAGTCCCTCTGTGACCATTATTAACCACAAACAGACAAGGCTTCCCCAACACATCATACTAACCCCTTACATCATCCTCACTCAAATTGCAGTTGGATCAAGAGTCCAGGACATGGCAGCTCAGGAGTCTGGAACCTTCTATCCTGCAACATCCTGGAGCTATTTCACCAGGCTTCATTTTCCACCATGCTTTTATTTCTGCTGAAATAATGCTAATGCTTCTGCAGAGTGAGCGGCACTGATTTTAACTACAGCTTTGGCTTTCAGGCCAACGGCATGTTACCACTCTGTCACCAGGTTTCACGTTTGCTATTTACATCTTGAAAGTCCCAAGTCACTGCTCAGAAAACTCAATGATCATGATTCAGAGAAGCCTGGGTAACCCAGTGCTGCTCTTGGGCACAATTCATCACAAAAGAGAAGGTAGCAGGCTCTTGGACCAAATTTTCACTGGGTGCCCTACAGCTGAACCATGCAAAATCCATTGATGATGAACAGAATCCTGAGCTATTGAATCGTGTTATAAACATGGTGCTTTATAAACCAAGGTGATAACGTGGTGTTTTAAGAGTCAGAAAGTGTGGGTTGGAGTGCAAATCCCAGCTCAATCAGTGCTAGATCCTTTTCTATAAAACTATTTTGACAAGTTAGAATTGCCCTGGTTAGAGGAGTGGAAGAGCTGGCCTCATTCATTTAGTCAAAACACTGGGAGTAGTTTTCCTAAAAAAGGCTCCTATCCAACTTCAAAACATGATGAGTTAGGCCTTCCTGAAGAGTTACTTCTAGATGCATTCCTGGGCAATGTAAGCTCCTTTTGGCCCTGTGTTTCTTGAGGCAGGTACGCACGGACACTGTTTTTAGAGCAAGCATTGTCCTATCTCAGTGCCATGTGCTCAAAGAGCACTCCCTCCTGTAAGGAGAACGGAAAAACAAAGAAGAGGAAATCCCAGTTCTTAAGAACATAGCCTACTAACCTTTCACCCTCTGGATTGTGGTGAGGTACCTTCCCTTGCCAAGGATTAGAACAAAACTGTTAAAAGAGAAACAAACCAGAGAAGCAAGAGCCTTGACCATTTCATTCCCCCAAAGTCAGGAATTCTAATGACTTGGATGCTGGATTCTGTAAGCTGTTGGCCAGGGATAGACTCAAACTAAAAGCTCAGGTCCTTTCCCATGGTCCAAATGCCACATTGTTGGATGCAATGCTAAGAACCACCTACTGTAACTTCCCATCTACCTTTTACATTCTGTGAAGCTGTGGGCTGTGGCTATGGTTGGAAAATGCAGGCAAACAGGGAGAAGCAGAACTGTTTCCTGCAGAAGCTGATATGTGATTGAAGGCATGCATGCCTCTGGTTGGCACACACCTGTTTGGCTTCCTTGGGGTCAGTTTGAGACTGGGGGTCTCAAACTAGAAAGTCACTCTCTTATGCAGTGTGAGAAAGATAAAGATGCTTTTGCTATATGCTGGGCTGACTTCTTTGCCAAGTGTGGGAATCCTGATATTTGCTCATTCAACATTTATTGCATGCCTATTATGGGGGCCAAGCTCTGTGAAGACATGACCCTTCCATTAAGGAACTTTTAATCTAGAGAGAATGGCTGACTTATACAAAAATTATAACAGCAATAGGACAAGCGCTGAGTATACATAGGGTTCTAGGGGAGCACAGAACGATGAGCCTTTTGGTTTGCCATGGGGAGCGAGGGGCAGCTTCAAAGTACAATAACTTGGTGTCTCCACTAGGATGGCCACAGTGAGGAAGCCATTTCAGGAAGCAGGAAGGAAACACAGAGTCAAGAGGGCATTCAGGGTAGAGCAGACACATGGGTGGATGGGGGAATGGCTAGAGACAAGGTGGGTCAAATAGGCAGGGGGTCAAATGGCTGAGATATGCAATGCTGAACAAAGAGAGTCGACTTCATCTTGTGGGTGGTGAGAAACTGCTGAAACCTGAGTAGCAGAACACAATCAGATGAGTGTGCTAGAAAGGCAATGGCTATCAATGTAAAGGCTGGCCTGGCGGATGGTGACAGTGAAGGCCAGGACCTGAACTTAAGGAAGATCCTGATGATGGCTTGGGATGCGTGGCAGGGGAGAAAGAAAGGATGGAAATTGACAGTACTTGAAGATCAGGGAAGAGCAGGGAGTGACAGAGACAAAGTAGCTGGAGATGACTCCTTTGATTCAGGTTTGGTGAGACAGAGAAAACAGGGGAGCAGCAGGTTTGGGGTGAGAAGAGAGAGAGGGTAAACTCCATTTGAGATCAGCTGGCTGTCAATGCCTTTGGGTCATACAAGGGGAGAAGTCAACCAGTCAAGGTCTTGGAAGAAAAGTCTGAGCTGGAGAACGAGGTTCCTTGTCAGTAGTTCATGGTGGTTGTTTTAGCCACAGAAGTGGGTGAATCTCTCTGGCAAAGAGCATGGGGTGAGAGCCATGCTAGAGCTCTGGGAGTAGCAGACTTTCAGGGGGAAGTGCAAGGAGAGAATGCCAACAGGTAGGAGGTTTCTGGGACAAAGCACCACCATGCATGTGCACATCAGTGGGTCTCATCCCACAGTCTTCATCCTTCAGAAAGCTCCTAGACCTTGCTGCAAGTCCACACTGATTTATCTTCTCATGGTCATTCTTGATAATAGTGCTACACTCATCTTGTATATGTTCTATATTTGCCTGCTGGTCTTTACCAGTGGGATTCAGTTTTAAATCATGCTGATTTCTATTTCCTTTTTAGAATTTAGATAAACCAGCCACAGGGAGGCTGTGCGGTGTGTACAACAGTTCACACAGAAGCAGGGCTCCAGTTAGAACTGGGAGTGCTTGTCTCTAATGCATGCTGCAGAAATGGCTGCAAATTTGAGTCAGATCAACAGACCATGCAGCACCCGACCCACAAACAAGGAAACCCCAGAAGACAGAAAGATGGGATCGATATTGCTGAAGAGCCCAATATCGAATGCAGCATGAAGGGCAGGGAGAAAGGCATCTCTGGCAGACAGAAACATGAACAGCCTTGTTCCCACACAAGGGCTCACGTAGGGGTGGTCCTGGTAACTGCAGATGGAAGATCAACTCCCATTCACCACAGCAAGCCAGACTGCTCTCAAAAGCTCTCTCCCTCCAAGATATGACTGCACCCTTGATCTCTGAGGGGGAGAAGAGGAAAGCCAACTGAGGGGTAAGAAGGTACCCACTCTTCACTACTGAAGTGGGATGGAAGATGTTCCTTTCAAAAATGAAGAGAAGTTTAGCAGCACTGTCAAGGTTACAGAAGCTTGTCTTTATTTCTGGCCAGAGCAGAACAAGCAGCCCAACTCTGTTCCAGCCTTTGTGCAAAAGAGAGCAGGATTGGTCTTGGGCCTCGTTGGAGCTGGATCCTCCTCAGTGTGCTCCTTGATACTGGGAAGTGTCCATGGAGGCCTCTGGGGAGGCTCCAGGCTTGTAGGAAGCATATATGGGTCCTGGAAGGTGAGAGGTGGCCTATTTTGGAGTAAAATACCCACTTTGACATGTTAGACACAAAGAGGGCCTAACCTTCTCCCCGCAGTTTCCGTTAGAGATGACAGGCGAAAGTGCTGTTTTAAAGCAGCCTGCTTTGTGTCATTAAACAGTGGCTGTGTCCACATCAAAGGCTGCGCCTTGTGTGCCTGCACAGTCCTTAAAGCTTCAGAGGAAAATACATGCTTGGTAAAGAGTGGAGGTTAAAAGTCTCAGGACTTTTCGAATTTGGGGGAATCCTGAGGACTTGCTTTTCAAAGACCTCAGGGCTCTCAGCCTATCAGAGAAGAGTTAGCACAACTCCTGGCCCAGGGGCACTCATCCCTGTGGGTCATATCTTGGCATTTGGAAATTAAAAACAAAAATAAAGCACATTTATTCAATACTGGCCTTCCTTTAAGTGAATTCGAGCAGGCAGCTAGAAAGTCAGCATCAAGAAAATAATGACCAGTTTCAATGACAGCCATGCTGAAACATGTCCCAGCCACTCATGGAGCTTTGCCACTCCCACTCCATCACTCAGACCTCTGTGACCCTCAGAACTGCTGTATCTGCAACCTTTCTTACAAAGGTTTCTGACAGGTTCCTTTTTCTTAAAGAGGATCTCACCTCTCCATAATTTTTCCATTCTCATTCTGGAGAAGCAGAGGTTCAAAGGTCTACATTTCAAAAAGAACTGAAAACCCCAAACCCGCTATTTCAGAGTAGACCACATATTTCCTTTACTACAGAGAGAAAAAGTTTTTCTAAGTTTCATCTAACGAAAGTCTCCTTAGAAAAGGCAAACAACATATTTTCACAGTCAATGGCCCCTCCACTCTTAATTGCTATATTTCCATCAAGGTTCCTGGGGCCAGTTGTTTCTTTTTCTACTTTTATCATGTCTATACACAAATAATACATCAGTTTCAATGACTTCTACATTTGTGTGCTAACATAATGCCAAACATCATAAGCATACTCAGTTGGTGTTGATTCGTAACAGTGAGGCTGAAGCTCGCAGCAAGAGAAACAGAGTGCCAATCTCTACCCCTCTTCACACAGGCAAGTACAACAAGAAAGTCATAGAGCTCCTTGCTTCCTAGGAGCCCAAATCTATGGCTTTTTCTACCCAGCTATCTGGAATGAAGTCCCTCAGATGAACTTGGCTTCAGGTAAGTGTAATATTATGCTGAAACTGCAGGCGAGGAGAGGAAGTCGGGGCTGTTAGTGAGGCTGGGTCAGCCAAGAGCATGGTGCACTGTGGGGCCCACTGAGGGGGTTGCACACCTCCACTGGGATGTTCTACAGTTCCCACACTCACCAGGCCCCATGCTGCCCCCCCCATTCTATTTCTCCTCCTCTATGTCCTTTGCCTTAGATGACACCATGGCTTATCCATATGTCCCAGGCAGACACCTGGGCATCATCCTAAATTTCTCCTGCTCCATCACTGTCTATTCAATTGGTTACCAAGCCCTCTCAGCTCTATCTCATGAAGAACCCCGAATACTCCTTTGTCTCTATTCTCACTGCTGCTTGCATCGGTCCCACTTCCTTTTCCCCCTCAATTACTGAAACGTCCTCCACCTCTCTGCTGGCCTTCAAATCTGGAATCCTCTGTCCCTTCCGCACTTTGATGTATATTCCACTCTGCTTTGAAGGTCATATTTCTAATATGTAGACCTAAGCAGGTCATTCTGCTGCAGAAGTTCCTTCAATAGCTTTGGGATAAAAGAGAATGTCCTTTGCAAGGCCCAGGGTCTGGTTTCTCCCTCTCCAGACCTCTTTTTCCCATGTGCCCTTAACACTCAAGCCATGGGATCCACTTGGTCAAGCACCCTTGTCATTGTGATTTCGTGAATGCTGTTCCCTCTACATAGAATGCCCTTCCTTCACTTACTATTTGGCTGACCTGTAGTCATGCTCTGAGACTCAGCTCTAGGCCTCTCCTCCTCTAGGAACTTTCCTTGACTTATCTCCACTTTGAATGAGGGTCATTCATGGTGCCTGCCCTGACCCAGGGCAAGTCTTTAAGACAGCATATTTTCATAGCAGGGCACTTGCATTAAGTGCCTGTTTTTTGCTCATCTGATAGTGATTCGCTTCAGGCAGGAACAGTAGCTCTCAGCCCTGTCTGCCCAGAAACTAGTTAGTCCAAAGTTTCTCTCAGCAGGTGCTCAAAAAAGTCAACTGACTTGAATGAGGACAAAAGTAACCTGTGAATGAGTCTTTTCCCCTGCTCTTTCCTCCCATATAATGCAGCCACATCATTCATCATAGCTGTGGCATTTTGTTAAGTCTTAGCGTGTTGGGTTTATGTACCATCTTTGAGAACATGGTGCTAATGTAAGTGGGAAATGTGCATCTTCTGCCAAATGACTTCTATACTTTCTCTCCAGGAAATTAAGAGAACGTCTTTTCTCTCTCTCTTTTTCTTGGCCACCTGAAAGTCTTGTATGAGACAAGAGGCAACAGAGCACATTCCACTCATGAGTTGCCCAGGGAAAGAATGGTATTACTGTTGAGTACCAACTCACAATTGAGAATCTTTCCTCTGAGATAAGTCACAGTGAAGTTTTTGAAATGAACAAACACAACTGGATGTAGAAACCAAACCAGCCTCCTTAGTCCAAACATGTATAACCAGTAGCCTCCACAGGGAAGGGTAAAGGGAAGAAAGTTCCTATTTCAGTTGTTTCCCACTTCTCTTGGGTTAGTTTCAAGCTAAATTGTGGATCTCATTTTTTCTTTAGCTTGAGATATTAGCGTGAGATCTTTACCTCAAGAGACATTTAATCTGTACTTTGAAGTCTACTTAAACCATAAGGATGGACATTTACTAAAGAAGGAAAACCAAAGCACTGTGGGCAGATGTCATTAATCCTTTGAGAGTAGGAGCTGGTCTGCTTGGGAGAGAACTTAGTGACAGTCCCTGGCAGGGAACGCTAACACCAAGACAAGAAGGGGGCTTGATCCATGCATGGGAAAAACGCAAAGAGCAAGAATGCTGGACCATGAGATTTATTCCATACCCTTGACCCAAGAGGCACACTCCTAACGGAGGATGTGTAGCCAGACCTGGCCAGTCTAGCTAGATGAAAGGAAGGAATGGATGATTACCACAGTGTTTCAGAGAGATATTCACAGCTGTTGGCCATAAAGAGGAATTCACACTAAATAAAGTTCAACTATAGTAACTTTTCATTCTTTTCCCAAGGTGCACGATGAGAGCAAGACACATTCCATATGGATTTGAGAACTCTTCCAAATTCTACTAAGCTTTCTTATTGTTCTTCTAAACTGGACGTTTAACGATTAGAATAATAGCATTAGATGATGGCACCCCAAAGTGGACCAGCAAGTACTTTAAAACAGCTGACACTCCTGCCAAAGGGCCTGGGTCATAGAAAAGAAAGATTGTAGAGCCAAGAGGAAGAGTCAGCTCTTTTTCAAAGCACCTCACTTGGTTTTATATCTCATTTATTTATTTTTATTTTTTATGTTTTTATTTGAGATGGAGTCTCACTCACTCTGTTGCCCAGGCTGGAGTGCAGTGGCGCGATCTTGGCTCACTGCAACCTCTATCTCCTGGGTTCAAGTGATTCTCCAGTTTCAGCCTCCAGAGTAGCTGAGATTACAGCTGCGTGCCACCACACCTGACTAATTTTTGTATTTTTAGTGGAGAAAGGGTTCTGCCATGTTGGCCAGGCTGGTCTCGAATTCCTGACCTCAAGCAATCTGCCTGCCTCAGCCTTCCAAAGTGTTGGGATTACAGGCGTGAGCCACCGCACCCAGCCATATCTCATTTCTTTAAAAGTGTGAATTATTTTGAAAATTTAAACCAGCACCTGCTCTTAGACACGGAGATCAAATGACAAACCCTTGGGTTAGGAGCAGGGCTGCTCCTTGGGTGCACTCATAGGAAGTCGTTTTGAATAACATCTGGTGGCGGAAGAGTCCTCAGCAATGGCATCTTGCAGCAAGGCTGGGGAGGGACATTTCTATTGAACAAATACTGGCCCGTGACACTTCGGAATGCTAGTGTTTTTGGGTGTGGACATTTTTTCTGTCTGACCTGTCAGCTAAACTGCAAATATACTTTTCCCACAAATAGAATCCTTCATCATCTATAATGTTTCTTCCTTCAAACTTTTTTTTTTTTTTTTGCCATTTAACTTGCTATTGACTTTATACTTGGAATCCCAATCCAAGGAAGTTCTTGGAAGAAGGGAAGTTCAATAGGTCAGAGAAGGTGGAAATACAGCAGGCCATCAAATAACCTGTTTTCTGGCTGCACCCCTTGGGCCTATAAAGAAAATCCTGGATATGAGATCTTGTCTGTGCCATTTTTTTCTGACTGAATAGGCTCTGAGGAGACAGTTCTCACCAATTCTAATGAAAGGAATCACAGAGGCTTAGATATGGTATATTCCTTAACCTTTGCAATATTTTGGCTTTTGTCCCAAAATGGGGATAGGGCATTTATTCAACTTTTCTCTCATTTCTCTTAAAAAACCTGTTATCTTTATTTCTCACCTCAAAATGGCAGCACTCAATGAGCATACCTTGACCTACTTTGGGAGAATGTTGAAAGTGTGCATAAGGGCCTCAAAAAAAAAAAAAAAAAAAGAAAAGGAAAGAAAGAAAACAAAGTAAAAGGAAGAAGAATAAGTGTCCAAAAACCAGACAGTGGAATCAGCATTCTTCTTTGGACAAGATCTTTCTCCTGGTGAATGGCCCTTCTATAGGATCCTCCTTACCCTTCAAACACAAAGGCCAATGCTTCCTCCCCACAGTTACCAACTAGAACCGCAACACAGGCTTTCTTGGAAACAGACACTGAACTTCACCTGGAAAGAAGCTAGTTAAAAGCAACGGCTGTCTCAGCCTCCCTTGGTCTTTCAGCTATTTTGATGCCGATTGACAGATGCCAAGCCAGTCTACCTACAGCAGGGTTGAGCCTCACCTGCTACGCATCACCTGGGGCTCAGCTGCTTAAACACATAACCATGTAGCATAAAGTCAGAAGTGGGTTTTGCTAGTGCTCCAAAATTGTGATACAGTCCCCTGAAAACTCTGAAGTAGAAAGAGGACATACATCCCCTTCGTACCCAAGTGACACATGGCTTTTGCTGCCTGTTATATACCTTTAAAGACCCATTTGTATCAGCATTAAGACACATCCCCTCACTCTGGGCACTCAGCCCTGGAACCATCAATGAAATGGGGGTGGGATGGAGAGGACACAGGCCTAAGCAGGAGGAAGATTCAAGGAATGTGCCAGGGGAGCAGCTTCTTGTCAGCCTCATTCCCAGAGTTGACAAGCTCCATTTTTTCAGTCCGGTGCTCCCTTATAACCAGTGGTTGGGCAGTCATGGGCATGCTTTCTGTGCCAGGCTTCCGTGAAGGGAGGGGAATCAGTACAGAGCTTCCTATGTCAACACTGATCATTCACAAGGGGAAGATCGGAAACAGCAAACCTCAGGACTATTAATGCCAGCAAACAGGATGTTCTCAGAGCCTCCCTTCAGCATGCTAGTCCCCAAAGCATGAGTGGTTACTGTTTCACCATCTAAAATTGTTACTAGTGTGTCTCTGAATGTGCATCTTTGCCTAAGGGCTTCCCAGCCCTTGTACAAGTGGAGTCTAAAAATATAGCATGCACGTATCCTCTTTGTACCTATCATAAGTAATTTGGAAATCTATCTCCTGATGAATATCTTTTAGAAGAGGGTAGATTCACAAGGCAATGGAGGAATTTATTTATGCTACACAAAAGGCCTTTATCA
This sequence comes from Homo sapiens, assembly GCF_000001405.40. Taxonomy (NCBI): domain Eukaryota; kingdom Metazoa; phylum Chordata; class Mammalia; order Primates; family Hominidae; genus Homo; species Homo sapiens. Next base: position 54,737,895 of record NC_000014.9, on the reverse strand, counting down.
CCTGTATGCAAATCTGTTATCAGGATTAAAACACTGTTAGAGATTCTCAGTGGTATTTTCATGTCCCTTAAATAGATGCAGAGGAAAGGGTTTAAAGGTTTCTTTGGATATCAAAGAGAAGAGGAGAGAGAAAGGAAGCACTACTGCAATTCTGCATTAACATAGACTTATAAAGGAAAAAAAAAAATCCCGTGGTTTGTTTTTCTGAATTACTGACAGGTCCCTGGCCACAGCAATGAGGTACAAGGTTGGAGCAGCTCAGTAGCTTTACAAACAGAAGATCCTATCACCATTAGCTGTGACTCATTTAATGGTCTACAAGTCACTGCAATGCAAAAAAAAAAAAAAAAAAAGAGAGAGAGAGAGAGTGGGTTGACCTCTCTTACTCTGGTTCCTATTTCCCAGATTTTGGCAAGAAGCACTGGAAGGGGAATCTGAGCCCTTTCTGCCATGGTCAACCTGGAGTTCTGGAAGGGACAGATCAAATGCGTAAGCCTGGGGAAGGGGTGGGCTCCTTCTCTCTTGCTGACTACCTCTCTTTTTTTACCCTCTGGTCTCCAATAAAGGGAGGGGCTCTTTCCCCAGTGGTTTCTCATTTAGTCACTCACCTTTCATCCCACTACCTTCTTCTTGGAATGTGTTACGAGCAGTGGTCTGATCTTCTAAGTGTTCACTCCCACCACTTCCTGAAGAGGCTACACTGCTTTGTGGAGACAGGGGGGCATGATCGGATGGGAGGCACTGGGGTCCTCTAGCTCGTAAGTCCTCATGAGACATCCATCCATGTCCTAGAGGCTGGTTTGGCACATTCATGGGTGGGGTAAGGGACACAGATCGTTTCAAAGGGCTGTGGTGTGCCTGGCCTGAGAGAACTGGAAAAAAAAATAAAATGAAATAGGTTATTCCCCCCCCTTTATCCTGGGACACCGAAGAACCCACAATACCTCTTAACCCTGAGAGATACCACTAACTGTCTTACAACTCCATCCATGGTCACAGCAGGTTGAATACAGGCCTGGCATGGTCGTTTTCTTCAGGTGGTTTAAAAGGATGCAGTCTGTCCCTCTCAGTGGGTTAGGTTTCTCCAAGGAGGCCAAACCTATAGTGCCCACACATTGGTCCTTAGCCTTTGTGGGTCTGGATCTGGTTTTGGTTCTAACTCTAGAAATCAGGATTCATAGGACGGGGTCCGTAAATCAGGCAAGGCTTGACAGCCATATCTGCCAAAAGCAAAAAGAACATGTACTGGACAAGTTTGTTGCTGTTGTTTTTTAAACAGAAATTCTGACATTACCCATGTTGTTCAGGAGGACATCTTGAAGGGCAGCCGGGCTGGCCATTGTTTGGGATCTTTGCAGGGCTGAACCAGAAGAAGGTGGACTAATCTTTCCAACCAGGATTCAGGGAACTATGGCCTCTGCAGGGTGGTATGGCTCAGCAAGGGCCCCAGTACTAACATGACCTCAGGGTATGGGGCACTGCAGCTACCTGTCGGTGAAAGGGCTGCTTCTTCTAGGGCCGATTCTTTCCCTTAGCCTCACAGGTTAATGCCAAACTTTGTATTGCAAACACTTCCAGGTAACAAGGCTTTCATTCAGGAAGCTGGGAATGAATGGTTTTTACCAGCATGTTCAGCCCTTCTACACAGTGGGCAACATCTGCGCAGCCCCCATCTTTAATTTCTTTTCCAGAAAACTAGGAAAAAGCAACATAACTCATATAACTAGCCAAATTAAATTGAAGTCATTCGAGGGAGGGATTTAACAAAAACCAACACTGAAGGAGCCGATGTTACCCTTGGTTGGTTTTTCTGGTGTGTAAAGTGACAACTTTACAAAATAAGTCTATTCATAACATTCTCTCAGCACCAGTTCCTGACAGGTCCAGTTTATTTTGACTGCTGCTGTACTAACACGGAATTGAGCCACATGCATTTTTAAACATTTTTCAGGGAAGCCATTAAATTCCATCTCAGGCTGTATCCCCATCCATGAGGCATTTGCTCTCCCAAATTTAGATGAGCACTTCTTTGTGGGTGTTAATCTGTGTTTTTCAGTAAGCAGACCAGGCATCTCAATGGTGAGAGGTCCTGCTTTTGGTTAAACCATATTTCTGGTAGAGCAGTCCCAACATAAAGGCCTGGGCAGATTACTGTGTTCCCTACTTCAAAAGATAAAGAGCAGAGTCAAAAGGCTGGATGTTTCCAGAAAGTGTGTCTGGGGCAGTAGTGGGCTGGGTAAGCTGCTGCCAGGCAGCTGGCAGTCACCAAGCCTGAGAGCCACGGAGCTCAGGCCTCTGTGGTCAGTGTTTCCATTTGGCCTTGTGTGGCCAGAAGGGCAGCCTTGTATGTGAAGTGGGGACAATCGGAAGGGCTAGAAACTTCTTTATGAATGAAAAGGGAGGACAAAAGAGAGCTACCGAGTTTAGTATTAGTAACCTGAGAAATTTCCAATTTGGGTAGATTCTATCAAAGGCAAGGAAATGTCATCTAAATTAAAAATATGCAAAGGGAACATTGTTTAAAAAATATCGACACTAACAGGCTTAAATGGCTTGCATTGCTACTAAATAGACTCGGGAAGAAACTATTTAAAAAGGCTCCCTGGAAAATGCATTGCTACCTGGTTGGACCAGAATTAGCAAGAGGAAAAGTGGGGGGAAAGCAGAGAAAGAAAAAAAAAAAAACGAAGCGGCAGCAAAAATGAAAAGAGAAGCCAATAGGAAGAAAAGCCAGACATCCAGAAAATCCATTTCATGCCTGTCTAAGTATTTATATAAAATTGGGCAGACTGTTTACGGCTGCCCTGAGTGCTGGGACATTCCAGCTTAGACATCTTTGCTTTCTGGTACTTCTGCAACCGTTTCAGACTATCTGGTGGATGCTTTGACTGGTGCCTGCCAGGTGTACCCCAAGTGGAAGTGGGGGTTCCTCTGTATAGCCAGGATTAGAGTCAGTCTGAAATCACAGAAACAGGGCTTGTCAAAGAGGGACACACAGCTCAGAGACAGTGGGACTCTTAGTACCTGGGCTGGTTAGAGGCCATAACTGAATAGGTAACTAATCGCTAACCACGGGAGGTTACTGCTAGGATAGTCCTCATCTTCACATGGATGCTGAGAACAATACAATACGTACACTGTACTTGAATTCCATTATTTCATGGAGCCAATATGCTTCTTTCCATCTGATTTTTTAATCCATGCTATCTCCTCCACTGAGAGGCATCCTTGGGGAAGCTGTCAGTTATCCAAGGACTTCACTGGCTATTGAGATTGGAGCTAAATGTTTACCTAACTTAATGGACTTACAGGGATTTGTACATAGAAACCCACACCCATTTCTTCATACTTTTCTGAGCTTAACTGAAGTCATAAGGGATATGACATGAACTTGGCCTCTGCCTCTAAGGAAACATCAATTATACCTGAGGTGCCAGGGTCTTTTCCTGATGACTTTCTATAAAGGGCTCATACACTCTATATCATAATGAACACTTCTTGGTTCCCACTGCTGCCACCAAATTCAGGAATATCTCCGTAGGAGCCAACGTGCTGTGGCAACCAAGCACAGTGCCTCACACCAAGCTTCTGATTTGCAGACAGGGCCGTGGGTTTAGAGCCAGGCTGAATGCCACACCTCAATCAAAAGTCGTGCTAGGTAAATGCCTCTGTTCTCCAAAGGAACCAAGGCCTGGAGGCAGTACAGGCTTGTATTCTTGTGGGAAGGAGATTAAAACAGGTGACAGGTGCCTTGGCGACAGTGCCAATTTGGGGTGAAGACAGATCTTCAGGTTTAGGCAATGGTGACCACAAAGCTGATTTTGGTGTTACCTCTTGTGCTGGAGCACTTTGTTTGGCATAAAGTGACAGAGGAAATACTGTCATGGGCAGAAAGAGGCTACAAGAAAATAGGCCATGCAGTTGTGGAATTGACGAGGGGGCCAGTGGCAGAGTAGCAGTGGTTGTTTCATCCCCAGCCCCTCCCCTTTTTAAACTAAGAGATCTCATTTGAAGTGATGACAAACAGAGGGTCATATGGACATTCGGGCAGAAGTTTTTTTTTTTTCCTATGAGTAGGCAGGAAGAGTAGTAAATACAGACTTCTGAGAAGCTTAGCAGTGTGGTGCTAGCTGCCCCAGCATGTCTCTAGCCAGAGGCTTCTAGATGTTCTTGCTTGTAGACTGATGTGCAGCAGACAATGGCTAACGGTTCATTCAGACCTCAGCTACCCAGAAGTCCTATTCAAATGCTGCCAAATTAAGTATACCTTTAAAAAAAAATCTCAACCTAGATTAGAAATTGGCAAGTCCAGCAGAACTGAGGTCCTCAATTTATACTGCATTTGTGACTTTCATAATAGTGTGGGTAGAGGGACAGCATATTTCAGGATGGATTCATTATATTGAAAAGCATACTGAAAATTACTCAGGGGAACAAAATTGTGCCTTTTTCCTCTTAAAACATGGAAACCAACATTTAATAATTGTATACAGTATGAATCCAAAATTGCTTGTATTTTTAAAAACCTCTATAAAAATTTTAGATCCGTATATACACATATATATGCCAGTATGCACGCATGCATATATCATTAGGACACTAATTTTTGGAACTTTTTAAATTCAAATGAATCCGAAGTAAATAATAAGTATTAGGTAAGTCTAGTTGAAATATGGAAACAGCAGTTAAAAGTAATCTTGCTACAGCAGTCGGGCAGTGTGATGGGAGTTCAGAGGTTCTTATAATCTTGTTTTAAACTTGGTCATACTATCAGGACCAGTCAACTCTTCTGACCTCATCTAACCTAATGATTTTTTCATCTCCTAGCATCTTTAATGAGAACTCTTTCAGCACCTTTTACGGGGAAAATATGACACCTGGCTCTGCATTCTGTTCATTTAAGTATTTTCTTTAAACCCTGGGATTCAGATTTCTTTCCCATTTCCTTTGACCAACTTTGACTCCATCTCGATTTTATTTATTGAAATAAGAGTCAGGAAAAGATGTTTCAGAATATTTAGTACTCTTTAAGGAAAATTAACTATAACTACCTTTTTTCTGCCTTCTAATATGAGAAATAAGGGGGTTTATGGATGGAAGAAAGTCTGGGATACTGGCCCAACTATCTCCTTGGTTCATTGTTAGGTTAAATACATACCTCACTGTCAAGGAGAAAAGTGATCCACATAAGCAAATAGTCCAGATAACTGAAGCTTGAGTCTTACACCAAAACTTTATCCCAACAAACTTTAACAAAGATTTGTCAAAGATACATTGCGTATTTCTCTGCTATCTTTAAATTTACACGCTGAATGCAGTTTATGCTTTAAAAATTATTTAAAGCATAATTTTTAATAATTTATAATAAATTAAATGATTTAAAAATTATTTAAAGCATGCTTTAAAAATGTTATGAACATATATTCCTAACATTTTAGAACTGGAAGCCTTCTGAAAGAATATAATTTAGTAATGCCTAATCTGGGAGCTGTGGGTCTCTGGGTAGTAGAAAGACCCCAAAATCCCTACGTACACCAAGCCTTGTTAGTGGATGAAATACTATGTCATGGATGACTTTTCTACATATAGAGAGGGTATTGGAATTAATACAACAAATTAATATAATGTAAATTAAACCTATGCTGAGTACATAGACCTTTCGTCTTTTTTAAAAAAATCAGCAGATTTGAAATACAATTGTGGTTTTAATGGGGACCCCGATTTTTAAATATTAGCTATTAACTTACACCGTTCATGTGTACTCTTGGTCTAGCACACTCATTTGACAGAGATGATTTGTTGCTTTATGCCGTCTTTGTTGAGTGAGCCTTCAATGGGCAGTCTGGGTAGCCTCAGGAACCTGTGTGCTGTATACCTTCAATTGTTCAACTATCTCCTCAAATTCAAGCCAACCATTATTTCTTTTTGCTGTCACTATGTGTTTTGAACTATTTCCAGGCTTAGCATTTTGTTTTAGAGTCTAGAAGCTGAAGCTGCTGAAACTGTCAGAAATTTGACTTCCTTTTGAATAAGGGCATTAAATATTCCTACACTCCTAATATCATTCTCTATACCAAACCAAATTCCCTGGGTTCTCAACCCAAGGTTGGGTTCTGTGCTCTCATCATGCCCTATGAGTCCAGCCACATAGAGATGATTTGCAACTTTAATCTTTTTTCCTTCTAAGCTAGTCTCTCTTCATTTTTAATTCAAGAAGCTGCCTTTCTCATAGAAAAACATACGCTTCATTAAATTTTCAAATTTCAAGATGCTCACATGATATAATTCAATCCAAATAGCTAGCACAACTAAACCTTATAAAAATAAGTCATAGCAATTTAGGGGTTTTAAAAGGTAGAATGAGGATGCCAAGTGTTTGCACATTATTTTAAAATATCTTACAATATTCTTCTTGAATTAAGAGGTCCTGGCCAATTCCCTGTGACTCAGGTGATGTATGCTGTGTGTCCACATACTTAGGACAAAGCAGGGCAGAATTTTACTTCTATGTTGCTAATTTTACTCATCTGTTACTTTAACAATATTTTCTAGGCTCATTCCCCAAAGAAATTCAGAAGTATCACTAGAACCTTTGCTGAAAACAAAAATTTGAGGCTTCACAGCATATAATTCTTAAGTTTTGCTGCAGGAGATAGTTTGATACTTATCAAGTCTAAAGAAGAAAAAGCTCAGCCCACTGCTAGCTACAAAAAGGTGATTGTTTCAAAGGAATTGGGAAGGGTTGGGTGTTTCTGTTCATTTTGTTAGGTTTCGGCCTGCTTCTCAGGGATATTCCAGTTTCTATCCCACAAATTTTTTCGATAACACCAGTTTCAGAGCATCTAAGAACCACTAAAGGCTTTCAATTTTCAAAGAATGTTCTGCTAACACCACTTGTATAAATAATTCCAGGCATTTGCTTTAAAAAAGTCAACATTTTAAGCAAGGCTCAGTGGTGAAATGATATTACACCCTGGATTCCTCTTCTTTAGTTGGTTTTGTGGTGTCACAACCAGTAATCTGAAGCCCTGTGGTGGGAATCTTTGGAGAAGAAAAGATTAATAGTACTTCAAGAATACATTTTGAAACATACAAAACCAGAGTATTTGATCAGTGACATCATGCAAACAAACAACAAAAAAAATAACACCAGATTTGTGTAAGTGGGGTAGAAGGGAGAGGAAGAGAGGGGAATATTAATCACTAAGGTTAAAAATAACATGCTCTGTCATCACTGCTTCAGGGAATAGATTAAAAGCCAATCTGAAAGGTTAAAAGCCTCAACTCTGCATGCTTGCTCTCTGCTTCTTGACCAAAGGCTTGAAAAACCAGTGCTTAGAACATCTGGACACCAGAAGACGATTCCCCTAAACAGACTTTGGACTCCACCTCATTCCGGGGGAAGAAGAGAGAACATGCTACAAAGCAAAGATGTGGTTGGTGGACGGGATGTTCCTGACAAGCCCAAGGAGGAAGCCACACACTTTCGGTGAAAAGAAAGTGTATACTTGCCTATGCAAATCAGACCAAAGGGAGACTCTAGAAGAAGAAAAAGCTGCAAAGAACATCACAACAGGGATGACAAATACACACAGCTAACTTCCTCTTTCCCCCATGACATCTCGTTTTTATTCAGCACTGAAATGAAAGCATTCTGATGCAGGGAAAAGCACATGGGGAGGCTTTCCTAGTACCGTGAGTCCTTGTCACTGGTGTCAGCTCTTACTACTCTACAGATGGCTCAGTTTTTGGGCAGAGCAAAGATGTATGTTTCTGCCTTCACATTATCACTTAAACATTTGAGCTTTTAAGAAATAAATTAGAATGCTTCTGGCAGACTTTTATTATTGCACTAATCTTTGGTATATTTCATCTGTCCTCTTTTGTCAGCCTCTATAATGGCAAAACTGGGTGTCATCCAGTAGAAAATCTATTTTAGATAACGGCTGTTTGACTTTACATTGTCATTATTTATGAAATACCTAGACAAGAAGCCAATATGTATATACTTTAAATAGAAATCAGTAAATTTCATCCACACTTAGCTTCAAATCAAGAAATCCTAAAAGGACACTACCTCAATCCTCTCATTCCATCCTATCAAAACCAATGACAACTTCCATCAACTATGAAAGCAATTTTCCACCTTTGAAGCAAATGTGTAGGCTAATTCAAGAAACGATGGGATCAACCTGGCTATTTTGAAGTCTCCTTCATACTGGGTTAACTTCTACTTTCCTGTACTGTTTCTTTTTGTATCTACCATTATACTAAACCCTTAAGTTTGTCCATGAATTTCTATCCACATAAAATGAAGATATTTCTAGAAATGAGTTTAGACAGAACTGTAGAATTTTATTATTTCACCAAGTAGGGAAAATAATGGAGTTAAGCAAGTGGCCAGGAGTGAATTTAAGCCGATATTTCTTTTTTAATGTTCCCACGTATCTGTAAAAATGCTCCAGTCACTGTGTGTAGAGAAGCGAGATAGTAGAGAAACTCAGGAAGCTAGATGACAAAAACTTGCCTCCTACCCTTTTCTTAAAAGATAACTCTCAAATTGTAAGTGCTGTTTCATCAGCTCACATGCCTATGCAGAAAGTGCTTCTGAGGTTTATGCAATACAGCATCCATCCCGCGCTTAACGGCACCACCTAGACTGCTACTGAGTGTGGGAACCAGCAAGACCATCCAAGTTTGGAACTTCAAATAGCCAGGATTTCATGACTGAGCCACCAAGACCCTCTCAGAGCATCAGTCCCAAGGAGATGGCCAGAGTCGCTGAACAAATCATCAGGGTGTCCTTTTACACCTTGTTGCTACCAGCACTTGTCAAGAAGAGCAGTGAGTCAATTGCTTGAATGGAGGTACCAAAGGATATTTTAAAACTGTGTCTACTAACTCCTGTCTTGAGCTGAACCGCAGGCCAGGTCTTCCTTCACTGCCACTGAAGCTTAAAGGCTCCCAGATAACATGGAACAGTGGCTCTCACTGATCAGGTAAGGACAGGCATCATCAGAGGATGCCTAAATCCTACGGCCAGCAGAGCCTTGCAGCCACATGCATGACTAGGATTTCTCTGAGTATGAAACCCTAAACTCTGCCTTGATCAAACAGTATTTTTTTCTTTTCTTTCTAGTTTCAGGAGAAGGGCTGTAAATAATTAGAAATGTATTATGTAGCCCTGACTAATTCTTAACTTAGCTCCTTGATAAAAGGAGGAGAACAGCAGATTCTCAGCATGGCAGTGAGGAGGGCAATTTACTGATTAGGGAATTGGTTCTTGTTTTCATTAAAGCATTCAATCTACATGTCAAATGCAACAATACACATAAATGACCATTCAAAAAAAAAACCAGAATTTGAGTTTACACTACTAATTAGATGATTTTTTTGTTGTTAATTAGGAGAAATTGGATGGTTTAGGCTCTCCTGGCTCCTTAATTATATTTGATTGAATCGCCATGTGATTCAGACAAGCTCTGGAGGCTCCACAACACCCCAATTCCCACTTTCACTTCACCTTCAGCCTCTTACCAAATTCTAAACCATCACAACCTTACCCTGTGGGTGTTGGAACATGGTGAGATTGGTACTGTGTTTGTAAAATTGATTTACTGTGGTCTGTAATTATACATAACGATTTGAATTTTTGACTTGGCACTGCATTTTTCATTTAAACCGTACCGTTCTTCTCTGCCCCAGAGAAACAGCATTTACGTAATTGCTCTCAACTCATCTACTTGGGTATTATAAATCAGTTGTGCAATAAAAGACTTCCAGAGACACAGCAAGCTCGAGGTTCCTGGCATAATTCAGCGCCCAGGACCGTTCCAGCTTAAGGACAGGAATTGAACAGCATTCATTTCTTATTGGATATGAAATGGAGAGGGCTGTCTGGAGCTACAGACCCCAGCAGCAAAAAGAACAGGCTGTGAGGGTGATCAGGAGGGCTGGGCTGAGCCCAGATGCCAGCTCAGATCCAGAGGCTGGGCTCCCTTTGCTCCTGTTTACTGCTGGTTCCCCCTCACCTGTTATACAAACTAGGTAGTGCGTGTGTGTCTGTGTGTGTGTGCGCGTGCGTGTTCATCTACATGTCTATATACCATTGACCCTCATTATTCATGGATTCTATATTTGTAAACTCACATATTGCTAAAATTCATTTGGAACCTGAGTCAATACTCGTGGCCTTTTCATGGTCATACACAGACACAAATACAGTAGCCAAAAATTCAAGTCTCCCCATGCACTTGCTCCCAGCTAAGGTGGAGCAAAGTGAAGCGCTGCTTTCTTGTTTCAGCTCTCTACTATAAACAAGTGTCCTTTTTGTGGTCTATTTAGTGCCATATTTTTCACATTGTTGTGCTTTCTGTTGACAATTTCACCATTTAAAATGGCCCCCAAGGCTGGGTGTGGTGGCTCACCCCTGTAATCCCAGCACTTTGGGAGGCCGAGGCGGGTGGATCACCTGAGGTCAGGAGTTGGACACAGACTGGCTAACATGGTGAAACCCTGTCTCTACTAAAAATACAAAAATTAGCCAGGCATGGTGTTGCATGCCTGTAATCCTAGCTACTCGGGGGGCTGAGGCAGGAGAATTGCTTGAGCCCAGGAGACAGAGGTTGCAGTAAGCCGAGATCGTGCCACTGCACTCCAGGCTGTGCAACAGAGTGAGACTCCACCTCAAAAAAAAAAAAAAAAAAAAAAAAAAAAAAAAAAAAAAAAAGGAAAAAAAGAAGGCTGTTGTGATAAGCTTCATTCAGGTATGAATTACAGTGTTCTTTGTTGTGAGTTCAACATTAATTAATCAATAATATACATTAAATAAACTATCTTTAAACAGAAACACACATAAAACAACATTATGTATTGATAAGTTGACAAAAATGTGACCGAACCTAGCCCTGTATTTTCTCTAGAAGCAATCATTCAATATTCAATAATTCAGTGTTCACAACAACTTTATAGAATGCAGTTACCCTGAATGAGTAATAGACTATCTGTACACGTAAATACAAACTCTTCACTCCACCTTCCATCTTGTGACCTACCACAGTTTTCTCCTAGACCGGTGGTTCTCAACCTTGGCTGTACACTTAACTTCCTTTGAGCCTTTTAAAAAAAAAACCCCGATGCCCAGGTCCCATTCCAGAATAAGTCACTGAGAATCCCTGCAGCAGGGTCAGAGCATTTGTACTTTTAGATGCACCTTGGTGGCTTTAATCGATAGCCAGGGTCAAGAACCACTGCACTGGGCTGCCTTCCTGCCTCAGTACTTTCCCCCAAACTTTGTCCCACATCTTGGACAGTCCAAACCTCCCTAGATTGGCTGTTGCTTCTGCTGGTCTTAATAAGATGCCTCAAAAGAATGAGCATCTTGTTTTGTTTTCATGGGGCTTTTAAAAGACAAAATTCATACCCTCACTTTTCCCATCAATGATTATCTTATTTGCTTTGGATTCCCATGCAAAATTCTGTTCAGGTTCTTTAGCTCAGGGTTGATCACTCTTGCACTGCTCTCTAGATAAAGTAAATGATATTTTGAACCAGGGTTCCAATCCAAATGATACCTGGGCAGGAATTCCTAAAGACTCCCCAGAAAAATATTTTGACTCCTGGGCAATAGTGCTTGCCTCTTGTTGTGGTCATTTTCACCCTTGTAAGTAGGAAAGAGAGGGTCAGGGGTCAGCCTCAGGCCCCATTTGAATGTGAATCAGCTGCAGAAAGCTCCAGGCACATTTTCTTTTAGTCTGGAAATTCAGCTGGTGAGAGCATAACCAACTCACAAATGGTAAAAAATTGCATTCTAGATCCATGGACAGGTAGCATTGGCATCAACTGGGATCTTGTTAGAAGGGTTGACTCTTGGGCTTCACCCCAGACCTCCTGAACCAGGAACTGCATTTTAACAAGACCCTAGGAGATTTGTATGTACATTCAAGGTTAAGATGCTCTAACTACATACGCAGCTCTTGCTGGCTGATACTTGTTCTGTTGACGTTGGGGTAGGCATCAACCAAAACAAAAACGGACTGCTGAAGGGAGAAGAATTTGGGATTTGAGTTGGAAGTCATGTGGCCCTTCTGTACTTCCGTACCTAAAGTTTTCCCCATTAGTAGATAACAAAGGCTACGTTATGTGATTATTGGAAAAAATCTAATCATTTAATGCACATTAAAATGTTTTGCATATTGTAAAGTGCTCTAGAAATATTAGTTGTTAGCTGTTAGAGTAAGAATAACTTGGTATAAACCAACACTGCTAATGGAAAAATCATCTCAAAAGTACTAGCTAATCTAATGACATTCATGCAGCATTTTCAGCCTATTACATGTGGCATGAAAAATATATCTTGATTACTTGATAGTGTTTCACAGATTTACAAGAGGTAAATTTTCCATCATGGTCTGTCATACTGAAGAGAAACTTCACCTTGCTCTTTCAAAATCTTCACCTATACTGACAAACTTCTGCTTTTCCTGGTAAGAATCTTTTTTCTTTGATTCAGATTCAACTTGGTTTTTCCTTTCCTCTCACACATTTTAAGTGTCCACATTTCATGTGTATTTTATGGAGGGTCAGGAGATGTGAATCACCTCCTTTTCCACTAAATTTCAGTGCCCAGAACTCTTCATGAGAGCTTGTCTTTGTCCTGACATTTGTAAGCAATACAGATTGACTGAAATCCTTATTAAAGATTCTAAGTACCTCCATTATTTTAAGAAATTCAGGCTGAGAACCTATTACGTGTCTGGGTAACATTGGGTTCCTCATATGCAAAGCAAGAGGTTGGAGCAGATGAATTCATTCATTCATCGGATATTTGTGGAGTGCCCACCATGTGACATGCCCTAAAAGCTTGAGGTCACAATGTTGAAAAAGACATTACAGCCCAGTGGATGGTCTCTCAGCCCCTCCTAGAGCCAATTGCCTGTGATGCTGTTAGCCTATTTATGCAGTGCGGTTCTCTCTCACACCCCAGCTCATTTGGATGAGATATTATTGTCCCCACGTTATTTCTCCATATTTTAAAGTCTGCCTTATGATACCAGTAGAACAGCCAGTTAGGGTGTCAGGGTAAAGAAGCCAGCTGTTCACAAGGGCTGGATTCTGGAGAAAGGAATGCACCAAATTATACCGTTCTTCCCTGTTCCCAGGTCTCCTAATGTCTGGTTTTTCCTGCATATTTAGGATCTCATGGAAGGGTAACTGAATGAATGAACTCTGTTTTTGCTGTTTCCTCCTTACCTGCCCTGAGCTGGGGATATTGTACTGCTGTTTTCCCAAATGCAACCCAAAGACCCACCTGTGAGGCCCACTGTTCCCAGTCCTTTGGCCTCCAAAGAGGCCGCAGGAGAGTGCACACAATATCATCAGCTACCATTTGACAGTGCCGACTATGTGTCGGCTTCTTGGCTAAATGTGTAAACATGTTGTTCCATTTAATCCTCATTTAATGCTCTCTGAAGCAGATTCTACCATTACCCTCTTCCCACCCCCATTTCACAGATAGCAAGCTGAGGTGCAGAGGATAGCTGACTTGTCAAAGCTCAGACAGCTGAGCAGTGGAAAGAGCCAGAGTTCAAAATCCAAGGTTCTCTCACTTGCAAGCCTGTGTTCTTAGCCTGACACCGTGTTGCTTCTCATGGCAGAAAGAACTCTGGGCTTAGCTACTGACCCTGACTCTGAACAATCGATATTCAAAATCCTGAACAAGTCCACTAGCTTTTCAGGGCCTCAGTATGCTCATCTGGAAAATAGTTACAATAATGGTAATACCTTATTCCACCTACCTACCGGGGTTGCTGTGGGGGTCCTATGAATAGATGCGTCCTGCATTATTCCTTCCTTCCTTCCTTCCTTCCTTCCTTCCTTCCTTCCTTCCATCCATCCATCCATCCAATATTTGCTGAGCATCTGCCTGGTGTTGGGCATATGCTAAGCACTAGGAAGGATGACAATGAAGGCCAACTAAAATGATGTATGGGAAGATGCTTTATGAAATGAAAAAATGCTAATTGTTAACTTCCCAGAGAGTTAAGCTAACCTCATTTATTCACTCATGTAATGAACAGTGAGCATCTCTCTGCATAGGTACTGTATTAGTCGCTAGGGATACTGATGCCAAAAAGAGCATTCATAAAAAACAAGGCTGCACAGATGCAAACAGTATTTTCTATCATTTATTAAGCCATCACCTTCTATCATTCAGAAACACGCAGAAGCTAGAAGCCGCAAGGCAGTGTTAATATTCTAAGTAACACTTTCCATGAAGGTGAAGAATTGCTGAAGGATGTAAAAATTTTAGGTCATTTCAATTTCAATTAATTTGCCACAGTATTTCTAGGACTAATGAAAGTTTTTGAGGAGGTGGTAATGCACCAGGACCAAGATGCCTCTCTGAATCCTCCATTTTAGAGGGACAGTATCAGGGGATCTATATGAAAGTCAAAAAAACTATTCTTGCTTCTGTGGTAAACATATTGTTTCCCTGTCTGCAAGTTGGCTATTCCATGCAATCATTTACAATTCATGGCTCTGAGTAGCATAAAGATTCCCTATAACTAAATTAGAAATCACCTGCCCAACCACATGGAAAGCATCTCTTTTTCATTTGGGCTTTCCCCAAATGGTGCACAAAGCTTACGGTTCTGCTGTTCTGTGGGTGTTCTGAGGGCAGGGTAGGCAAGCATCTACACAAAAAATCAAACCAGAATCTTTCAAATTCAAATTAAATGCTGGAGGAGCAGCAGACCTAAGAGAAACACCTAGATGGGTTTTTTTTTTTTCTATTTAAAAATATAAGATAACCATAATGTCTCTCTGAACGAAAAGCTGTGCTTCAAGAATGGTTCTCCCAGAAATGAACACTGACTCACAAGGTACCAGATGGGGTTGGTATAGAGCTTTTCATTCTTGAGTCAGGCTGTCAAGGTAATTGGCAGAGAGCAATGCCGACATTTTATTGAAAGTAGAAGTTGTTGCTATTGTTTATGTGTCCAATAGAGTTCGTCCTGAGGGAATTTAAATGATGGTGCTACATTTCTTGATCTCTTCCTCCAAGAACATTACTTTCAGAAGACTGGAAGGTATAGGTAACACTGCAATTTGTCTCCCTCATGTATTTACCCCCGAGTTAACTCAAAATCCCAGAACTTTAAAACAGGAAGAAACATTAAATACATGATTAGATGAATATCATCTAATCCACTCCCCTTGCTATTTTATCAGTTAAGGAATCAAAGACCTAGAGAGATCTGGCAATTGCCCAAGGTCACTTAACAAAGTTGATGTTGACGCTAAGACTTAGAACCCTAATGTTTTTGGTCTTCATCCGTCACAGCATATCAATGGTCATTAGTTTTCGTATCAGTATCTTTTTGACAAAGAAGGGTAAAAAAATAAAGTCTGTGATCTAAAGTAGATAATTCCTCATTTAACACCAGAGCTATGCATTGCAGGACCCAAATGTTGAGGCCTATAGATTTGTACAACAGCTTGAACAGCATAAACACAGCAGGAAGTAGGACATCAAATAAACAACTGTATGCCAGTGGGGTTGTTCCAGAACCAAAGCTGTCACATCTTCACTCTGGGCTGGGATTTTCCAGGTCTGGGCACTCTGAATACCTATCCTTCTCATATTAGCTGTCCACCACCTGAGACATATTATGGGACCTTCTCATTTTTGCCTAACTGGTCAGAGGGACTGCCACCATTGATGTGAAGTATTGTTTATGGACTGGAAAAAGCAACATCTTCTTCAGCCAAAGCTGAAGTCGCCATGAAAGACTTATTTCACCATTAATACTTAATCTTTTTAATCAGTTTAGGTTGTATTTATTTCTGTGATTTTTATTATGAAAATATATTTATGCAGAGGTTTACAAATGGGATATTTATATGTAGACTGCTAGAAGCCATCATTTATCTACAAAATGCTATAATACAGTGTCCAATTTGTCATTTAAAAAGACTGGGCATTTTCACAAGGATGTCACTATTTCTAAGACCTAGGCCCTAGAGATAGTTATTTATTATTTGCTGGCACTTTAGAACTAAGCAGAACAGCAGAATCTCTTATTTTAGAGCCTCAAAAAAACTTCAGGGATCATTTAATTAATCTTTCCATTCTCTCCAGCCTAGTTTCTGGATAAGACAATGGAAACCGAGAGAAGGAAAGTGACAGGCTAAAGGTACCATTGCCAATGAGAAGAACTGAGCTCTAGTTCTAGTCTTCTTCCATGTGGCAACGTGATCTTCAGGCAGCCCCTTACCTTCCAAATGCAGCCCTCATTTTAACTATTAGAAATAGGCAACATCCTATTGATAATGAGAGTTATGGTGGGAAGATTACTATCAAGAAAAGTAAGAGCTTGAAGAGGAAGCTCTTGAGAGGTAAAAGCATTTCAGACACTCCCCATTAAAGATTTCTATTTAAGAGAGACAGATTTATCCCCACTTAAAATCAATGGCTCTAAGTAGCATAAAGTTTGGTTTCATTATCTAACCCTCAAAATTGAAATAATTGTGGATAAGATAGTTACTATTTATTGGGGCGTAGGGACTACACAAAGAGATCTAAATACATGCCATTCATTGATGTGCACATTCACTCATTTATTCATTCAACAAGCATTTATTGAACATCTACAATATGCCAGCCAGAGTTTTAGACAATGGAATGCTATGGTGAACAAGACCAGGTTCCTGACCTCTTAGAATTTATATTCTAGTGGGGGAGATAGATAATAAACAAGTAGACAATTAAAATAGACTGCCAATTTATGCGAATGTTATCTCTGTTCCTTCTGAAAACTCACAAAAATGACAGCAAAGGCACAAACTCACGAGGACAAAGAATGCAGGAGAGAAGATGACAGGAAATGAAAAGGTTATCAGCAGACCACTTGAAGTCAACAAACTGTTGTAAGCTGGAAGACAGAAGGACATGAGGGAACTGGCTCAGAAGACCTGAGAAAGGTGGTGTGTGTGCCCATAGCAAGGGAAAACATGGCAATTTATGTGGTAGAACTTCCATGAAGCTCAGGACTTGGAGAGCAGGTACCTCTGAAGGCAGGGGTGCAGGGAGGGGCTGGAAATTGGTGGTTTGGGGAACCTGGTGCTAAGCCATTCATAGACAACCTGTTTTTGCATTGGGTTTCACGTGCAGAAAAAAAAATAGGTTTGTTAGAATTTATGTTTAAGGTACAGAGAGATCCTCAGATTCTCCCTTCTACCCTGCTCAGCAAGGCAACTGTCATCTTAGCACCTTACTCCTAACAGGCCCTAGGACCCTCGCAGTAAGGCTTATATCCCTCAGGAGGAGGCTGGTAATGGGTTTCTTTAATGGTAATGGGCTAGTCCATGAGAAAAGAATTGCAGATGGTGATATATGTGAGTCCCACAAAAACAGCCAGGTTAGGTTCCTATCTGATCTCTCTGTGGTGAAATCTACACACATAAGGTTCTAGGTCCCTTCCTCTTAAATAAAAGGAAAGTAAGAATCAACAGATAACTGAGGAATGCTTCTTATTTGAGACAGAGTCCAACACAAACAGAAGAGAAAAAACTCCAAGAAACACAGGCAATATTGGGAGCAGAAGAGAACTCCAAAAATCAAATGTGATATCTTCAGAGACATTAGAAAAGATTTGGCAGCTATGAAACAAGAACAGAATGCAATACAAAAAGGAACCTTAAAAAGACAAAAAAGAACTCTCGGAATTTGAAAATATGATAGCAGAGATCTAAAATTACATAGTATGTTTGAAAGATCAAGTTATATGAATCACCTGGTGAGTAGAACAGAAAGATTAAAAGTAAAACAAAATAGGAGAAGAAACATTAAGGAGATTAGAAGATCAATAGAGAGGAGCTATTATCTAATCTGAAATTCTTTAAAGAGCGAGGAAGAAAATTAATGAGAGGAAATTATTTTGAAAATTCAAGAAAATTTTCTAGAGCTGCAGAAGCAAATATTTTAGACTAGGAAAGCTAGACTGAGGGTAACTAACACAGATGGGAGTAGGAGAATAGAAGGATGTCTTCAAGAAAAAGACTGTATGTAAACCCAGAGAGGACTTTCACAACCGCTTATGGGTGGCACTTAGTACTCCTTTTTAAGTTGATGAAATCAAGGCCAAGAGAGGTTAAGCTATTTCTCCAAGGTCACACAGGTAGTAATCAGTGGAACTGGGACTCAAACCCAGGTCAGTCTCACGCCACCATGTGTGCTCTGAACCACAGCTTGATATTGCCCAAGACCGTTCTGGACTTTGATTCTGCCATTCAGTATACTAGCAACCCTGCCAGATCTGTGCCATGAACACATGTTCTGGAATGAAACAGTGTGTCACAAAGAAGGGAATGTTGAGAAATAAGGGGTCATTTGTCCTAATTCTCCCTTCAATCCTAGAAACCAGGCCGCCTCCATTGCTAGATTTGGGAGTTGTGGATCAGAGCTGGAACAATTTGGGAAAGTCAGACTCAACTTTGAATGATAGGACTTGAAGAAAAGCAAACTTCTCCAGCACCAAAGGAAGCCTTCAAGTCTACTCTGTCACGGGCTTAGGGCTGTGATTCCCAATGGGACCCTCATGACCGTCATGGACCCATTTTAGACTTGGCAGTGGGGTCTACACAATTGTGTAGACTTGGCAGTGGGGTTCTTTAAGTTGAAGATAAATCTGGGTGTCAAGCAGGTTGCCTTTCCTCTAGAGTTCTGATAGCCCAGCCAAAGCCCCATTCAAATCCTTGTCAGTCTGGAGGATTCCAAAAGGCTGAGTCTAAGCTGGCTGTTCTACAAGAAGGAAGGGGAATGGGGAAAGGCGTTCCTTTGAACCCTTCTTTCCCAAAGTCAGGATTCTTTTTTTTCTTTTTTTTTTTTTGAGATGGAGTTTCGCTCTGTCACCCAGGCTAGAGTGCAATGGTATGATCTCAGCTTACTGCAACCTCTGCCTCCTGGGTTCAAGCGATTCTCCTGCTTCAGCCTTCCAAGTAGCTGGGATTACAGGTGCCCGCCACACGCCCAGCTGATTTTTGTAGTTTTAGTACAGATGGGGTTTCACCATGTTGGCCAGGCTGGTCTCAAACCCCTGAACTCAGGTGATCTGCCTGCCTTGGCCTCCCAAAGTGCTGGGATTACAGGCGTAAGCTACTGTGCCTGGCCCAAAGTCAGGATTCTTAAGGGAACTCTCCAGGACATGCTTCGTTTCTCTCAGTCTGTGTCATTTAGGGTGGCAGAATGGTCTCACAGGGTTAACATCTCTGGAAGTAAACCATTTACCCAATATGATGTAGTGGAGTTAGAAAAAACAACAACAACAACAACAACAAAAAACCCAAAAAAACTAGCCTGCAGGCAAAAGCAATCTGGGTCAAAGAGTTTCAGCAGGCCTTTTACTAAGAGTCACACTATTTTGAGAGTACAGCTCTTGAGTGTATAAAGCTTCTTGCTCCTAAGCCATTGCTGGGGCAGCCAAAAACACAAAGCCCTGGTTAAGGAGAGGAACATATCCTTTCTTTCTTGGCCACTTTGTGGCTATTCTTCCAGTAGTGAAGCCTCAAGAAGTAAACATGAAATCTTTCCTTGCTCTGTTCTTTAAGAAAAAGCATTCATTCCTTGTGTTGACCTTTCTAAAAAGTTTGTTTATGCAACTGCAAAAGAGTGGAAGGCAGCTCACACGCAGACATGCAGACGTGAATGGAGAGATGGTCACGAGTGTGACCCCAGCTCTATCCCAGTTGAGTGCTTAAAGAGCTTTTCTCTGGGCAACTGCTTCTCTAGCACCCCATAATTAGCCTGGTCTCTGAATTGCATATAGATTGAGTGGCTGGGGGAAGAGGAGCAAGAGAATAGCTCTAGAAGCAAATAAAAATTATGCAGCTGTCTCTAGCAAGAAAAAGAGAGAATCACCAACAGAAAATTGGGAAAGAACTGTGACCATACACAGCTTTAAATTCTCTTTCACAAATCTCATAGATTGAGCAAAAAAAAAAAAAAAAACCTTCAAGCAACATATTTGCTTGCAAGACATCTCCTTTTTCTGAGTATTGACAATACTCATTCCTGAACAACAGCGAGGTCTGCAAAGATGCTTACCTTGAATTTAGGATCTGTAGTTCAGATCCACTTTCAGGGACTGCCTAGCCTCAATCACGTTGTCAGTCTCATACCCAAAGTAGAGACACTCTTGGGCATCAAGGACTCTCAGACTTTGAACTTTAGCCACAATATTTTGAGATTCCAGGTGAATTTAGAGCTACATTGCCAAAAGTAAACAAATCTATAAATGTGGTCATTTTTACCCAGAGATGTCATTATGGACTTTTAGATTAATACTTGGATGTAACATTGTGTTGGGGTATTAACATTATGCTGCTAAATCTAGCAGAATGAATAACAACATCATAGGCATGAAAAAAATTTCTTTCTTTTTTTTTTTTTTTTGAGACAGGGTCTTGCTCTGTAGTCCAGGCTGGAGTGCAGTGGTGCAATCATAGCTCACTGCAGCTCAAATTCCTGGGCTCAAGCGATCCTTCTGCCTCAGCCTCCCAAGGAGCTGGGACCACAGGTGTAAGCCATCACACCTGGCTAATTTTTTATTTTTTTGTAGAGATAGGGGTCTAGCTATGTTGCCCAGGCTGGTCTTGAACTCCTGCACTCAGGCAATCCTCCCCGCTCGGCCTCCCAAAATGTTGGGATGACAGGTGTGGGCCATTGCCAAAATAATTTCTTGAATAATGATGAACATATGTGAACAACACCCTTTCTCACAATGTAGCTCCCTAAGGCCTCATGACTACACCCAAATTCTCCCAACTTTGCAAGCATGCTGCAGTCTTGAGCATTCTCCCAACACATGCATTGGATGCAGACCCAGGGCAATATTCTGGCCAAATCATCATGTCAATGTCTCTCCTCAGCAAGTTCTCTAACTCCTGATGTATCTGGGAAGCCTACATCCTCTGCATTTAGAAGCACCACTGAGAGGGGCATTGTAGCTGCCACCTGCCCTGCCCCGCAACTTCATATAAATGTGACTTGTTAAAAACAACACAAGCCACTTAAATAATCCAAACATACAATCAGAGAAGAAGAAAAAAACATGAATACTTAATACTTAAATAATCCCAACATACAATCAGAGAAGACTGTTAGACACATTGCCAAAAAAATCATCTACAGAAATCTTTTCAGTATTTGTTTTCAATACTTTATATTCACTTTGTTAGAGACCCTCAGGAACTGAGGACCTTACCCCCATTTAAGAGTTCCGGCAAATGAAGACTAACGAGCAACTAAGAAAATTCATATCCTGAATCATAGTTTTACTCAATGGGAAAATAATTTGATTTAAAAAAAGGTTGCTTCAACAACTTTTTGGAAATATACCCACTGTGTAAAATGAGACACCTCTGTAATATGTGTTTTGTCTCCTATGTTTCACCTGGGTACTAACAAGAGATACAGAGAGTATATTCAATTTCTTAATACTATGTACCCTCTCGTCAGCCCTTGTCTTCTGAGAAAGTTTAATTTCTAGGCTCTGTAGGACAGTGTTGGGTGCTCTACCTATCGATCGAGGCCTCTCAAGAACCTGGAGCTGAGGAATACATGTCTGACTTTGTTTTGACTTGGGTATAGCAAAAGTTGTTTGTTTTTTAACCGAAAATGGGTAGTTTTTGAGACAGGGCAAAAGCTGAGTGTCCCTGCTTCCACTGTGAAAATATTTGACTTATTGGTACTTGAATAAGACCAGTAACATGCTAAATATTTATCAGATCTCTTAAAACAAAGAGCCTTCGAATAGTCCACTTTTCTTCCAAAAGAATCTGTCTTGATGAAACCACAATCATCAAGCAAGAATGGCTTTCAAGTGGCCTGTGATTCAGGTGCCAAGCAACAGAACTTGGTGATCCTCTGATTTTTTTTTCTTTAGAATCCACATTTATAACTGTAGCATGCTCCTGAAGTTTCATCATCACCATGACCTTAAACCAGTATTATTTTTGCCAATTTTCTTTTCTTTCTATATGGCAGAGACTAAGGAACTCATGATACTGTGTTTCCTATTAATAAACTCTAATACGTTTCTAAATTATCAGATCACCCCTTATTTAGCATTATTATTCCAGGCTGAATCATTTTGCTTTTTATTTTAGGCTATCTTCTTTTTCCCCTCTTTCTTCACTAATATCCTCATGTATTTCTCATTTTATATATTTTTAATAGGTAATACATGACATTAATATGGTGCTTACTTCAAAGAGCAGGATGATAAATAATTCCCCCACCCTGTCCACCAGACTTCCCTTCACACTCCAGGTAGCAGTTACTGATTTTTTCACATTCTTTTTTAAAATTAGGGGGACCAAAACCGTATTAGATTTTTCACGTAGTATGTAGTTAATGCTGAATACAGCAGGAGGCTCTCTTCCTGGCTTTGTCACATCCCACTTCTCCTAGACATTTCACTCTCCTCCCCCACCCAGCCCAAAATGAGTACTATCGACTCATCAGCAGCACTCTCTGAGTTGAAGATTCTACTTTGGAAGCAAAGAATAAAAGTGCTAAGAAGGAGCCTTAGGGGTCATCCAACCCCAAACTTTCATAAAGAAGTGAGAATCCCCGTGAGTTTAAGATCACACTCTGAGTTGGAAGTGAATTCACTATGGCAATTTTTTTTTTCTTTCAAATACTCTGCCCTCTTGGGACTGGTCACACTTCCCTGGCCTGAATGTGTGTACAGAGCCTCATTTGTTCCTATTAAATCCTATTCTGTTACTTAAGGATAATTTTTAAAAGTGTGAATAATATTCTTATAATTATTACTAATTTAAAAAACTATTCCTATTCATAATGGATCCCAAAGAAGCAACATCAACACAATTTTACCTTACTCTTTATTATTTTAAAATCTGGTCCACTTTAAAGTATTTAGTAATATATATCACTAGAACAATCCTTAAGGGAATAATGGTATTTGTGGAAGGCTGGCTCTTTGTAGAACTGATTCAAAGTATCTTGATTTCAATTTAGCATAATGGGATAGCTTTGTCATAGGGCTTCCCCAGAGATCCTATTCCATCATAGTTTACTGCAGAGGCTGGGCTTGTGGAAGAAGCACCCTTACTATTACCAGCAGTAATAACGACAACAATAAGGGCTATCCTACTGGCAAGTGCTTTACACACATTTCTCATTTAATCCTCACAACCACCCTTAAATGCTCTCTTAACTCATCTTCACTTAACCAACTTTCTGGACCAACCACTACTCTCCATTCCCTTTAAACTACTTACTGATGCTCATGGCTTACTGACTCCCCTAGCACTGTAATTTACTTGTGCCCTTCTGCTCCCACCAGCTGACTTGTAGGTGTACCAAGGGTCAAACAGGTTGTTCCCAAGCCTGTTTATGCCAGTTGTACTTACTGTAAATATGTAATTTTAAAACACATCACAGAAACAATGACACACAAGTTATAAAGTTAACTGCAAAAAAACTTAAATGCTTTAGAAATATTCATTATTTTTGCTTAAAAATCTACTGTTGAATTCAGTGTGAGTGAGAAAACTATAAGCTAAATTGTAAAAAGAAAAACTAGAATCTAGAGAGTCTATGCTCTGATGTTTTTGCAAATGCCTTTAAATTCCTGCTCCATTTTAAAGAAATCAAAGACAGTAACGTATTAAGGGTATGATTTATGCAGGAAAGACATAGAGCAACCTGTCAGGTACCCTCTTCTTAGAGAAAAGGCTATCATGCTATACGAAAGGCTGAAAATGGATATAGATATTTATGTTTTAAGATAAAATTATACATTTAAAGTCTTATTTGTTATGATTCCCTTCTTTAAACAGCTAGTACAATGAATGCATCAACTACCTATCTGGATCAAGTCAATGAAGAAGCCTTCTACTGAAATTTATTCTCATTTTATAGATGAGGAAAGGAGGCTTAGAGGTCAAGTAACTTGTCCATAACTATACCTCTAGTTATTGGAAAAACTGGACTTTAAAACCAACTTGTCTGACTTCAAAGTTGTTCTTAATCAAGACTGCCTCATTGTTTATGTACCAACTTGAATCTCTCAAACACTATTCACAGCCTTATAATTAATTCCCTTTATATAGCAATGTCTTACTGTGCAAAGCAGAAGACTAAAGCATAAAGTAATCCATTATAAATCTTTTAGCTCCATATGGGTTTTGCTGGGCTTTTCCAAAAGGATGCATCTCAGAAAGGCTGGCTGTGAAACAAATCTCTAAAGCAAACCCTGTGCTCCCATTGGCTTCACTGTCTAGCTCTAGCCATGGAATTTGTCTGTGGAAATGGTCCAAAGTTTTAGCAAGGAATGACTACCCTGGAGTATGTTGGGAGTTTTAGCCTTCCTCCAACCCACAAAAATCCTTTATAGCATTTTCCAGATTTTGGAGCCCCCTGCTCACCTGGCTTCCTCATCTCCACACCCTGCTCTTAACTGACTGATACCTGAGATTTCCTGAGAATGTATTTTACCTAATAGAATGTTGAGAGCTGGGGTGGGGATGGGAGATGGCCGGAATGAGATTTAGTGTTTAACAGTTAGAAAATATACCCTAGATTGACAATAGTTGATGGCACTAACATTTACCCTCACCTCGGTACCTAAGACCGTGAAATTCAAAGGTTTAATTTTTTGAAATTAAAGATATCAAAGATATGTGTAAGCTACAGTCATGAGACATCTTTCTTTAGTGTAGCCTGAGTTTACTCGGGAAATCTTAAAAGAAAAAAAAATCAGTAAATGCAAATTTAAAAGTTTTCCTGTCTGTTTGTAGAACAGCTATAGTTAGTCTATGACTCTAAATCTTGTGAAATAACAGAAATCATAAGACTACAGGGCTCAAAAAGGGTCTTACAGAAGCCATCCTGTTCATCTCCCCTTTCCTCCTCCCCTCTTCCAGGCTAGTCCAACTTAAGCCATTTATTCCAGCCAGAATCCATCCTATTTTTAAAGTCTGGTGGGGAATGAGAACACAACTGTCTTCCTCTGTAGCTCATCTAGTGTTTAATAACCCTCACTGTCACTGAAGTCTAAAAAAATCTTCCTGGATGGGGGATGGAGAGCACAGCCTCATGACCCAAGGTGCATGCAGCCCATGGAGGTCTCTGGCTTTTTCCAGGCAGAGGGATCTCCAACACATGATCAACTAGCAGGCTTCTCGCCCACTACAGCATTTTTCTGATCATTCCTCCCCAAGCCTTGGAAAACAGACACTAGGCATGATGAGGAAAAACACAGTCCGGTAAAAACCCTGGACTCTTGGAAACAGGAGAAGGATCAGCCGGTGGCAACATCGAGTCCTCTGAGATATCACTGAGTCATGTTTACAATGTAGTATGTATTAGGAAGGCCAGTGCCATACTAAAAAAAGTTTCCCCCAAAGGGGAAGGAAGCTAAAGCTAAAAATATACCATGCCAGCTGTTATAAATGCTTCTCAAAGAAAGCAAACCAACTCTTTCATTAGTTACCTCTTTGAAGAGCAAATGAGGGGTTAAGGAAATAATGGAATTTTTCAGTTACATGCCAGGTTGGCTAGATTTTTGGGAGGAAGAAATTTTCCACCGAGAAAGAAAGTCTGCTGGTAAAAGGCAAAATAATTCCATGAAAGATTTCAAAGGAACTCCAGACTACAACAGTGGCTCCAAAGGCTTTGGGTGGGGATGACCTGCAGCCTGCAAGATAGAATCAGGGTCCCCAGGCTTCACCCTTCCTTTTTAGGTTCCAAGAGGCCATTTGCAAAGGCCTCTTTCCTTGCCAGACCCATCTAGAGCTGAGCTGCCTGGTGTCTCTCCCTCTCTTGAATATCTGTGTTCTGATGGTTCTCACAGGCTGACTGAAATGCACTTGAAGCGGTTTGTGGCCTTGTGAAAAAAGGTGAAGGGCAAAAGGAAGAGGAAGGACTTCATGAGCAAAACAAGTACCTTTGAAATCGCTGACTCTTGCCGCATTAGGGGCTGAGAGAAATGGAGGTTTTTTTCCCGTAGCAGATCAGGGGCTCCTAAGGGAGCCACTTTCCCTGAGATTCACTCCTACTCGTCCTCCACTTTGCTTGCAGAAGTTGTTTAGTTTCAGATGTTGGCTCTATGAGGCCTAGCAGCCATCCTTTCCATAAATGCAAGGACTTCCTCTACCCCTCAGGAAGACCAAGAACAAGGACCAAACCAATGTCCTCCCCCGAACCCCTCCAAAATCCAGGCACTGAATATCCCAAGTAATTTTTGTTTTTTAACTTTTAATTTTGACGTAATTATAGATTTACAAGAAATTGCAGAAATACTACCCAGAGACGTCTCATGTACCCATCACCCAGCTTCCCCCAAGGTGACATCTTACGTATCAATAGTGCATTATCAAAATCAGAAGCTTGACATTAATGCAATACAACTAACTAGACTACAGGCCTTATTCAGATCTCAGCTGTTTTTACGATCACTAGTTTTTTTGGGTATACATTTGTAACTATGGCAGTTCATCACATGTATAAATTCATGTAACTATCTCTATAATCAAGGTATGTTTTTAAAAGTCTGTTAGTATTGAAACTGATTTGGTCAAATAAGTCAAAAAGGAGCAAGAGTAACAATAAATGTCACTAAGGTGATTATGACAGAAGGCTAAATGATCAATATTATCACCAAATATTTAGTGAATTCCTAGGGACATTTTCTTGTTTATTTTGGAAATTCATTATTTTCATGAACATGTGCCTAGTGAGCTCAGGAATTTATTAAGTCCCTACTGTTCAGCAAACATTTATGGCAGGGTGGGCAGACAAGCTTCAGCTCACATGCCATCTCTTATTGAATTATAGTGGTTGCCTAGAGGGGCATATTGAGGATGATTCAGAGGCCACATCTGGGCTTAGCAAGAGACGGCCATCGTCCAACAAGGTGCTCTGCCACTGCAGCTGAATCTGTGCCAGGAATTTGACATTTCCAAAATTTCTGTGACTTTTTGAGCCACACATTATCCCAGGTGCTGGGAAATACGGATAAAGAAGATACAACCCCTATCCCCAAGGAGCTCACAGTCGGGAAGGATAGGTGAACATGGCGACCAAAAACTGACACAAAATGCTAAGAGCTGACACCGAGTTGTGTGGATCGGTGCAAAGACTGCTCCCTGCTTCAGAGAGTCACAGAGATGGGGCAATTCAGGCAGGGTCTCATACCTGTGGGCTGTGGAGACCACGGAAGCTGGAGGGTCTGTATGGGGCCAAATCCAGGGTCAGAGAAAAGCAAGAGTCTACTAGCTACTCATTCAAATTCTGAGGATAGGATTAGGAGGGAGAGGCAAGTAATAACATCGATTTCCAGGGGCCTCACTGCCTAGGTTCACATCCCAGCTGAACTACTTAGTAGGTCTGTGATGTTGGTCACATTACCTAACCTTTCTGTGCTCCAGTTCCCTTAGCTGTTAAATGGGGATAACAATAATACCCACCATCATGAGGTTATGAGGATTCAATGAGTTAATATTTATGTAAAGGGTTTTAAACAGTACCCAATATATAGTAAACACTATGTAGGTGTGTGCTATCATTGTTAATTTACTTTTTATCTTCTATGGTACCAAACACATCATTTTTATCATCAGAAAAAAATCAAGATTAATAAAATAAATACTAAGATTCCACAATGTGCCATGAATCTGTAGAAGTGGACAGATTAAATGGAGCATTTTGGCATAATTTAGGTATCCAAAGTTTCTGAGTTCTTACCTCATGTTGGGCTAACAAAGGCCAGCATGCTTTCAAATCCAAATGTCAATAATGCAAAGAAAAGTCAAGTGTTGCAATTATTTGAATAAAAACAAGTTTCATTTGTAGCTGTAGCACAGAGATTTCTTCCAGGTCCAGGTCCACCAGGGAAGAACAGACAAGGGTCAGAAAGGCAGTTTGGGGCAACTGAGGTAGCACTGACAACCACACAGGGGAATTCTGTAGGCTCTTAAGAAAGCCAGGAAATACTTATTCTTTGCCTGAATGGTTTACTTTTCTTCTATAACAGACCTTAGACAGGAAGCAAACCTAGAGATGCTAATCCGGGTTCTATCTGCCTATATTTGGAATTAATTGCTCTTGATGGGTGAAACAAAGTTGACCAAGCCTTGTGTAAGGTTTGTCACAGCCAATACCTTGATCCTGTCTGGTCCTACAGGCTCGTGGTGAAGAACACACACATTCTTGTTCTTAGTCAGCATACCCTTGAGTGGCCTTACTAGAACAAGGTGCTAAAAAAATACATTCTTCTCTTTCTTTTGAAGTGCTCTGATGTCATCCAAAAGGCTGCATAACAGATTTTTCAACCTATCCCAACCCACTCTTCCCTTATCTCATGGTAGAAAAGGTCCTTGAGATGTCACTTGACTTAACCTCTGCAACCAATAAAAGATACTCTTGCCTCTCGATGAATGAAAATACGTAGATTCTCATTAGATTAGGACTTAGGTTTTGGCTCCTACTCATCCTTATTCTAATCCTGTCCTTCAAAACTCTGTGTAACTATAGCACCTATTTTTTTCTTTTCTTCTGTTTTTTGTTTGTTTGTTTGTTTGTTTTTGAGACAGAGGCTTATTCTGTCACCCAGACTGAAGTGCAGTGGTGTGATCTCGGGTCACTGCAACCTCTACCTCCCAGGCTCAAGTGATCCTCCCTCCTCAGCTTCCTGAGTAGATGGGACTATAGACACACACCACCACACCCGGCTAATTTTTGTATTTTTTATAGAGATGTGGTTTCACCACGTTGCCCAGGCTGGTCTGGAACTCCTGAGCTTATGCGATCTGCCTGCCTGGGTCTCCCAAAGTGCTGGGATTACAGTGAGCCACTGCATCCGGCCTCTATCACCTATTTTTAATGCCTTCTAAACATCACTTTTCTCCATCTCAGTGCTCCAACATCTCAACATAAACATACATCCAAAATCTAGCATGTGGCCAGTTTGTCTCCCTCTTACCTCCAATCTCTTTGGAGTCATTAACTTTTTTCATCCCTTAATTACCTACCATGTGCTAAGTGCTCTCAGTTTTACCTCTGTTATCCCTCTTTGATAAATCCAGTGGTCAATCCTTGGTCTTCATCTCATTAACCTATCTGTAACATTTTACTCAGTTGATCACTCTTCTCTCCTGGAAACATTTTCTTCATGTGCTTTGTAAGGCACACACACTTGAGTTTTCTCCAACCTCAAGGGTTTCTCCTTAGTTTCTTTTACTACTTCCCCTGCTTTTCTCCAGCTTTCAGGTTGAGGTGCCCAGGCCTGGGGGCCTTGGCCTTCTTTATCTACAGTCTCTGCCTTTTCTCTCTGCCAGTCTCTGGCAATTTCATTTAGTCCTAGCATTAAATACCACCCATGTGCTGCTAACTCCCAAATGTCTATTTTAGACCACTTCTCTCTCCCAAACTGCACACTCATATATCCCACTACCTACTCAGTATCTCCAACAGACATGCCAAACTCATCGTATATGACACTGAACTCCCGAGCTTACTCCAAATCCTACTCTACCTGATAAAGACTTTCCCTGTCTCAACTGATAGCAACACCCAGTTGCCTAGGCAAAAAGCACTGGAGTCCTCCTTCAATCCTCTCCTTCAAACCCTTCATTTATTCTGTCAGGAAATCCTGTTGGTTCTATTTTCAAAATATATCTAGAGCCTGACTTCTTCTCACCCTTCTACTGTAGCCATCCTGGTTTGAGCCATCTTCTCTTGCCTGATTACTGCAACAGACTCTTAACTGGTTTTCCTGTTTCTGTCCTTGCCCTATCTATTCTTAAGACAGCAGCCAAAGAGAACCTTTTAAAATGTGAGTTGGATCATGTCACTTTTCTGTTGGAAATCCTCCAATAGCTTTCTGGTTTATTGACAGCAAAAGTCCAAGTCCTTGCAATGACCTACAATGCCCATTCTGTCTCCAGCCTCTCCGACCACTGTCTACCTCGTTCAATCCCTTTCAGACACCAGCCTTCTTGCTTTTTCCCCTAGCAAGTCTGCCTTCCTGTTTTTCCCCCTAGCAAGTCAGGCACTGTTTTGTCTTGGGATCTTTGCTCCAGCTTTATCTCTGCTTGGAATACTCTTTGCTCCAGATGCCCACTTGGCTAACTTCCACTCCTTCAACTCTCTGCTCACACCCCACTTTCTCAAAGGGGTCTACCCTGACCACCCTGTTTCATGGTCTAGTCACCTCATTACATAGGCCTGATCCTACCCTTGTTCTTATTTCCACATCACCTATCATCTTCTACCACACATATACTTTATTTATATACTACAATTTGTACACACTAGACTGCCAGTGCCCCAAGGGAAGGCAGCTTTGTCTTATCCACTGATACATCTCAAGTGCCTTGAGCAGGGAAGACACAACAGTAGGCACTCAATAAACATTTTCTAGGTGAATGAAAAAATGAGTAAATCAATAATGTATGTCAGGCTGGGTGTGGTGGCTCATATCTATAATCCCAGCACTTTGGGAGGCTTACGCAGGAGGATTATTTGAGCCCAGGAGTTTGAGACCAGCCTGGGCAACACAGGGAGACCCTGTCTCCACAAAAAATACAAAAATTATCTGGGTGTGGTGGTGCATGCCTGTGGTCCCAGATACTCAAGAGGCTGAGGTGGGAGGATTGCTTGAGTCCAGGAGGTTGATGCTGCTGTGAGCCATGATCACACTACTGTACTCCAGCCTGGGCAACATAGCAAGAGCCTGTCTCAAAAAAAAAAAAAAAAAAAGTATGTCCATATCAATACTGAATCCCAATCCTAATAATTCCACCTAGGAACATTTCTAGTATCCATTCCTTCTGCTCCATACGTGCTCCTATCCTAATGATACTTTTATTACTTCAAAACTTTGAAACTTGCTGACTCTGCACTTGTCAGATGCCACTCATCTGGTTTGCTCATAATCCATTTCCCCAATACAGCATGTCACTCCTATGCCTAGGGTGTCAATGCTTGGCCTCTTCGGGGCAGTTCCCTCAGCCTACTTTTACCACCTGCCTTCACTACCTCTCCCTTCATGAGCCTGTTCTTCCTCTTCACTGTCCTCCATCTTGCCTGCACACTGTGACCCCCGTCCCTTTGCTCTCAGTGCGTATTCCTACCCAGGGGCCCCCTCCCCTCCAGACTCTCCTTCCTCTTTCCATCTTAGCTCACTTTCCATTTCCCCTGCAAAAGCTTGCTTTTTCTTTCCTGGTTTTTTTCTTTCTTTCTTTCTTTTTTTTTTTTGAGACAGAGTCTTGCTCTGTCACCCAGGCTGGAGTACAGTGGCACCACCTCGGCTCACTACAACCTCTGTCTCCCAGGTTCAAGCAATTCTCCTGCCTCAACCTTCTGCGTAGCTGGGATTACAGGCATGCACCACCATGCCCAGCTAGTTTTTGTATGTTTAGTAGAGATAGGGTTTCACCATGTTGGCCAGGCTGGTCTTGAACTCCTGACCTCAAGTGATCTGCCCACCTTGGCCTCCCAAAGTGCTGGGATTACAGGTGTGAGCCACCAATGCCCGGTCTTTTTTTTCTTTCTTCTTCTTCTTCTTTTTTTTTTTTTTTTGAGACTAAGTCTTGCTCTGTCACCCAGGCTGGAGTGCAGTGACACGATCACAGCTCACTTCAGCCACCTCATCAGACTAATTTTTTTTCTTTTTTTGAAGAGATGGGGTCTAGCTATGTTGTTCAGACTGTTCTTGAATTTCTGGCCTCAAGCAATCCTCCCACGTTGGCCTCCCAAAGTGTTGGGATTACAGGCATGAGCCACTGTACCTGGCCCAAAGGCTTTCTTGACCCTCCAGTTCACAAGGATCTCTCCATTCTGTACATTCACAGCACTTACAGGATAGGCCTACATTCAACTGGCACTTCATCCTATATGCCTTGTGGCAGCTCTTAGAGTATTATTTTACTGCACTTTTATATAACTCATGAATTGTTATATGAAATTTCTATGGATGATAAGTCCAGCAAAAAGGAATATTTAATTTTTAATTGTGATACTGATTCATATATCATATCTCTCCAATTACAGGCTCCCTGGAAGTGTTAACAGGGTCTTCAGCTTCCTGGTATTTCCCATGGACTTACACGCAGTGCTAGGCACACAGAAGATGGACAGGAAGCATTTGCGGGGTAGTTGAATGATTGGGAATCCATACAGGGAGGAAGCCACGAATGCTAAGGCATTCTGTTGAAGGCACAATGACTGAGCAATAAAATAGCAGTGGAATAAACCAAGGTTAAAAACAAAAACAAAAACAAAAACAAAAACTAAGGAGGTGGCTGGCCTTCTGGTTACCTTTTATTCAACATCATTAACGTGGCTGATAATTTGAAAATGTGTAGTACTAATTGATTTGTTTTTAACATCATATTGTCTTACGCAGATTGTTTTTCCACTTTGAAAGAGGTAAGAAGTGTAGCTCTTCAGTGCAGTAGAAGAAGCCTTAAGTCCAACCCAATTTCTATTGCAGTGGAATGGCCAAAAATCACAGCATATTCAAGGCCCCTTAGAATACTGCGCATGGCTCTGGGCTCAGGGTAAGGTGCTTATGTCAGGCGCCCATCAGAACTGAAAATGAGGGCAAAGACTCTGCATATCAGTGTTAACACTTAGCTCCTCACCGTCTTTCCCAGTTTCTTTCATTTATTCATCTAACAGGTACCCCTGGAGTGCTTACTGTTGCTGCTGCAACCAGGCTGGGCATTTACATAATCTTATTTACCTTCACTACAGCCCTCAAAGGTAGATATTGTGAATGTTCCAGTTTTACAAGTGGGCACCTTGATCAGAGAGGTTAAATTACTTGGCCAAGCTGTAGTTAGCAAATTGCCTGTCTGGGATTTGGACCTAGGAGGCGTTGATGCCAAAGTCCTTGTTCTTCCCTCTGTCAGGCTGCCTCCCAGGTGCTCAGGGTTTATTGATAGAGGCATGAGTGAACAAGTGACCCAAAGGCTTGGAGTTTTGACTCACACAATTGAACCACCATAGGCAACACAGAGGAGTACAGCAATGACATTCGCATTTTCTTAAAGAGATATTATTGACATATAAGTGTTGATATGGTCATGAGTGTTTGAATGAAACTTTCTGGAGGGGAGATCTGAGCTCTTTGATCTTCTCTGATGCTCTGGAAGAGGGCTCCGATGCCTGCCTTCTTCCAGAGGTATGTCAGCTAGTCATCTGGTTAAGCCTCCAAGTCCTTTTCACTCAAGTATTACATAGGGGTTCAGAGGTCAGTAAGGCCATGACAGTCATCTACAAATTTTCTACCCTCTATGGGTCTGGCTGGGTGGCCACAGCCAGAAATAGGTGCTTGATGACTACAACCTGATAACCATCTTAAATGTACTAAATGTCAAGACCTGATCCTGAATGTATAAATCAGTAGATAGAAATATATAATGACCCAAGACTAATTTTGAGACAAATGACATAAAACTCAACTGTTTAAAATACAAAAGACCAAGTTTTAAGAGGGCAGGCAGCTTAGAGTTTGCATCTCTCCCAGCTATTCAAGAGTTTTGTAACAATTACTAGATTCTGTTGCTGATGCAGGAAACTTAGACCAAGAGACTGTCATCTGCCTGCATGTCATCACTCCTTATCATACAGAGACGAGTAAACTGTTCCTGCTGGATTATAGTCTGTGAAAGACAGTGTCATCAGAACCTCTTATATAATAAATTAAGATGCAGTAATCACCTAATTCCCATAATGTGCAAGTTAACCATATCTAAATGGAAAAGCAGAAAAAAGAATTTAAAAAAATCCCATGTTGTAGCAATATCAATGCAGTATCTTCAGTGTTTGCTTGGTTATTCCACTGAGGTACTGTTTCAGTTCATGTAGCTGTAACTCAACAATCCTACCTATTTGAGAAAGCCATTTAAAGAGTCCTGGTAACCAAAGATCCAAGTAGGAACAGATGCCAAGAAGGCATCACTGCCAATTCTTTTTCTTTTTTTTTTCTCTTCTGAGACTCATGCTATTGCCCAGGCTGAAGTGCAATGGCACAATCTCATCTCACTGCAACCTCTGCCTCTTGGGTTCAAGTGATTCCTTAACCTCAGCCTCCCGAGTAGCTGGGATTACAGGCATACACCACCATGTCCGGCTAATTTTTGTATTTTTTGGTAGAGATAGAGTTTCACCATGTTGGCCAGGCTGGTCTTGAATTCCTGACCTCAAGTGATCTGCCCGCCTAGGCCTCCCAAAGTGGTGGGATCACAGGCCTGAGTCTCTGTGCCGGCACCCCAATTATTAATCCTCTCATATCTTTTAACTGGGGGTTCCTGCATGAAGACAGGCACACGAGGTCTAATTGCAAAAGCATTCCTTCAAGAAAGTTATCTTGGCACTGCCACTGCATTCATGGACAGGTGCAAACTAGCATTAAGGAACGCTGTTTGAAGACAGGGTGCACTTCCACACCGCTACTTTATACAGACACCAATGGTGTGTTTGTCACTTTGCTCAGCCTCAGTGGGGAGACACAGAGAGGACTCCCAGCCCCAGTGCCCAGCTGAGGGTGCAATACTTTGCTTTAGTGGTCAAAAGAGCAGAGGGCTGTCCTCCGCTCTCCCCACGCACAAAGCAGTTCCTGACCCACCTCTCCTAAGGTGTTGGACTGAGCGAGAGAAGTCCATGGCATTCTCACCAGGCCACAGCACACAGCAGCATTCTCAGTTAGCAAACCTGCTCCCACTGGTCAGGAAAAAAGTGCCCCAACAATTGGGGATTAAAACCAGAAAATGCAAAGGGAGGAAACATTCCAGGGTGAAATTTAAGAAAAAATAAATAAATAAAGAGAAAGAAAGAGGAAAAAAAAAATAAAGAGAAAGCACAAAGCCCATGAGGCTGCCTGGTTAACCATGGGTTAGAATTAGGTTTAGAGAATCACACAGTAACTCAGTGTCTCAGCAAATCCAAAACCCCAGGGTGAAAGACATGGGTGAAATGCATTTCTGATTGTGGAAACGGCAAGTTTCCTTCTTTCATTTATTGTCTATTTATTTTTGGTCTGTTTATAACCCAAATTTGGACCATCAGTCACTTTTACCTTCCCAAGTATTTTCATCTTTGCAGAGTCAAAGAGCAACAAATATGGGGTCCAAAGGACCTTTCCCACAGCCAATTCCAATCAGTCCTTCTCTCCCAGGGTCACAGGGTGCATGGAGCAGACACTGTCAGCAGGACATGCCACATACACAGCAAATCGCCAAACCAGACTACGTTAAAGGGATTCCGGGGAACTTACTTGTACTTGTGCTGGTTCCAATCGTATTGATTGTGGTGGGGACAGATGAGGAGGAGTAGAGGGGCACATGGCCATTCTCACACCCCATGCTTTTGTCCTGCCAGTTGGAGGCATTGATGCAAATCCCAGAATCCCGAGAGTTCTGCCACCCATTGAGCTTGTCATCAGAGTTCTGTCTTTGGTGATAGTAGTGTGTCTGTCCATAATCCACAGAGTCTGAGCGGCCTCGGTTCTGGCCACCAAAGCTGGTCGACGTGCGGTCCTCCAAGTGATTCAGCCACATGGCTAAAGCACTACGGTCTTCTAACGAAGTGGCTGGATGTATCAAAGCATAGGACAGCAGCTGCCTGCTCTCCTCAATGTGCTGGTTGTGTTCAATAGAGTGAGCCAGGATTTTGGGCAGCAGTTTCATATATTCTACTTTCGCGTCGAGGTTTCCTGGCTTCAGCAAAGGCAGATGAGTTAACAGGAGGGAAATCACTTTATCCTTGGATTCCTGTTGCCATTGGTTAATGATTCCTGAAAAGGGAAATATACACGGCAAATAAGCAAATACACCCACAGTGACTCTAAACAGATACTCTAAAGAGAATTTTTATGGATTAGGGTCCCAATCTACATAGTCTGGCTATATTTTCTCAAAAGAGCCTGTGAATCAGATTGGTTAACTGACCCCAGGTTTTCAAGGGCCAGAGGCTCCAATGAAACACAGATCAAACATTCTTAGATATTGAGTACTCAATCAAATTCTCATTCGTGTTTCCAAAAAAGCTACAACTACTTTGGTACAATCAAATACAATGTGCAGCTCTGTTTTCTTTCTGAGAAAGGTCTAGCCTACCCCCTGATAGACAGGGGGCTAAGACTAAGAAGCTCTCCATAGAAAAGTGAGTATGAACAAAGGTCCCATTCCAGAGTCCTGGGGGTGAGGCTGCTTCACCTCCCCCAGACATCTGTTGAAAGTGATTTAAATCCTGGTAAAGGCATTTGTGTGAAATTGGAAAAACTTCCTAGATGGAGAAATTTGTCAGGGAAAAAAAGAGCTCCCCTCATCTCTGTGCAGTAAGACTGCACCTTTCTCATGAGAAGCTAACTCAGAGTGACTATGGGCTCAAAGCTAGAATATGCAATGGACCGAAGACTTGGCTCCTGAGACACCTCTAATTGCTGTTTTGCTTTATGTAGAGATCAGCTTGTTTTTATTGTGGTAAAATACACATAACATTGATCATTTTAATCATATTTAAGTGGATGTTCAGTGGCATTAGGAACATTCACAGGCTGGGGGTGGTGGCTTATGCCTATAATCCCAGCACTTTGGGAGGCTGAGCCAGGAGGATGGCTTGAGCCCAGGAGTTAGAGACCAACTTAGGCAACATAATGAGACCTCATCTCTACAGATAATTAAAAAAGAAATAGCCATGTGTGATGGTATATGCCTGTAGATCCAGCTACTCCAGACGCTGAGGTGGGAGGATTGCTTGAGCTTCAGAGGTCGAGGCTGCAGTGAGCTGTGATTGCACCACTGTACCCTGGGGCTTGGGTGACAGAGGAGACCTGGTCTCAAAAAAAAAAAAAAAAAAAAAATTCACCGTTTCACAGTGGTGTGCAACTATCACTACCATCCATCTCTAGAACCCTTTCATCTTCTCAAACTGAAACTCTAACTACTCTAGGTACCACAGAGAAGTAGAATCATACAGTGTTTGTCCTTTTGTGACTGCCTTACTTCACTGAGCATAATGTCCTCAAGTTTCAAGCTCTGGGAAGATCTGTTTTTAACACACTCAGAAGGATCCTTTCCATCCCCTCTCACTGATTAGCCTTTGAGAAATAGCCTGTCTTGGGATTGACAGTTATTCACAGGCTCTGGGCCAGAGGAAAGAAAGCTCATTTTCAGGGAAGTCATTCCTGACACCTGGAGATCTCAACACTGGCCCACTGATGACCCTACAAGGGCTAGGGCTGGACAGTCCTGCTGGTTTTTATGCCATATCTAGAAGGTTGGAAGGGGTTTCTGGAATTTAGCAGAAGGGCTTAGCAATTCCAGCTAGGTGCAAACATAACAAAACAAGCCCAGTTATCACTGTTGACCATAAGCTACAAATGCATCAGCCTGTGCTGCAATGCTTCTCAAGACTATGGGAAAGAATATTTCAAGAAAAATACCAGCAAAAAAAGAGGCATGGTATATAATGAAAGAGCATGAGCTTTGGAGTCAGGCAAAGCTGGACACAAATCCCAGACATGCCATTTAATTTGTGGTAGAACCTTGGTAAGTTACTTAACTTCTCTGAGCCCCAAATACCTTCTCTGAGCCCCAAATAGCATCTGCCCCTCCATGTGCTGTGGGATTAAATAACGTAAAGTAGCAAAAGGGCTGGTCAAGTACTTGATGATGGAGGTAATTCCTTCAGCTTGTCTCTGCATAGCTGGAATCATGTTAGAGCAATGTGGGTGGTTTGGGATGCCAAGTTTTAAAAAACAAAATATAGAGAAACCAGAGATGACCCAAGAGAAGTCACTAAAAATGATCAAGGAGGTAGAAAGTCAAAAGGTGAAAAGAAAATGGGTTTACTGTGCTTACAACAATATGAAGAGATGCTTGACTCACTTCAAGTGGGATTTCATAAGGAGATGCCAAAGAGTCAACTACTTGTAGAAGTCTCCAAACCGAAGCAGGAGAGATTAAGATAGGACGTGGAGAAGAACAGAATTGCCAGAATAATGAAAGACTCAGAATCACCAAGGAAGGCTTTAGAATCTCTGCCCTGGGGTCTGAATGTTATTCAGTAACAGAGTGAGACGATCTTGAGGAGCACTGTCCAACAGTAATAAAATATAAGCCATATATGGTATTCTAAACTTTCTAGTAGCCATATTAAAGAAGAGACAGAATAAACAGGTAATGTACATTTTAATGATATATTTTATTTAAATAATCAAATTATCACTTCATTATCCATTATCATTAATGAGCCATTTTTCCTTTTTTTGAATTAAGTCTTAAAAATCTTTTAAAAGTCTTAAAATGCCAATGTATTTTTTATCATGGACAGTACATCTCAACTTGGATCAGCCACAGCTGAAG
Source organism: Homo sapiens (assembly GCF_000001405.40). NCBI lineage: Eukaryota > Metazoa > Chordata > Mammalia > Primates > Hominidae > Homo > Homo sapiens. Next base: position 54,699,489 of record NC_000014.9, on the reverse strand, counting down.
AGCTTAGAAGCCTTATGTGGCTGGTGACTACTGAGCTGCTGAGCACAGGGCTGGAGACATTCAGATGGGGAAGGCTGGCAGGAGGGCACAGATGACCTCAGCAAGTCCCTCCCAGCTCCCTGACTCTATATTTAGCTAATTGCCACCTGACACAAGACAACTCTCACACATTCCACTAGGTATAGCCTCCCTTTTAAAGTAGCGCTGAGAGGCAAAGAAAATTCCAATTCTAACTTTCTCCTCAATTCATCTTCAGCAAATACCAGGCATGTTTTAAATGATGAATGTGCTTAGCATGAAGATAAAATCTATTCATTAAGCCCAAGAGGCACTGAAAAGAAGCAAAAGGGGCCAAGAAGCAAAAGGGGTTATGCTGTAAGCCTACTGTAATCAGAGGTGGCTAGTGTACATCCTTGAAAATGTACATTTAAAGATAAAAATTAGGAATGACTTCTAATAAAAAATTCATGAGGCTGAGGAACTCCCTAGCTTTCTGCTAGGTCATTTCCCTGATTGGACATTCTACCCTTCCACAAAAGGTCAACCTAAAAAAAAAAAAAATCAGCAACAAAAACAAAACATAAATAGGAGTCATAGTACAAACGAAACATGTTATCTCCATGTAACCGCTCTCTGCTGTGGATTAACCTGGGATTCAGAGGAGGAACAAGCATAGCAAAGAGGAAGGAAAACGAGAGGCCGCTGGCCCCGGTCCCTTTATCCTCAGGACAGGGCTTGGATGGTGGGACCAGGAAGACAAGTATTGCTTTTGTTTACTACCACTGGGAACACAGAAATCAGATTGCTCTCTGAGGGCTAACTACACCTACTGGATCAAACTATTTCTGCTACTACTCCAGCTGCCACTGCTGAGAGCCAACAGTATTGAATGTTTTCGAAGTGCCAGGCACTCTTCTAAGCCCTGTGCATTTAATTACTCACTTAATCCTCCCAAGAAGCTTATGAGGTAGGTCCTATTACTAGCCTTCTTTTACAGATGAAGGCACAGGGGCACAAATGGGCCAAGTTACTTGCCCCCAGCCCCCTGCTAGTGAAGTGGCAGAATGGAGGTAGGCAAATTTGATATTAGATACATAATGGCTGTCCTGCTACAACAGCGTGGCCATAAGCCAAATATATTGATATTTATAACATAATTAGATGTTCTATAGTTATATGATACAGAATTACATATAAATGCATACAAATATGTAATAGTTATAAACATTATATAAATGTATTAATAGAGTACATGGATAATCACAGTTGGTGAGCAACAGAAGTATAATAAAAAGGAGTTACAGAGACAATGTAAGTTATACCTATTGTGGTTTAAAATATGTTAACTATTTATTTGACACACCTCTTTGAAAGGTGGAGCCTAATTCCCTTCCTTCTGAGTGCAGGTTGGATTCAGTGAGTCACTTTCAGTAAATAGAATGTAGGGGAAATGGCGGTATGTGACTTTATGGATTAGGTTATAAAAGGCATTATGGCCTCCCCTTGCTGTCTCCGAGTACTCACTCTGGGGAAAGCCAGCTGCCATGTTGTGACATCATGCAAGCAACCCAATGGGGAGGTCCTTGTAGTGAGGAACCGAGGCCTCGTGCCAATACCTAGCACCAAGTTGCCAGCCATATGAGGGAACCATCTTGGAAGCAGATCTCCTAGCCCAGATAAGCCTTTGGACAACTGCAGCCCACATACCATTTTGAGGAATCCTAAGCCAGAATCTCTCATATTTCTGACCCACAGAAACTGTGTAACATGTTTATTGTTTTAAGCTGCTAAGTTAATTAATACACTATCCAACTGTCCCTCTAGGTAAAAGGAAGTTTTAGCCACTTGGTTTTGAATACATCAGTCTTTCTGGCAAAGCCATTCCCATTCTGGCATGGACCCATGAAGTTCCCGTTGCCACTAAACATTTCCCTTCCTCAGCGCCCCCGTCCTGATTATCCACTCACAAAACAACCTTTGGACCATGATTTAGCTCCCCAGCTACCCTCAAGGAGAGAATGAACTGATCATAGAGACTTGAGGTATTTCCAAAATCTGTGATAATGATTTGTCAGGGCAACTTAATACATAATTTCTGATTATGATTTGGCTTCCTGTGGAGGCCTGCCGACAAGGACAATGTGTGCTGATTATATGGACTTGGAGTACGTCTGGTCTCTCTGATGATGGCTCCTCGTGGCAAATTAACCAGCCAGCATTGCAGTGTCTACCTCCCTGCTTTCTAGTTAGCATGAGTCAGTCTTTCAGGAGAGTATCCCCAGGGTGCTGACAAGCGTGAACATCTCTACCTTCAAACGGAAGCCAGACCCTACATGCAGGGACTTGGTCACACTGGCTAGGTCCTGTCCAACTGCCCACTGGCCTCTGTGGCATCCACACTATCTTCCAGAGAGCAAAGAATCTTTGCTGAGATTTGCATTTGACAAATTCTCCTCCCTGGGGAAGATGCAGGAATCCTCAGAATTTTCAATTAATTGATCACTTCTGAGATCCAGTCTCTACCATTACTCACCCCAATATCACCTGATTCAGGACACAGTGGAAAACTTAAGTGCAAGAACTTCAAGGTTTGATGATGTCAGCTCACCTCTACTATGTTTTCTGAATATTTTCTTTGTTATTTCTCTGTATAAGGAGCAGAGATGTAACAGTTCTATTACATGGATGTTTAATGTGGATAAAAGTTAATGATTTATAATTTGTAAACCAGTGACATAGGAGTAGTAAAAAAAATTAGAAGAGCTATAATTAAAGACCATGAGGATTAGGAAACTGTCCCAATGATTTTTGGAGTGACAAAGAGTGTGTTTAAATACCAAGTCTGGTATTATTGCTACACAATGGTATGTCAATGCTTAAGGGCTCTAGTTGTTAGTAAATTACTCTTAAATTGCTATTTTATTATACCCTTGTTTTCAGTTTAATAACGTTTGCCATAAAAGGGTTTCTCACAAGCGCATTTAGGCAATTTGCTCATGCAAGAAATGGCTAGGAATTAAATGCACACACAGAAGAAGTACTGGTGAAATAAATGTGCTAAAAGGCAGGAATATTGGTGGGTTTTACATGGTCAAAGACTCCTTGGAAGAATGTTACAAAGTCAATCCTAGACACATCATGTACTAAAAGCTTCTAAATATAGTGCAACTCTGCACAACTCAAAAGTGGATAACCACACACACCATGTATTTATTTGTAGAGATATTTTTCAGCCCAGGGCACCTGAAAAATCAGGGCAAAAATACCAACATGGCAAATGGTGGGATTCTTGTGTTGGCACCTGCACTTGAGTTTGTCTCCCAAGGTACCCTCTTGAGCTAGAGGTGACCAGAGAAGAATCCCCATAATTTGGTGGGAGCCCTGCTAGTGGTATGGATTAGACCAGTTGTGATGGGGAACCCAGTCTGGAGTTATGAGCCCTTACAGCTGCAAGTAGTGTTTTGAAAAGGTACAAAGGATTGAAAAGATATAAACCCTCCCCCTATTTTCTTTTTCTTTTTTTTTTTTTTTTTTTTCTGAGATGGAGTCTCACTCCGTCACCAGGCTGGAGCACAGTGGCATGGTCTTGGCTCACTGTAACCTCCGCCTCCTGGGTTCAAGCGATTCTCCTGATTCAGCCTCCCAAGTAGCTGGGATTACAGGCATGCGCCACCACGCCTGGCTAATTTTTGTATTTTTAGTAGAGATGGGGTTTCACCATGTTGGCTAGGCTGGTCTTGAACTCCTGACCTCATGATCCACCTGCCTTGGCCTCCCAAAGTGCTGGGATTACAGGCGTGAGCCACCGTGCCCGGCCCTAACCCTCCCCCTATTTTCAAGGAAGGTGATTGCGGGCTTCCAGGGTGGCCTCCATTGATCCTAGACTACTGGTATTCACCTATGTGCTTTTCTCCCACACTGAATGAGAGCTGGTCTATGTGACCAAGAGTGTGCAGTGGAGGCGTTCTGACCTTAGGTCATAAAAAGCATTGCAGCTTCTACCTTGCTGTCTTGGTTCACTTGTTCTGGGGGAAGCCAGTCACACCAATTATGAAGATGCTCAGGCATCCCAGGGAGAGACCTGTATGGGGAGGAGTTCAGGCCTCCTGCCAACAGCCAGAATCAACTTGCCAGCCATGTGAGTGAGCTTGGAAGTGGCTCCTCCAGGTCTAGTTTATTTCTTGACTACAGCTTTGTTGGAGACCTTAAGGCAGAGCTTCCCAGCCAGGCTGTTCTAAATTGCTGACCCTCAGAAAACTGAGATAACTTGTTGTTATGTTAAGTCATTAAGTTTTAGGGTAGTTTGTTACACAGCAATAGTTAATGAATACAGAGAGCTTTTGGTTACTTGGTAAAGATCACTTCAAAATGCTACTGTCCCTTGGATTCACTAGAAAAGGCAGGCATCTATGTAGTGGACTGTATAGACCATTATGACCATTCCAGTCTTTTCTGACAGCAGAAGGTCATCAGGTGCTGGTCATTCAAAGGCATCTGACCATCCTCAAAAGGCAAGAACCAGGTACCTCTTGCCCTAGCAGATACTTCCAATGAGCCCTTTACCTTTCCAGAGTAGAGATCTGGTCATTTCTTCCATGGAGACTTTCCATCTGTAGTTACTTTTTCCCCAGGTACCGGCACAGCTGGGTGCTCCAGGACTGCTCCTTTACTCCTTGAGGACCCAGGCCAGCTGGGAAGTAGTCCTGAGATCTCAGCCAAGGACTCAAGTTAGGGTTAGGATTCACCTTCAGATTTCTGACCTCCTGGCCATGACCAGTCAGGAGGTCTGAGGCTGGCCATTCCCAGAGGGCACAAAAACCAGGCCAGCTCCCCCAGCCACCTGCCTCGGTTCTGACCTCTGGCCCATGAGTATGCAGACAACTCCACGTTTGTATTTCCAGCCCAGGTTTCTCCCCTGAGCCCCAGATTCACACTCCAACTGCACCCTCTCCATGCTCACTCAGATGATCTCAAAGTCAACATGTCCACAACCCAACTCTTGCTCTCACTCTCACCACATCTGCTTCTTTGCTCCTCTTTCCTATCTCAGCAGATGGCTTTCCATCTTTCCAATTGCTCAGGTCAAAACCTTGGAGTATCCTTGACTCCTTTCTCTCATATCCTGCATCTAACCTCTCCATAAATCCTATGGGCTGAATCTTCAAAATACATCTGGAATGTGACTACCCCTCACCATGTTTCTGCATATCCCCACCCTCTCCAGTAGTCTCTTATCAACCATAACAATCATTTCTAAAAGAAGGATCTTTTAAAACTAGAAGGTAAGTCATGTCACTCCCCTGATCAAACATGTCAATGGCTTCCCATCTCAGAGTAAAAGCCAAAGTCCTTATGATGGCCTGTTAGTCCCTCTATGATCTAGCCTCCACCCTTACTACTGACCCTCTCCTGTTTCAGTCCATCCTGGCTGCTGTGATGTTCCTTCAACATATCAGCCGCGTGCCTGCCTCAGAACCTTCACACTTGCTGCTTCCTCTGCCTGGAACACGTTTCCCCCACACCCATGTTTAGCCTCTCTCAGCTCTGTCTTTGCTCAAATGTCACCTTCCTAATGAGATCTTATCTGTCTACACTATTTTAAATTGCCCACCCCACTCTCTCACCTTACACTCCCTTATTCCCAGGTCATGCTTTGTTTTTTCCATAGCGCTTACCACCATGTGACCTGCTGTACAGTATGCTTATTTCTGGCCCCTCTCCATTAGAATGCAAGCTCCATGAGGGTAATGAGGGTGTCTCCATTTTTTCATGCATTAATAGTTCCTTCTTAATTACAGTTTTTTTTTGAGACAGGGTCTTGCTCTGTTGCCCAGGCTAGAGAGCAGTGGCACAATCACAGCTCACTGCAACCTCAACCTCTTAGCCTCAAGCCTTCCTCCCACCTCAACATCCTAAGCAGCTCGGACTACAGCCATCTACTACCACATCTGGCTAATTTTTGTATTTTTTGTAGAGATGGAGTCTTGCTTTGTTGCTCAGGTTAGTTTCAAATGATCCTCCTGCCTCAGCCTCCCAAAGTACTAGGATTACAGGCATGAGGCACTGCGCCCAGCTAATTATGGCCTTTTGTTTGATAGTGTTTTAATAGTCGTTTGGATTTCTTCAAAATGTTAGGTATTTCCTAGAAGTTTCCTTTAAATGGAAGGCTTAAGATAGAATAGACGACCTATAAACAATAGTAGGTACCAACTGTCACACACAAACTGTTCAGTTGCCCCTTTCTCATTCAACTTTGTTGTATTCTGATTATTTTTAGCTTTAACATCAAATAAAAACAGGAACATGGAAAAGAGGAAAATAAAATGATTAGCTCAATTTTCAAAGTCTTTACTACCCCCCCCTTTTCAATATTCTGTTTAAGATGGAAAGTTTCCCCATTGTTTTTTGCTAGAAAACAAAAGCAAAATGGGTGCTTTTTGTGATTGTAACTGACACCCATTAAAGTAATCTTCGTGAAAAGGATTTGAGAGGCTGAGACAGCAGAATGAAATATATTTAATACAACTCTTGCAAACATCTGTTGAAGAAGGAAAGAAAAACAATGTCAACAGGGTTAAGACTGTTATATGTCTGATTTTTTTGCGGGGGGGGGCACTAAGTGATTGTTTCAATAAGGCCTCATAGGAATGGGTCTCCTAAGAGTTATATAAATTAGAGATGAAAAAAATGTTACCTCACTCGACAAACACAAGACACATTCTTGTAAACCACACTCGACTAGTTTTTTACACCAAAAACCCCTCAGAGGAGAGGCTGGAAGTGTTCTAAACACAGGAAGCTTTCCCACTCTCTAATCTTCAGCGCCGCCCTCACACTCCAGACCACCACTGCCAAAACCCCACACACCACAGAGTGACACTCCAATAGTACCTTAAAATAATGAATTAGCAATCCTCATGCTGACCTTGCAAAGGAGAAAAGTGTGCTTTCTGCTTCTACACTTAGATTTAGCCCCTGTTGCACAAGAGGCTCTAGACATGAGAGTCCCAAAAGGAGCACGGCATTGTCCACGTAACCTAACTGCAATAATATTTTACAAAGAACTCCAAGGCCAGCATCCTTGGCAATGTCCAGACAGTCAACAGAGGAGTATCTTGGGAGGAGTATAAACAGACTGAATCACAAAAGAATAGTTCATGCTTAATTCAGTGGAGCAAACGGAACAACAGCCATGCCACACAACAGGTTTATACACCTCAGGAAGTCTGGGAAGGGCTGGAGTGCACACATCCCACCCCTGACACCAGGGAGCCATTCTATATCTTTACATGACTGTGAACTGTGAAGTCACTGGGTCCCACGCTTTCTAAAATAACGAGGAAGTTGCTCAACAACTTATAGACAAAATTTCCCAACTCAAGAGATGGGATCCAAAGTGTAAGTGTGAATGTAAGAGCCCTGTGGTGTGGTGTGTAACCATGTAAATATTGTCACCAAGGAACAGCATGTAGATATTCCCAAAATATGCATGTTAGCAATGTTGATAGTAAAATGTATGTATCACTCATTTAGGTATGAAATATGAAATACACGTACAAGTCATCCAATGGGGGACAGAATGAACAATTTTGTGGAGGCAGGATATTCGAGTCCATAGTCACAAATTAACTGATACTCTTTTTGGAAAGAAAGGCCTGGCTAACTGTACAAGGACAGAGTTGGGTGACCCTGGAACATATTCAGCCTGGCTCTCCTGTCCTCCTGGGGCACAGCCCTGTAGAGGGAGCTAGAGGCACACCTCCCTTCCTGCTTCCCCTCCAGCCGCCAGCCAATGCTGGGAATTTCTGCAACAGTAAGCAGTAAAAGGCTGCTGATTTTCACCTGTTACTTGTGCACCAAACTCATTTTCAGGTTAGTAGGTCTATTGATGCAATCAGAATAAGATTTTTCAGATTTTTTTTTTTTTTTTTTTTTTTTTTGAGAAGGGAAGCTACTTTTTCATTGCTGAAGTCCTTGGGCAGTGGGTAAGAAGAAAAGGTAGGAAGGATGATGGTGAAGAATGCACTTCTCTAAATAGGAATGAGAATGGCTGAGGCCATTTCCCTCCTTCTGGGTATCCTGCCATGAAATTGAGTAGACCTAGGGCTCAGTGGCTGGACCAGAATCAGGAGGACTGATCAGATGAGGGCCCTTGGCTTTGGCCACATTGGTGGGGATGCTACAGAAGGAGACAAGACCTCAGAGCTCATAGGGATAATGTCTCCAGACAAGGGCCTCATCCTTCCCAAGTTGCAAGCATGCTGCCATCTAGAATTCTACAACAAAGGCAGGCACAAAAACAGTGAGAGGGCTCAGGCAGGGAAAGGTAAGGGGGAGCAGAAAGGCCCAGTAGGACGGAGAGGAGCAGACGCAGAGGCAGAGTTGAGAACCTTGTCTACAGACCCACACAGCCCAGTGCAGGCAGGCCTGTGGGCTGTGTTGTAAGCACCCTGCACTGCTGAGAAGCTGGAGAGAGGACAAACCTGGCAGGAAGGAGCTCCTTCCTGGAAACAAACCTTCTAAACTCTATGGAGGAAGGCAGAAGGCAGCAAGGGGCCCCTATGTCCAGGGAGTTTGGAAACTAACCATTGTCTGCCCTCCCTCAACTCTACCCCAGGGTCTGAGACACATGGCTCAGTGAGGAGAAAGACAAAGCTAACTTCTAGCCACAATGGTTCTGAGCTGGGAGTGACAGCACTGGCCTACTGTGTTGTTTGAATCTAGCTTCATACCATCACCTTTGGAAGTGGTTGTATTTATTAATCTATCAGATATCTGTCTTTGGTTCCTATCAATGTATATGGCCTAGTGCTAGGATCTGTCCTTTTCAATGACATTTGTGGTATCAGAGATAGCCAAAGGGAAAGTTTTGTACCCATAGAAGTGTCTGTAACACAAATAACTTGGGGAGAATCAGACCAATGGGGTAGAGAAATACTTGGAGAAGGGCTCCATTTCTAGAACCAACAGGCAACACTGTAAGGAGTAGAATCCATCTTCTAAAGTACTCCTAGGCCCTCCAGCCAGGACTCAACACATTATTTGGCAGAAAAAAAAAAAGAGCTTAGTCTATTATCACTATACCAGTGGAGACTTAACCTCTGGCTGTTTGAATCTCAAAAGAGATCACTATTATTTATCATTACATACTCTCTGCTGTAGATATGTCTTGGACACATCTGAACCCTCCCCCTCCTGCTCCTATCATCATCTGTGATGTAGTTTAAGAATCCACCTCTCTCCCCAAATGCCATTTACCCATTTGGGCCCTCATTGCCTTTTCTCTACCACAATTGAGCTCAGTGACTTGCATATCTGTATAACACCCCCCCCACTTCACCCCTCCTTGTGGGTGGGGACAGTCCATCCACTTCTGTGTCTCCTACTCCCTCACCCAGGTTAGTGCTGATCACACAGCCTTGCTAGACCAACCTGGTCCAAAAAAGATTCATGCACTTTTTCTATTATGGCTGATGACATGGCACATCTGTTCCTCCTCAGCTTTGTGTCTCTGATAAGTATCAATAGCAGGAAATCTCTGGACCAGCGCAGAATGGTGAGGGGACACTGAGGCTCCAGCAGAAGGGGAGGGCTGGCCTGTCTTCACAGATGATGTCCCCAGCGTCTTCACATCAACACCCCTCCCTTGGCCTTCACCAGGTCACATGTCCAATGTATTTCTGCTAAGAGCCCCCTCCTCTTGCCTCTACTCAGTCACAGACACAGGTAGGGTAGTCAAGTCACCTGGACAATCGGAGCCCAAGATGCTGGTTGTTAGCGCCTAAGATGGGTTCAGTTGTCTTGGCGGCTCCTTTCTAAGGTATTCACTCTTAAGAACTGTAGGAGTATCAGGTGCTCTAAGTGACTTGGGGAAAACAGAATGATAATATGGCGTGGGGAATGAGAGCACAGATGCTAGCCATGTTGTCTGAGCTTCCATTGAATGAGCTGTGTGAACTTGGGCAATTCACTTAACCACTCTGTGCTTCAGTTCCTCCATCTGGAAAATGGGCTACCTCCTAAGATTGGTGATGTTTGAGTTACTTAATCTTTGTAAAGCATGGGACCATCATCTGGCCCATGGTGAGTACTATGTGGTTGTTAGCTGCTCACCACCAATCTAAGGGACCAGGATCATGCTCCATGGGGCTCTCTCCTACAGGATGGGGACAGGAGGAGACCCAAAGCCCTAAGGCACTGGTTCACAAAGTATGGAGGAGGGGCATGCCTGGAAAATTGTTAGAAATACAACCTCTGGGCCGGGCGCGGTGGCTCATGCCTGTAATCCCAGCACTTTGGGAGGCTGAGGTGGGTGGATCACCTGTAGGTCAGGAGTTTGAGACCAGCCTGGCCAACGTGGTGAAATCCTGTCTCTACTAAAAATACAAAAATTAGCCAGGCATGGTGGCGGGCGCCTTTAATCCCAGCTACTCGGGAAGTTGAGGCAGAAGAATCGCTTGAACTCGGGAGAAGGAGTTTGCAGTGAGCCAAGATTGTGCCATTGGACTCTAACCTGGAAAACAGGAGCAAAACTCCGCCTCAAAAAAAAAAAAAAAAAGAATTACGACTTCTGGGACCCTCTCTATAGATCTACTGAATCAAAAACTGTGTTTAACCAGCCCCCTGATGATTTTGATCCAGGTTCACATTTGAGAACCCAAGAAAATCATGGCCTCCAATTGATAGCATTTGGAGGATCGAGTAAGGCTGATGTGAAACCAGGTGGGAACCATGATTTCTTACCAGGAGAAAGGCTAGGAGGAAGCAGTTGAAAGAGTGGCAAGGACCTATTTTTAGAGGAAGTTGTTGGATTTTTTTTTAAGTCAACAATAAATAAGCAAAATGTCATAATATTTCTAAGACAGGGCTGATCTCTCAAGTTTTCTATTCATAGCAACCTACCCAGTTAAAAGCAGCAATCGCTGCATCTAAGGATAGACAGGGAAGCCACGATTTGGCCCGTTTGGGTTTGAAGAGTGCCATAAGAATAAACAAAGTCTGGCCAAGCCTGTGCTGGCTCATGAATCAAACGAAGGTGAGAATTTCAGTTTTAAAGCATCTTTACCACAGGCTCACACCCTCACAAACCACCCCCACACAATCCCCAGTTATGTGCTGCTCCAAGGAGGAGAGTTGAGATGAGTCTGCAGAAGCCCAGAGAAGCCTGGGCGTGAGAGCCAGTACGTTACCTCTAAACGGTTGCTCCGGAGAACCGTTTGGTGAAGTTTGGTATCAACTCACTGGTCTGACGATGAACCCACAAGACATGCAGTAACAGGAGCAAAATTCTCTTGATTAGAGGACCATAATATTTTGCTGAGTTTAGGGGTGAGGGCACAGCTGCTGTCCAGGTTATACGGAGCTGAGCACATTACAGTTGAACCAGGTGTTAGGTGAAAAATTTGTGAGTTGATGGAATGATCACATAAGAGATTGCTCCATCTCCTCCCTCTCCACTTTGTCCTTCTCCTTTTCTTCCCTCCTCAGGTGTCCACTGGGCACAGCTCATCATTATTGAGTGTCTGGCTGGGTATTATGATGTCAGAGGCATCAGCCACAGAGGGTGATGCCTGAGAAGGGACAGCAGCCCAGCCCCATTCAGGGACACGTGGCCCTGATTTGAGCTCCTGTGACATCACGCTCCCTCCACTTATCTTACATGTCACATCTCAAACATTTAACATTTTACATCTCAAACATTTCTTGAGGCCCTTACCCTCCCATTCCCCCAAATCAATACGGCACTTAGGGGACACCAAGGCGCAGAGACACTTGCCCCAAATCATGCAGTAATGCCCTGGTGCCACCGTGAACAGTGCTGAAGCTTCCTGACCCCTTGTCCAGGGGACCTGGCTGCCTTTTATAGAAAGTTTCCACACACCTTCTATTCCTAACCTCGATCACAAGCATCGCCGGCCCAGATGCTCTGTGTCACCGGCTTAGTAACATACCCCATTTAGGAGCATGAGCACAACTTGTTTGCAGTGGGAATGAATTAACTGAATTCTAGATATTGTTTTTTGGCTGCCTTTTTTTGTTTGTTTTTATTTCAAACACAGCTAACTAATCAGGGCTGTGGACACCAAGAATGCCAACTTTGATTCTTCAAGGAAAATCAGCAGCTGACCACACACCACCCTTCCTGGTCCTCCCCGAGATGCCAAGAACATCCAAAGTCTGCAGTTTTGAGGTAAGAAGAAATACTTGGTTCATAACTGCCCATGGAGGGGCAGGATCCATCTTTTCTCTTTCTTATTTTGCAAGATGACATTAAGAGGAACAGTGCTGAGAAAATGGAAGATAATCTAAAAAACAAAGGTCATCACTTCTTTATATAATGTTAGAAGTTTTCTGTATGTCTTGACCTTGAGGTCTAAAATGGGTAGAGCCTTTGGAGGAGAAGAGATCAAGCCCCTTGGAGTCAGTCAGGGGAAGGGCAGATGTATAACCCCTATCACAGGGTCAGCTCCATGAATCACTGCACAGATCCCACTGCCAAAATCAAGCCCCGGAAAGCACAAAGATTGGAAGAACTGGCTTATTTATCAAACAACTGATGGGCCAGGGCAGGGAGCAACTCCCAGCCAATAAGGTGACTTGGTTTCTCAAAATGACATAAGTACATTTCAACTGTGTAGTAAATAAAACAAAATTTCATTATAAAAGGGCCCCAACTGTCCCCCATGTGATCTGCCTCTGCTGCCTCCTCATGTGACTGGCCTCCCAATTTAGCGCGTAACCAACTCCCAATGACCTGTAATAACACTATTCCCAAATTAGAGCTCTCAATTTGACTTGGCTTCGGTCCCTCCCTCAAAGCAAAATAAAGCATCCGTTTTCTTTTTTTCACATTCATAATACTCTCCTTTTGAGTTGCCAACTCAAACCCTGTTTCAGTCAGATTGAGCCCTTCCTCTATTTTTTTTTTTTCTGGTTAGCCAAAGAGCCCGATGGAAAAACACCAAGAGACAAAAACAAAAACAAAATCAGACAAAAATTCCAAGTAAGTGACATTCAGCTGGAAAAGCTATGATTCACATGCAAATAAAAATCTCCCTGAATTCACTGTTATATGACGCAAGCCCCTGGCTGCGACATAAAAAGGGCAGAATGAAATCACCCACAATTAAACTTGCTCTGGAATACTGGAATTCTCTGGCTAGGCCTTCCCGACTAATGATAAGAAAACCCCCAACTGTAGCAGAATGAAGCTAATTGTGTTGGGAGCCAGGGCATCCCCACCTCAGCTGATATTCACTCCTGAAACTTCCCAACCCAGCACTCCCCATCCTCACCCACTCCCTCACCCACATTCAGAATAACCTGCATGGAGACAGGGCTCAGGTCCTCTAAAGGCATCCCTTCTTTCTAGGCAGACATGAGGGATTTGTGCTGAGAAAGCTGGACTCACCACCCTATCCCCCAGGAAGCTAGAGTACAAGAAAGCTTTCGCTGGAGCTTAGAAAGATCTCCCTGAGACTACATAGGACCTTTGTATGAGCTTCACAGGAGCATCACTTTCTGTTGTCAAGTCCAGGCCAGAGATAGTTTAGCAAGTAACCTCTCCTGACTGGTAGATAATTTAACATCCCAATTCCCTCTTTTCTTCCTCAGGAAACTGAAGCTGATCTGACACCACTTCCTTTTTCTCCAGATGTTACCCTTCGGATGCATACCTCAATCTGCCTGAAAATCATGGAATTCTGGAGATGGAAGGGACCTCAGAGATTTTCTGGTTCTCTCTGTTCTGGTTGTAAGTGTTCTTACCACACACCACTCCCAACCATGGGGAGCCTTTCCACCACTGAAGAGAGCTGGGGTTACTAAAGCCACAATCAGCTTCTCTGCAACTTCTAACCATTTGGCTAAGATCAGTTTTTCTGAAACCACAAAGAAAAAAAATCTACGAACAAGTACTAGCGTACCAATGTTCACAGTAGCATTATTCACAAGTCATAAGGTGGAAGCAACCCAAATGTCCATCAACAGATGAATAGGTAAACAACATGCGGAATATACATCCAATGGAATCCTCTTCAGCCTCAACAAGGAAGGAAATTCCAGTGCATGCTATAACATAGATGGACCTCAAGGACACTGTGCTAAGTTAATTAAGCTAGACACAAAAGGACAAATGCTGTATGACTCCACTTGTATGAGGTCTCTTGAGTAGTCAGAAAGCAGAATGGTGGCTGCCAGGAGCTGGGGGGGGGGGCAGGAAGAATGGGGAGTTATTGTTTAATGGGAACAGAGTTTCTGTTTGGGATGATGATAAAGTTCTAGAAATTGATAGCTGTGATGGTCACACAACATTGTGAATATAATTAATGCCACAGGACTGTATATTTAAAAATGATTAAAATGGCAGATTTTATGTTATGATAAAAAAATACAAAAAGATAAATCTACTCTCCCTTCAGGGGAAGACAGCCATTCACCTAAATCTTTTTCAGGCTAACAGTCTCCAGTTTTTTCTAACAATCTTTAGGTGGTATGATTTCCAGGCCCCTGCAGCTTCCTGGCCACCCTCCTCTGGCTACACTTAATGCCTCTTTGAAAACCTGGTACCCAGAACTGAATGGTGGACTGCGCTCAGCTTCTCCTTCCAGGTCCCGCCCTGAGGCACCCGGCTTAACCCCCAAGTCAAACGCTGCACAGAGCAGGCCTGCTGCCTGCCCACTCTGGCTACCAGGCCAAAGGCCCAGGTCTGGAAGAATAAAAAGATGCCACCACCCTACTACCTTGCTGCTGCTCCATCCCCAGACAGCTGTGGGCAGCTGCAGCTGAGAAGTGAAACTAACAACAGCATCTGGGGGAGGGGGCGGCACCCAGCTGAGCCCTTTCCATAGGTTTCCCGTTTCTGGTTGGGGGGGGGGGCGGGGGTGTCTGGCCAATGGAAACAGGGCAGGCCCTCAGGGATGCCTCTTATCAGCAACCCACTGGAAGTCTGTAACCCCCTTCATGGTACGGTGTGCAGGGCAGGGATGGGAGGCACAGCTAGATGTGTGCAGCCCCAGCCTAAGCCAGGCCTGTTGGGCACCACAATGGGCTCACCCGCCTCGGTCCATCTGGAAAAGGTTTGAAAGCTTGAGGCAGGAAAGTTCCCTTTTGCATTTTAAAGTGTGTTGAAACTGAGTAGCCTGGGTGTTGGTCTCATTCCACAAGTGAGTAATCCATTTCCTGAAAGTAAGCTGCTCCCCCTTTGGAAGTGGCCCAGCGATTTGGGGGTGCTGTTAGAGGTGTCACTAACTCGGTAAATATTTATTGGCACAAGCAAGGAGCTTTTCTAGGAATATCAGTTAATTTGCTAAACTAATGGCTTTAAGGTAGCACCCTTGAAAAAAATTAATTCCTTTCTGATGGGTGAGCAATTTATGCCTGGGACAGGGCACCAGACAGGCAGTGTGTTTCACTTACTAGTTAGAATAACCACAAATAAATTAAAACCAGGCCTGACTTTAAAATCTCTACCTTCTTCCTTTTCTTGACTCCTGATTTTCTATTAATATCTGAGCCAGTAATGGATTGACTTTGGAAAACTCTTTTCTATGGCAATATTTTGCTGGGAGTTTGAAATGATGGGGTTTGAAAACTCCCTTTCCTGTGAGTCTTTTGGCTTCTGGGATCCCATACGGATGATCTCATATATCTACCCCTCACTAAGACTGTGCCCACCTGGATCTATCTGGAGACGTGCCTCCTGTTCTTCTGTGTAGAGCAATTTAGACTTTCATCACCTGGCTTGAAAAAGCCTTTTGCCTTGAAGAATAAAAACTTGGTTTCTTTATGGCTCAAATGATCACCTTAAAATCCTTTTAAAAAGACTCCTGTGCCACCTTCTCCTCCTCCTTCATGAGACAGGCGGTCCTCAGGAAGGAATCTACATTTTCTGATCCAAACTATGGAGACAGAGGAGTATACTCAGAGCTCTGCCAGGAAGGGGATGAGTTTGTGTGGTACAGGTTGTGATGCAGGAATACATCAAGCTCAGGAGTGATTCTCCATGAAGTATCGTGGATGGTTATAGATCTGATAGAAAAAAAGTCATTCTGGATTCCTGATCTCATGACCAGCATTTTTCCTCAATCTTTCTTGGAACTATCCCTTTTAGTCATGATCTTAGAAATCCTATGTGACTGCCTTGGGCTCCAGACATCACTGCCATCCACTTGGGTCTTCTGGGAGACTCTCACTAACCTGGCATGGTCCTGTGCCTCAGACTCTATCCTGCCTCACAAAGGCTCGCACCTGTATTTTCAGCCATCCCTATAAGGATCGTCCTGAGATCCAATGCCACTCCCTATTTCATCCCCTTCAGGGGTACCTGGAAAGGAGATGACTGAGAGATGGTGGCCCTCCTTTGGTATCTTGCAGACGTGTATATAATGGAGTCCAAGCCCATGAAGCCCAGAGTGTCAGTACACACTCTGTCCCTCAAGACCCAGGCAGGGTACCCTTGGGGCACTCAGCTTCCCAGGGAGGGCCCCCTCCAGCAGCACATGACGGAAGCACTGCACGGCAGCCAGCAATGGGAGAGGACAATATGCTGGCTGCAGGGAACACAGGGTTGGTTATTCAGGTACCAGCAATACCAAAACCCATGTTTATCCTTGTTCATTCATTTCCTTTCTTTCAGCAGGCCTATTACATACAGCATTGCATAAGTCACTGAATGTCTGAAAAACAGGGCTGGCCTATGTTGATAGTGTAGGAATTTGGCCTCTATTTCCTTTTACGCTTTAATTTGGTACATGTTCATCTTCCACTGCATTATCTTTTTACTGTTTTGAGGACACAGCCATAGTCAGAGTGCAGATCCAGAGCGAACACCTTGGAGACTTGATTATGTGCTCAGAAACTCCCCTCTTGAATACTTTTTGGAACAAGCTGAGGTATGCATAAGTAAATGCTTCAAATACAGTATGGACAAGGATTAGCAACCATTATTATCAACAGGGTTATCAGGAACTGGGAAATGTCAGATTCACAAAATGAGCCTTCAATGGGATGTGTGCAAAGAGGGGCACTGGTTGAGAGTTTGGGACCCAGATGGGGTGGTGTGTTTGTCACGTGGCTACCATTGGTACCAGTGTTCAACAGCCACAGGGAAACCTGCTTATTATTCTGTGGCTGCCTCCTACACAGGCATGGCTCAGGGAAGATAGAAAGGCCTCAGAGGAGTGAAAATGGAATCAAACAGAAGAGACAGGAGGCCGACATGGAACTGAGCAAGTTCTGGCTACTTCTGTTGCTTTTTGAGTCAGGGGAATGTGACGTATGGACTCTTCCCCTATAAACTCATACCTCAAGATTCTTCTGTGCACACAGCAGACTCCCCACAATCCCAAACATTAAAGGCCACAACCCCAAACATTGTGGGATAAGAACAGGGATCCGGAGATTCCTGAGTCACACACTAATGAAATACCTACCTCAGGCACATGTTCATAATATTCATCCTTAACACTCTGTAAGGCCAGTCCTAGACCCAGGTACTGCATGTTATGACAGCATAATTATTTTGTGGTCTGTCTTCAATGGCTCTGCATTTCCTCCTAAAGTGGGATATTGCGGCAGTCATAAATCTTTCCATCCTCCAGAGCAGTGGTCTGTCACAGCTTACTTAAACCGCTTATCTTTTGGGAGAGTTCCAATTCTTACTTTGTTTGAACTTAAGCCCTGCTAAACTCATCTCCCTGCATATTTTTCATTTGGGGCTCCATCAAAAAACTAATTAAAATAAAAAAGTTTTCTAAAAGGCAGGGCGTGGTGGCTCACACCTGTAATCCCAGTACTTTAGGAGGCCAAAGTGGGAGGATCACTTAAACCCAGGAGTTTGAGACCAGCCTGGGTAACATAGGGAGATACCATCTCTATAGAAGATTTTTAAAAATTAGCTGGGCATAGTAGTGCATGCCTGTAGTCCCAGTTACTCAGGAGGCCAAGGTGGTAGAATTGCTTGAGTCAGGGAGTTCAAGGCTGCTATGAGCCATGATCATGCCACTATACTCCAGCCTGGGTAACAGAGCGAGTCCGCATCTCCAAAAAGAAAAATAAATAAAGTAAAATAATCAGTGTCTCATGAGCATAATGATCAATACACACACACACAATCACATTTACCTATTTAATCTCTGCTTTCATGTCTGATTAGTATCTATCATCTGTGGAGTACTTTTTTCAAAAGTGGGCAAGATCTCTTTCTAAACATTATCACATCTCAAATGCAAGACAAGTGGGACTGTGGTGAGGAAACTGAGGCTCATCGTGGTGAAGTGACACACGGTTGGGGGGTTGGGGGGCTGGGGGGCTGGAGGGGGGGTCTTTCTGCAGCCTTACTCCTGGTTCCCAGCCCAACAGCTGGTCCCCCATCGGTTCACTGCTGAGGTTAAGCTGATGCTTGCTGGAAGAAAGGTCTGCACAGCGAAGCCTTACAGTTTCACTTACGTTCTTGGTTCTCTTACAAAGGAATCTAAACCTTGACGGACATTAGAAATTTAATAATAGTTTAAGAACAAATCCCAGCATGTCTCCAAAGCAATACAGAATCAAATTCTGAAAGCAAATAAGATCCTGCTTTATTCTTCTCTCTCTGGCTCCGCTGGCAGGGTGGGAGTGAATCGGGTGTGTCGAGTGAGGGGAGAAGAGACTCCAGAACATACCATTATGATTATCTAACAATAACAACACTCTTACTGGCAGTGTCCTCTGAAAAGATTAACATGAGGTTTCTTTTACTCTACATGGCAACAAGCTTCTGAAGAAAATACAGTAAAAATATAAACCGCTTAACTACCAGTGATGCTGGTTTCTTTAAGCTTTCTTAAAACCTTAACATTATAAACTGAGGAATGTGCTGAAATATGCTGGAAGTTTCTTGATCTTGTTTCAACTAATAGTCACTTTTCAATTTCTCAGAAAAGGATATTTAACAAATACGGCCAAACTTAAGTAACTTCAATTTCATTAATTTTCTCTTAAAACAAACCTATCAAAAAGTAATGACACAGGAAAAGAATAGCCCCAATACCCATATTGCAACCCTAAACATCATCTACTCACAGTCCAGAAACATACTCAATCTGTCTTTCAGTAACAGACCTGAAAATTACACCACATTGGTAAGAAGCAACTCCACTGCAGATGTGTTAAAAAATGAGTGGCAATTCAGGCCCAATTCACCATGGGTTGTTTTAATAATTTTTATTTTCTGAGCAGTGACTTTTTTCAAATAGAAAATCTGGCAATTGTATTAAAACCAATACTGTTAATTTTCACTTATATAGTTCTTAGTCTACAACTACATGAAGCCTAAGAAAAGATTTCTGTATAAAGAAAAATGTAGTGACCTCAGGCAAGCCTGTGAGATTTTTCCAACAGACACAACAAGGGAATAAATGGTGGGGGGAATTGGGCATGAGCCACCCATGATCTGAAGATAAGGGAGTGTGGCCCCGGTAGGACTGTGAGCACACATGCTCCATCTTTTCTTGATGCACACACCTGTCCACGATCATTTGGCTTCCAAATCCTCGAGGTCACTATCCCATCATGTCCTATCTTAGGCCCAGACAGAATCCTCTTGTCAAATCTTGAAGACTTTCAAACAGAAGTATTACTGTATACACATTCTGAAATGGATTTGATGAGCAGAGGGAAGAGTTACTGTGCAGAGACCAGGAATGCAAAAGGGGTCAGTTCAGAGTTGTCTCCCAATTGCAGACAGGACCTCAGGGACACAGCACTTGGTTCTAGCTCTGGGAATGTAATCTCTTGTGCCTCAGTTTCCTCCTATTAAAAATACACAAAATGGTCTTCCATCACCCGCCACTTCCAAAGGATGACATGGAAAACAATGGTTTGTGCATCTAAAGACTTAGTACTGGGATAATGATAGGCATTCACTTTGGATGCCCTCATTTAAAGACCTTCACTCCTATAAACTAAGGCCTCCACTTCCATGCAGGCCTCAGGGTAGCCATGGAAACTTGGTCTTTGCCTGGCATCCCGCATCATCTGGAAAGGGGAGAACATGCTTACACGTTCTTGGTTGCAGATTGGTATTTTTGGCATTTTTAGAAAAGACTAGACTGTTTTTCATATAATTCATTTCTCATAATATTAGCACTTGTGTTTTAAGAGCACATAGCAAGGAGCTATTGTTAGAGAAGCCAGGATCAGAATCAAGTGGCTAAGTGATAAGGGATACTGCTCATGCTCTTCTCTTGCTTCTAAATGTCTGCTTTCTAGCAGCTCCAGAATATTCCTGGTCCAATGCATTGTAGACACATTAGAATCACCCAAAACAACTTTAAATATTTGACCTCCTGCTATAATCTCCAAAAATGATAGAAAAAAACCCAGCTTATCTGCGAGTTTCCCCAAAGTCCTACTAGTCTGTCATAAACAAAATCCAAATCCGAGTCAATAAAACATAAGTGTTCAAACTGTCTGTCTTCCTTGTTTCCCCCACTTCTCCCTGCTATCTCTTGGCTATTTACTATTTTTAAACCTTACATAGCACAGAGAAAGAGGAATGGCATTTGAATGAAGTTTGGAGACAAGATCGAGTCCACAAGAAGGTAGCATAAAAGGCTGGGATTATGCAGGGTTTCAATTATCCATGCTTTCCCTAAAGATCAGGCCGGGCGCGGTGGCTCACGCCTGTAATCCCAGCACTTTGGGAGGCCGAGGCGGGCGGATCACGAGGTCAGGAGATCGAGACCATCCTGGCTAACACGGTGAAACCCCGTCTCTACTAAAAATGCAAAAAATTAGCCGGAAGCGATGGCGGGCGCCTGTAGTCCCAGCTACTCAGGAGGCTGAGGCAGGAGAATGGCGTGAACCCGGGAGGCGGAGCTTGCAGTGAGCCGTGATCGCGCCGCTGCACTCCGGCCTGGGCGAAAGAGCGAGACTCCGTCTCAAAAAAAAAAAAAAAAGATCATATATTCCATACCCCTCCCCACCTGACCTACACACACACACACACACACACACACACACACACACACACACACACACACACACACACACACACACACACACACACACACACAAATGGTGACTGCCCAAAATACGACACATTGGTATTAGAGAAAACAGCAGAATTAGGAAGGTCACTTTTAAATTCTCCTCCCTTCTCCCCTGAGGCAGGTCATAAAACCTTCATTCTAGAGGTACCCTCCCTGTACCTGGAGGAAAGGAACATCCTTATTTTTAACGACACAGAGATGCCAAGAAGAATCTGAACAAACAGGCCTTGCTAAACTCCCTTAAGTTTATTACCATTAGATCACATCCTTTTGTCCCCCAATCATACTTCTGCACAACTGTGCATTCTTTATCAAACCTAAGCATAAAATATGCAGATTTCTCTGTTTCTTTGGGTCTTCTTTTCTGAAGCCTCCCATGTCATGCAAAACTTATATTTGAATTAATTTGTATGCTTTTCTCTTGTTAAAATCTGTCTTTTGTTGTAGGAGCCTCAGCCACGAACCTAGTGTTGGGAAAGAAAGATATTTCTTTTCCTTTACGATTGATAGACAGACAGACAGAATGAATGAATGCAAATTGCTGAAGAACATTAGAAGCTATTTAGAAAGGATTCAGATACTAGTGTAAACCCCAAAAGACTAATTCAATAGAAAAAAATGCCCTTTTAACCAAACAATTCCAACATAGGAGAGAATGTTCCTCTTTCTTCAAAGCCAAATATTTTACTATGTTTTATAAGACTAATTAAAACAATATTGTGGTATTCGAGAATGTGTGGGTTATGGAGAGGAACAATCTGCCCCACAAAAATCTTCATTTCATCAAGCAAACACCACATCTATGGTGAGAGTTATGCAGGATCCTCGGAGACTTTTGCTTTGTTTCATTAACATTCACATATCCACTTGGTAAGAACCGTAGCTTGGAACTACGATTTCCATTACAAAGCCTCTGAAATGCCAGGAATGAGTCATGGCATTGTGCAGCCTGGGCAGTGCACTGATTTTCTCCATTAACCAGGCGTACATTCTGACAACTTCCAGGAGAAAGCTGAATGAGTCAGTTTCAGGAATAAACCACATTAGAATACTATGTGCGTGGAGGAGTTAGGGTAATAGGGATTGGTTTTTGCTGCTGTTTTGTTCTTTTAAAACAGAAATATTCATAAAATTCATTTCTCTGAAGATAGCAAAATAACATAGATCCACCCAATTATAAGGATTCTAACACCATGACCAATTTGGTTGCCCAAACATTACAAAGTGTAGTAAAACTGCTAGGATCAAAAATAGCTTTTCAAGGACAGTCCCACAGCCCCCTTAACACAGAGAACACTACCTCTGAACCACTTCCAAACACCTTCTCCTTTCCTGATTTTCTTCTTTGGGTGTCTTACACCACCTGACTTTCACAGAGAAATGGGAAGTCAGGAGATAACAAGTTAGATAACTAAACGACGGAAACACATGGCCAGAATTCAGGCAGAGCATGTGCCGTGTTTCAGCAGGAACAACAAACCTGACTATAAAAATGGATCTCTGGCTTCAGTGGGAAGCAAAATGCATAATGCAAGGCTCTAGACTGCGAGGATCTCTTCTGCATCCTGTCATGTTCCCTGCTGCCATTTCGGTTTTGGAAATTGGAGTCCAAATCTCTTTAACCCTACACGTTCTTGAGAATTGCTTACTGTGTTTATGAGATGAAGGCCTAAAGCATTGTCATCCTGGACCACCTACTAAATAAAGAAATCAGCAATATTAGAAGGCTAGCAATTTCCTGGCAAGGTGGAAATATACTGAAAGAACTAAAAGCAGAATAGGCACAGTGGTTCACGCCTGTAATCCCAGCACTCTGGGAGGCTGAGGCGGGTGGAACACCTGAGGTCAGGAGTTTGAGACCAGCCTTGCCAACATGGTGAAACCCTGTCTTTACTAGAAATAAAAAAAAAAAAATTAGCTGGGTGTGGTGGCTCGTGCCTGTAGCCCCAGCTACTCAGGAGACTGAGGCAGGAGAATCGCTTGAACTTGGGAGGCGGAGGTTACAGTGAGCCAAGCAAGATTGTGCCACTGCACTCCAGCCTGGGTGATAGAGCAAGACTCTGTCTCAAAGAAAAGAAAAGAAAAAAGAAAAGAAAGGAAAGTACTAAAAGCATAAAATGGTTAACATCTTTTTAGAACTTCTGATCTTGTTTGAAACCAATACCATAGGATGATTTGAAAACTGAGTACAACCATGAAAAATGGAGATATCTGAATACGCCAAAGGCACTTTTAATACCAAAATGAGAGGTGAAGTAGTTAGGGTGACTGTCAGGAGCCAGTACATCTCAGATCGAACATGGAGCTGCTGTGGTATTCAGGGGCTCCTTTGTACAGGATCATACTCAGTTGTTCTCCATCTTTCTTAGTATTGAGTCGCGGCCTTGCTTTTTCTTTTTTTGGATTTGGCCTCTAATGTTTAGGCACGAGTCAGCACACACAGATGAATAGATTAACTGAGCTAATTTAAGGGAGCCCTCCCGTGGAAGGATTCTTTTTTAGCCTTCTATATTTAGGCTAAGGTTTGTGCCTGTGCAAGACACTGACTGAAGAACTGAGTTTTCCAAACCTCACGAGCAAGGACTCTCTACCGTGAGATCTTCCTAACAAACCTCTCACTTGTTCATGGGAGCTCTGATGTCCCCATAACCACAGAGTATTAAAACAGGCCAATTATGGCAAGCTCATTTGTACTGCAGGGTGACTCTCGCCTCACTTTCAAAAATGTGGTGAGCACATACTGTGTTGGTATTCAGGCTAGTGAATATCCCTATCTGGTGAAACTCGATAAAACTTAATTTGATATGACAACTCTATTGAATTCTACCAGAAGCAATCACTTCAATTAAATCACACAGTTCCTAAATCTCACATTTAGTAACAAAGTAAAGACTTTGAAGCTCTCCCCTGCTGCAACATTGTTTCTCATGTCCTTACACTATTGCTTAGTCAGACCTAAAGCATAGCTAAGGAATAAGTTTAAAGTTTGACTCTCAAGCAAAAATTTCAAAGGTTCTGTGACTTGTTGGTCATAAAATAAGCTGCTCTCCATGGTAGGGGATTCTCTGCCTTTTTTTTTTTTTTTTTTTTGGAGACGGAGTTTCACTCTTGTTGCCCAGGCTAGAGTGCAATGGCACAATCTCGGCTCACTGCAACCTCCACCTCCTAGGTTCAAGTGATTCTCCTGCCTCAGCCTCCTGAGTAACTGGGATTACAGGCGCCCGCCACCACGCCCGGCTAATTTTTATATTTTTAGTAGAGACGGGGTTTCACCAGGTTGGCCAAGCTGGTCTCGAACTCCTGACCTCAGGTGATCCACCCGCCTCAGCCTCCCAAAGTGCTTGGATTACAGGCGCGAGCCACCATGCCTGGCCTTCTGCTTTCTTTTAAAATCTCTCCCTACTGAGCCAACCACAGTGGCTCACACCTGTAATCCCAGCACTTTGGAAGACTGAGGTGGGACGATCGTTTGAACCTGGGAGCTCGAGAGCAGCCTGGGCAACACAGTGAGACCTCATCTCTACAAAAAATAAATTTCAAAATTCGCTGGGCATCATGGCACGGGCCTAATATTCCCAGTACTCAAGAGGCTGAGGTGGGAGGATCACTTGATTTCCAGGAGGTTGAGGCTGCTGTGAGCCGTGATCATGCCACTGCACTACAGCCTGGGTGACAGAGTGAGACCCTGTCTCAAAAATAAAATAAAATCTTTCCCTAGCCCACTTATTTGAGTATCATTTAGGGCATAGGTAATGCTAAGGGATCTACCACATTGTCACAATGATAAGAATGTCAATAGATTCTCTTCTCATGTCTTTGACATTTAAAGACATCTGTAGAAAGGTAGACACCATCTGTGTCCTCCTGCTGGCAGAGACTAAACGCCTGCATGGTAGAAACCACACCAGTAGAAACCACACCAGTATCTACACCAGTATCTACACCAGTTTCTACACCAGTAGAAACCACACCAGTACCTGACCAGTGTCAGAAGGGCCTTTAGAGAACAGAATCAATTATCCATTGCCTTCTCTTTTGTTTCACAAATTCTTGGGCATGCCGAAGAGGTCAAGTTTTGAACAAGCTGCTTTTACAGTCTTACTTTTTTAGAGAACCTCATGCAAAAAATTTAAAAGCAAAAAGCAACTTAAAGGAGCAGCAAAACTCCTGCCCTTCCCTCCCTAAAAATGGAATAAACTTACTTGGCAGTATCTCTGCTGCCACTGAATATATTTACTGCTTAAATGAGACAAACCTCTTGCCAGGCTTCTTGCCGACTCTGCAGGGACCTAGGCCTCCTTTGCATAAACACTTCTTTCCAGAGAAAAGAATGAGAATGCCACACTTTAATATTTTGGCATTCCTTGTTGGATTCAAGTGGAATGCTAAAATGGATTTAGGTCCCAGAGGAGAGAAGTGAATGAATTTTCATCACTCCCCCGACTTAATTCTATGTGCCCTAAGCGTGGCGTCTGATGACTCAGAGTAGGTTCCATGCTCAGATAGAGGCATCAAACGCTTCAGAAAGTAGGGAAGAGTGGCCTCCAGAGTTCAGCTCTCAAAAATAAACCAATCCAGATCCATGAGCTGAGGTCTGAAGTTTAAGAGCGATAGCCATTACTATTTACACAGACAGAAGACCGAAATTTGATCTCCCTTCAGCTCAGTCAATAAGATGACCGGAAGAAGTGCTAGGCTCTCTCTTCTTAGACTCAGCTGCCTAAGGCCCTGTAGATGGCCTGCTGGGGCTGGGCTGCTGCTCCCTCCTAAGGGCTGCAGAGCCCTCCCACCCCTGCCCACAGGACCCAGGGCTTCGGTAGACAGCTTTGTCCCAGTGATGCCTGGGCATCCCGAAAGCAGGTGAGAATTCAGTGGACTTCCAGAGTGTTCCTTCTAAGCAGCTGAGAGGTTAAATGAAACCAGTCCAAATTTCCAGTGCTAAAAGCAGCAGGCAGCCCGCTATGCTGACGCTGCCGTCACAAAACCCATGGTTGAGTACAAGGTAGCCATTATTTATTCATGATCCTGAGAATGTTTTTATTGCCTGTATTGTTTTCTAACTTTGGAAGCACCAAATAAGGATGACTTTTGGTGCAAGGTAGGAGCCAGGACTATTTATATGATCTCATTCTTTCTTACATAATATATTAAACAGGCCCTTTAGGCCTGAGCGTGAAAGAGCCAAATTCTAGCTCTGGACAAACATGTGCTGCTCCCATTGAAATTGGGGTGACTTGGCTGTCAGACAGCTGTGGGGCAAACTTTACTCTTCAGCAAGGATATGATGGATAAAGAATAGTTTCCAAGCATGGATTATAGTGCTCTGGAAAAGAGCCACTGGAGGAATATGAAAGTAAATTCCTTTAAAGCCCAAATCAGCAAATACTTCCCATCATTTACAAATATGCTTGTCTACCTTCCAAGCCTGCAAGGTAACCTTCGAGAAAGGGTCCCAGGTACCTCTCTGGAGATCATTCAAGATCTCTTCCGGTGAGTCTCTAATGCCGGCAAAATGTATCTTGGGCCAGAAAATCACTCTCCTAACTGTTAACACGGTGATATTTCACTCTTAGTCACTTCGTGGGAAGATGCATAGCTGGTTTCAGAGCAACAAATTACTTTACAGTTGCACTTCATCATTTCATTGTTCCCATGTTACAGACAGACATTTTATGGTAATTGATCTTGATTTAGTACATACATAGACTTATTTACATGCTACCTTGTACCAAAAAGAATTTTAAATGACTTACATGTGGTCTTAGAAATTGCCCTACATCCTTATAACCCTTAAAAAATAATACTATTCTTGTCTAATAAGTTAGATTTAAAAAAAATTCATGATAACCTTTATGCAGCTAAAGTTAAAAGCAGATCAAACCTAGTGTTCAAATCCTCCAATTTTTAATTTGGAAAACAAATCCCAGGATGACAGGGCACCCTCTCAGGGGCCCTGTGAACCTTAGTCAGCCTTTTCTGAAGTCTTACGGAATTCCAGCTATAGATAGGTAGAAGAGGAGGCAGAGAGTGACAGATTCCACATCATGACAAAGTGAGACGTCTGCAGATGACTGAAAATAGTCTCCCACGGTTGGTTTTAATCTTCCCACCTTCCCTCCACCCTCGTACACCCTTCTGCGCTTAGGAAGAGTAAAGATGACTGCATTTAAGTGGCTGACAGGCATCCCAAGGCTCGAAAAAATTTAAAAGAGGGAAAAAAACACAAAAAAAACAGCTGGATGTGGTGGCATATGCCCGTACTCCCAGCTACTCCAAAAGCTGAAGTGGGAGAATCGCTTGAACCCAGGGGTTCCAGTCCAGCCTGGGCAACAAGGCAAGACCCCATCTCAAAAAAAAATAAATTTAAATTAAAAACAAAAACAAATTCCAAAGCAGAATGGCTGACTATACCCTGAAGAAAAAAAAAAAAAAAAAAACACTATAAACAGAAAAGGAAGCAGTAGATGGGGGTAATGGTGTGACATTTTCCTTCTCCCCATCTCCCAATCTCCCCCTAACACTACTCTCCATTCCTGCCCCCACCCCAATGCCTCTGCAGCACCACCCCTTCTCTTGCCCCAAAGTTCAGCTTCCTGCTAGGGCCCTGTCGCACCTCTTCCCTGAGGTGTCAATTCAGGCCTATGCGTTGAGCCCTGATAATCCAAGCTTTGATTTCATGCCTGCTGGCAGCTGGTTCATTGCCACATTCACTGGCACTGAGATGTAGAAACCTACTCTGAGACAGGTTCAGATTCAGGCTTCACACACACCCACTACAGAATTCTGGAAGACTGAGTTCGTTCCACGTGTTCAGTAAAGTCCAAGATTCTAGGCCTGACACTTGTCCCAAGCTGCCCTCTGCACCTCTCACCTTCTCTAACCCTGTGCCTCACTCAGCCCAGCCTCTGCCTTGGCTGTGCTTCCTCCTGGACAAACACTGCCCACCTCTCCTTGAAGGCCAAATCTATACCTGTCCTTTGACAAACTCATTTAACAATCACTCCCATTGCACTCACTAGGTGCTGTTCTAAGCACTTTCCATATCTCACTTAATCCTTACAACACCCCTAGGTACTATTATTATCCAGATTTCAAAGATGAGGAAGCAGAAGCATGGAGATGGGACCTAGCTTGCACAAGAAGCCACAACAAATAAGTAGTAAAGCCAAGGTTCAAACCCCAGAATCTGTGTCCCTAACAGTGATGCTGCTGGGCTGGGCTGCCTCTTCCATAAAACTCCCATGTCCCAACTCCAGCTAAAATTACTTTTTCCTTCCAAGTTCCAGAGCCCTTCAGTGATCTTTCTCTTACGATCTAACCATTTTCTGCCTCACTTTCGCCACACTTATCTTTCATTTTTCATCTTTCCTGGCAGATGGTAAGCTTCTTGAAGACAGAATCCATGTCTGATTCAACTTGGGTCCCCTCAGCCACGCCTGAGCTCTGCACATCCTCGGTGGGTGCCTGTCAATATTTATCGGTGGAAGGAGGGGAAAAAGAATTCACTCAGCTAAGGGATCTCCTGCTGGAATGAGGAACACTTCCTTCTTTGTGTTCATCTCTATGTGGCTGCAATGTTTATATTTACTTTTGTTGTTTTAGGAGCAATTTTAGCTGCTATTGGTAAGGAATGCAGGTAGTCTTGAAGGTCAAAGCTATGTCTTATGAGCATGGGAGGCAACAGCAGTTAAGTTCTCCTCTGTTCCCTCCACATACAAGAGCTACTTGTAGAGGTGGTAACAATGATATGAAGACAACAATTGCAGCAATAACAACAGCTACCATCAATCACATACCACGTGCTAGGCACTTTATATCCTATATTTGTAATTCTTTCAATAAGCCTACAAGCCAGGCTTTATTATCCTTATTTTACAGATGGGAATTGTGATTCAGAAAAGTTAAGTCATTTGGCCGAGGTCAAAAGCTGGTAAAACATAATGCTGAGGCTTGAACCCAGTTCTGCCTCCCCCAGGCTTCGTCTGGCTCCGTCCTCTACACAGCAATGCCTTTCTTAGCCCTGAAGGAGCTTCGCTTTCTGTAAGAGTTAAGAAAGGCAAGTCACCTGGGCCCATTCATTCTTGGCTTCCTGGATTTCGTGGTTTTGGTCTTTTATGTGAAAAGCTACCCTTACACATGCACATTTCTTCCAAGAAACCAGATGAACGGTAACCTACTTTCACAAAGCTCAGAGAGTCCTTAATGCCTAGGAACAGACTGGACGGCGATCACAAAAATGTACTAAGAGATTTACAAGAGGGTGGTGCAGATGGGGGCGGGGAATGAGGGATGGGGCCAGACAGACTTGCTTGGGGTCAGACAGGCAGAGCGAGAACTAAATGTTCTGTTCGGAAGAAAGGATACATCACTCTTCATTAATCTATAAAGTTGTCTTAGTTGGGCCACAACAAACACTCAGTGCGTTCACAACGTGGCCACAAAAACATTTCACTGGTCTGGGTGTGAACGTTTTTTCTTTACACAGGAAAAGCAGTGCTTTTCACCCCAGGGGGCTGGGGGGGCAGAAGGGAATCCCTCAAAACGCAGCATACACTTAAACATGATTCAGCTCTGATTCATAGAATCTGGAATATTATTCGATTCACTCCGGGATTCTTGGTGCAAAGCGTTCCCTGCATGCTGGCAACGTCATCTTTCCATGCTACTAAGCGACAGACAACTTTCTTTAACATGCTCTGAAGCTCACAATATGTTTAAGACAGACTTTTCTGTGTGTGAGAGAAAAGAGGTGCTAATTATAGGCAGGAACAGCAATACCTAGTGGGGGCCTAGTTAAAAACCAACACCAACAGTGGACTAAAGAAAGGAGTGCTAGCCGGGCGTAGTGGTGCACGCCTGTGGTCCTAGCTACTTGGGAGGCTGAGGCAGGAGGACTGCTTGAGCCTAGGAGTTCAGGGCTGCAGTGAGCGATGATCGCACCACTGCACTCCAGCCAGCCTGGGCAACAGAGTGCGATCCTGTCTCTCTCTAAAAAAAAAAAAAAAAAAAAAAGAAAGAAGCGTTGCTTCTAAAAATAAAGCTCTCCTTAAATATTCTTTATCAGCTTGTTTCAGCCAAACTTGACACATTCGGTACACATTTCAACCCTGTGACTTTTTTCTTTCCTGAGCATTCCGTGGAAAGCAGGTGCTCAGGGAGAGCCTCCAAGGAGGACAGCAGCAGCTTCCCCTTCTCTAACGGGCTCCAGGCTGGGGCATGTGAACCACTGAACAGTACCTTAGCTGTGTCTCCTCTAATGAGTAGGATGTAAGGGAGAAAATGTGGGTCAAGGGTTCAGAGAGCTTCATGATGATCCAAGCTGTAGCTACTGACTCCACAGCCCTGTGGCTGCGCCTCCTTCTCCCACGAATGGCTTAATGGTGGTATTTCTCCTCAATTTAAATTAAAGGAAGATAAAGCATGGTAGCCTAACCTAAATGTCCTCTGCTCTATGGCCTCGGGCACTGATTGGAGGTTCAGCCTTCTTTGTGAACATTTCAGAGTTCCCTGTCTGTCATTCCTTCTTGACCCTGCAGAGTGATATGGTGGAGAGAGAAGAACATGGACTCAGGAGTCAGACTCCCTGGCTTCACACCCAACTGTGTCACTCACCAGCTTTGTGACTTTAGGCAAGTTACTTAACCTCTCTTGCCTCGGTCTCCTCACCTGTAAAATAGAGATGATGAGAATAGTATCTATGTCATAAGGATGTTATAGGAAGAAAACCAGAAGGGGGATTAAATTAAAACAGTAAGTGCCACATAGGTGTTAACTAGCATTTTTTTTCCTTCCTATCTTCTTTCTTTTCCTTGGTTTCTACAAATGTTTATTGAATATCCACTAGCTAATACAAATAAATACAGACAGGATGTAGTCTTTGCCCAAGTAAGGACAGAGATAGAAAGCTACAGTAGAAAAAATCACCAGTCTGGCATTTGGGGAAACTGGACGCTGGTCCCAATACTGTCATTAACCCCTCTGTGGCTTTCTCACCTGTAAACTCCAAGATCCTTTTAGGGGATCTTGACAAATAGAAAATAAGTTCACTGCCAGGCCTCACATATCATGCCATCTGAGCGATTCTATGATAAGTACCCCCTAAACTCCAAGGGGAGAGAAATGGCTTCGAGTTGGGCCAGTCCTAGAAGGCATCAGAGACCCAGAATTTGTGCTCGGCCCTCGAGGATGGCTTGGAGATTGGGAGATGGAGGTGAAGAGAGGCTGTTTCAAGTAGAGGAAAGGTACTGTGCAAAGGCACAAGTTGTATGTAGGAACTAGGCCACAGAACATGGGGCTGTATCTGAGAACTGGTTTTGGGAAAGCAGGAGGGACAAAAACTCACAAGGTCAACTTGTAGAGGGCTGGTGTGTTATAAAACAATGGGCAGTTTTTGAGGCGGAAATCCGATCAGAACGGCAGTGTGTGGAGATGCATCTGGTGGCAGCCTGCGGGAGGGCCGGGGTGGAGAGAACAGCTGGAAGACAACTGTGCCAGGAAGGCATGAGAAACAGAGGGTGAGGCCCTCAGGGCTCCCGAGGCAGGCAGGCCCACCACTGAACAGCTGTCCAGTCTGGGGCGCTCACGTAACCTCTCTTGTCCACAGTTCTCTCCATTTAAAAAGAAGACAACATAAGCAAAGGCTAAGCATGAATGCATGGTGTGTGGTAAAGACTCAGTAAGCAGGACCCAGAAAATAAAGTAAAGGGTGTGAGATAAGCTGTGATTGAAAAATTACTATCCACCTGAGTTACTGGTGAAACAAATTGCACATGACAGCAAGAGAGAGAAGGGTTCCACAGAGCCGTCCCCACAAGTCACTCGCCCTGGGTGACAGGGAGAAGGCAACAGAGAGGCTGGTGATCCCAGGTGAATAGCAGGATGTGGAAGAATGACATTTGCCTCTCCTTGGCTCTTCAATGAGATGACCCAGGGTAACTGGACACTGTGGCTGACTGTCCTGGTCACCATGTGTAACAAAGGCACAGACACAGGACAGAGCAAAGCCAATGCCTTCCCTGTACCTGGAACTTTGACCTACAAACATGGAGACCCCTAGGGAAGAAAAGAGAAGTTCCACCCTCAAACTTTCAGCTCAAAGCCACCAATCATGGATACCATCACATCTCATAAAGACACAGTAAGCATTATCATTTCCATTTTCAAGATAAGGATATTGAGCTGAGGTCACTTGCAGAGTTGGTAACAGCTGAACCCTGAGCTAACGACTTTGTCTTGCACTTGAAAACCTGTTTCTCTCCCAGCTGTCTCTTAGGGCTGTTTTCCCCTCAACCAGCCCTCACAAGCTGACCTAAAATTGCTCTGCAAAATACAAGAGCGTGAAATTAAAAATTAAATAGGTGCTTCTGCATCTATTTAAATCCCATTTATTTTTAATAGCTACTGAGGTTAGGCCTTGCACAAAAGGTGAGAAGTTGGTTTAAATCTCGATTTCTTTCTTGGTGGACTAGTAAAATATTGTCATTCTGCTCAAGTGAAGAAAAGGACCACCAAAAATGTTACACTTATTTAACTTTTCTTAAAACTAAGAGTCCATCTCCTGGGCACTTTCTTCCAGGGTCTTAAGCTCCCATGATTTGACAGTGTTTGGTTTGCTAGCTTGTGCCATTCCTCCAACATTTGGGGGTACCTATGTGTCTATAGGCTTATGGTAATCAAAGGGTTAATGCTCCCTGTCAATTGCACAAAAATTCCCATCCTAAATGGGAATCATTTGTCTTCTCAGTTAAGTGTCTCTGACAATACATGCTATTTATAAGCTGATGGCATCTGGCTCAGAATGGGAGCTAATACAATTATAATCAAAATAATAATATAAATTGGTTAGCAGGAGAATGGCCAGGATAAGCAAAAACAATTACAGTTGACTCTTGAACAAGGGTTTGAAATGCGCAGGGCCACTTATACTCGGATTTATTCAACCAAACACAGATTGAAAATACCGTGTTTGCAGGACATGAAATCCACACATATGGAGGGCCGACTTTTCCTATAGGTGGGTTCTGCAGGGCCAACTGAAGCACTTCAGTATGTATGGATATGGGTATCCAGGGGGTCCCAGAGCCAATACCCTGGTGTATATGGAGGGACAACTGTATGTCACTAAGCCTGCCCTAATATGGAAGTAATGAGGAATATCAGGCCACTAATCAAGACGCCCACACAGGCATTGTTTTAAATCCATGTAGCTTTGCTATATCCAGTACTTCCTCTGGGTCCCTCCTTCCACTGATCTTGGGGCCCTCTCTTCACCTCAGTGGCCCAGAACACTTCTGGGATTTCCCCACAATCATGTGCTTCTTCTTATGCCTCATTCCCATAGCTGGGGTGACACCCTGTCAGTCCTGCTTGGTCAAGGATGGCTTAGAGTCTCTTGCCAGACAATCTAAGAACCAAAAAGTCTCTCTTTTACTAGGTTTTACCTGAACAACATAGAAGCAATTTGTCTCTTAAACACTCTCCCTGAGCTTTGGGGTTCACATCCTGCCCATTTGTGTCTCTTTATTATCAGAACAGAAAATCCATGACTGTATTATTGCTAAACGTAAGGAAAATGGGGTTTCAGGTTGAGACAAGCCCCTTTCTTTCAAAAGCCTGAAACATCAGGCAGGTAGTTATCTTATCTGTTCTGGGTTTAAGTCAGCACATTTTAGTTATTCTAGACCCAGAAAATCCTCAGAAATCAGGGTTCATTAGGGATGGTTAGAGAAGATGGAGATGGATGACTATCAATCAGGAATTAATGAGGATTGAGGAAATCCAACCAATTCTACCTGGAGATCTCTGTGGCCATTCATCTTTCCCACCATCTGCTCTGAATTTGGATCTATGCCCTGACAGGCAAAAGACAAATCTATCCTTCTTAAAAGTCCACTCAGGTAAAATGTCATTAAATTGTGGTATTGTCCAGAACTGCAGAGAGGAACATTTCTTTTCTAGTTAATCCAGTAGCCATCAGTTGCTCCCCATTAACTTGAAAGAAGCATCTAGTTTATGCTCTAGAATAAAACACCTCACATCTATCCAAATTAAACCCTGAAGAGCTATAACTGAAATGAAGGACAGTCTCTTGTTTATTGGAGGTGGGTGGATTCCTGTTTTCTCACAAAGTTCATGTTCCGGCATACTTATCTTTGGGATCTGCATTCCCTGGGTGAATAGGAATCCAATGATCATACCTGTTTTATGATTTTAAGCATTCCACATTAGCCTTAATTATAGCACATTCATATGGCTTTTATTGTTAAAGATAACAATCACCTCACTGTAAAATGTTATTCTTCCTGAGGGTTCTCAAATACCTCTGTTAACATGTTCCAGTATCTACAGGCACTCTCACATTTTTTCCTGCAGTTGTTTGTGCTCCACTATAGAATCTAGACACGACACAGAGACAGAGGAAGGTCTTTGCAAAATGTTTTTGGACCAAAGAGAACAGAAAACAACTTAAAACACACTGTATTTTAGGACACTTCAAATAAGATTTGTTTCACTACAACCTGATCTCACTTTAGGAGAAATAAGTGTTTTCCTGAACTATCTAATGTTAAGTCACACTTTAAAAAATTAAAGCTTATTATTTTAAGGAAGTGTGTGTGTGTGTGTGTGTGTGTGTGTGTGTGTGTGTGTTGGATTCACATAATTAAACATATTTAAAACTTTTTAAAGCCAAAGATCAGATCTTCCATGGAACAAGTACTTTGAAATATACTCTGTTGGTCAACTCCAAATGGTTTCTCCCTGTTTATTTCAGAGTCACATCATAGGAGCATTAAGTTCTTTGAACTCAACTACATTGCTTAGGGAGTAAGAAGGAGAGAGAAGAAGAGAGGGGGTGGGGGACAGGAGGAAGAGAAGGAAGTGGGGAGAGAGGGAGGAAGTGCATTTGTGAGAAAGTGTAAAGATGGTTCTGCCCAGTTTCCCTCAATTGGTCTGTGTCCCGATGAGCATGTCAAGGGCGATGTGTGTCTGCGCGCTCCTCAGCCTGGCTCAGTTCTCTGGTAACCTGTTGAGTGACAGCATCTTTATATGCTCATTAGACAGGTATACTTTATACAACGCAGCCGGCTGCCGCCCCTACAAAAGACATCCTTAATCCAAACTATAAGTGTATACTCATCTCAAACTTGGTAGAAGTACAGGGGCCATGCCTTATCTTTGAAGATGGGTCCACTGTCTGGAATTCCTAATTATCTTTCCTGTATAAACCAGGAAATTTGCTATGATTTTCAGGTTCTCTTTCTTTAAAGAAGAGAAAAAAAACCCAAAGGCAACTGAAAAGCCATCTGACCACAGAATCTGCCTAGATTTTTGACTTTCTCCTCAATCTTTTAGAGTTATCTTGTTTGTATTTAATTTGGCCTCAATTTATTTTTTAGCAAATTCATCATTAACAAGTCTTTTCAAGGCAACAATATAATTTTCGAGACAGCTCTCCTTCTCCCACTCATATTTCATTTGTTTAAACGTTACTTAGCTACATGTCTTAGAATAAGTACAACTGGCATACTTAGGTTTGGGAGCACATACTCTCAACAGGCCCCCAACTGAGCTGATGGGATGGGTGGGATGGCTCACTGGAGAGCAGCCCATTAACTGACTGCCATAGATAGAGGTTGGTGCGCTCATTCACAGGGAAGAGAGAGAACATGTTAACTGGCAGATGGATTAAGTGAGCTCCCACAGTACCTCCCCTAGGTTCAACCAAAGAAAGAGCTAATTATCTATTCCAATAATGTAGGGGAAAAAATGACCACGTGAGACCTAACAGTCTCTAACCTGCTGCCTTTCTAGGGATTGGAAGAGTAATTTTGTTTGCTCAGTTTTTGTCTCACTGACTATTGGATAAATCCCCTCCTAAGGTGCAGTACAATGCTACAAATAGGACAGAAAAAAAAGTAGTCAAGCTAAGTAGAGAAAAATTATAAGGAAGAATGTATACTTACCTGACGGAACTCATGCTTCATGTGGTGCGAAGGTTCACGTTGTGTCTTAAGATCTTTTGACTAAAAAACTTTAATCCCTCAAGTTCAGGCTGGGTTGAAAAATCAGCTTAGTTGCCTTGGTTCAGTACTTTAGACCGCGGTCTATCATTTTACTCATTATTGCTACTCTATAGGGCTTGGATAAAAATACTTGGATGAAAAGTATCTGAGGTTGGATCCGCTCTCAATGTCAAGCACAAGTTAGCTAATTCCACCTTGAAACATTTGCATCTGTGAGGGATGGTATATTTAATGGAACTTTATTTAGCTCTTACATTTTGTTTATTTATAATTTATTATTTACATCCTGTCAACTTCCATGAAGGATTTGAGGCAGCTTAGCTCTTCAGTTAAGCCCATTCTTAATCAGTTTCAGTCACTTCTCTCTCATCCTGTTATGTCCAACTTCAATGGAGTAGTTTCCCCAGTGTGATTAATTAACTTGGACCCCTGTGGTCTGGGACTTCCACTGTGCAACAAAGGCTGTACGTCTGCAGAGTCTGTGACCTTTGGTTTACTGCCCAGTGCAGGGAGCAGCCCAGCAGCACAGGAAACCCTGGCAGAACTTCCCAGGGCATCCCCTTTGGTGTCCAAGACCTCTCTGGGGGTCAACGTGGGGTGTGCAGACCGTGTAGGAATCGCAGGGCCATAGCAGCCCCACACCCTGTGCTGAGGGAGCCAAAGGTGGCCACAAGGACCCTCCCTTGTGACGGATGTAAGACATCAATAAGTGTCCCACTCAGGCTGGGTGCAGTGGCTCAGGAAGTAATCCCAGCACTTTGGGAGGCGGAGGCAAGTAGATCACTTGAGGTCAGGAGTTCAAGAACAGCTTGGTCAACATGGTGAAACCCTGTCTCTACTAAAAAAAAAATACAAAAGTTACCCAGGTGTGGGGGCATGCACCTGTAGTCCCAGTTACTTGGGAGGCTGAGGCATGAGAATCGCTTGAACCTGGGAGGTGGAGGTTGCAGTGAGCTGAGATAGTGCCACTGCACTCCAGCCTGGGCAACAAAGCAAGACTCCGTCTCAGGAAAAAAAAAATGAAAAAAAAAAAAAATAAGTGTCCCATCCAGTAGGAGTCTCTCTGCCAATAAGTACAATAATCATACACTCTTTAATGTGAAACAAGAGAAAGGCACAGCCTCAATCTCAGCTCCCTGTGGACCTCTATCCCTTCAAGTCTCATCTAAATGGAGCAAAATATCCACAGGTGTTATTTCAATCTGCCATTGATCTCTGGGCTGACTAGGTCATCTACCTTAACTATGCTGGAGTTTTCCATCTGTAACTAAGCGATCAAAACCCCTTCCAGAGAGAGACATGTTTGAAGAACTTCAGGTGAGAGCTCCCACATGTAGCTGCAGTAAAAAGGCCCTGAGTGTCCCTGTGTCTGAGAGTCACCTCTACCTGCCAAATCTGATCACCTTCTCTGGCTCCCAGCCCCTTGCTCTTGGCTCTTCTTTGTGTGAATGGCGGCTGCCAATCTCAATACCTGCTCAACATATTTTTTTTTTTCCAGATAGTGGATAAAGCACTGCTTTCAAGCATATATTCCTGTTACCTAGCCTGCACACCTGTGAGTTCTGCTCTCTCAGATGATAAGCATTCGGCACCTGGTAAACAATTGTTAATGTAAAGGGCTGTCCTCAGAACAGAGATGCTTCAGGCCATGTAGAGGTGTTTCTCCAGTAGTGGGGATGGGTTTGGGGCAAGTCATCCACACGCTCCCACTAACCTTTTTGCAACAAACATCAGATATCCGGGAATAGTCGGCTGAATCTCTGGGTGTGATCTGTGACTGTGGAATAGTCACAAAGCCAACTTGCATGCACAAAGAAGGAATCCATGACCCACACTAGAAGGTTCGATAAGGATTGAGGTTAATGCACAGACCACAGATCCAAATGCTGGCATTAACTAGGACGGGAACTATCTTCACAGAATAGGAGACTCTGGAATAGCAGATTCCTCAAGGGTCTACTTTAGGGGCTTGCTTTAATCTGCTAATTAGCCCTCTGTTCTAACCAACTGACTAACCAATCACAGACTTATAAATACAGCAGGCATACCAGGGGCACAGCTTCGAACTCTTTGGGAATAAAAAGGCATCAAAGAAATCTATAGAATCCACATTATGTATCTAAAATATAGGTATGAAAAAGAATTTTTGTTCTGTATTATGTTAATCTAATAAGTCAAGGTAAGTAAAGTTATATCATTGTCCTAGATATAAAAATGCATGTGGACCAAAAGATGAGATTTGAATCACACTTTTCTATTTATAAAGCACTTCTAAAATTCTTAAAGCTACTTTATGATCTTGCTTGACAGATAAGGAAATTGAGGCTTGGAAAAAACAAGTGATTTGCCCGAGGTCAAGAACTTCGGTGTTCTGACTTAAAGTCCGCAGTGCCTTTCACTCTATTATGTTCACACCATTCATGAAACAGGACTTCACTGATCAAGTCCATAGGTGGAAAAACCCTCCAGAGA
The DNA here is from genome assembly GCF_000001405.40 of Homo sapiens. Classification (NCBI taxonomy): domain Eukaryota; kingdom Metazoa; phylum Chordata; class Mammalia; order Primates; family Hominidae; genus Homo; species Homo sapiens. Next base: position 54,660,962 of record NC_000014.9, on the reverse strand, counting down.
ACTAAAAAGATGCCTGAATAGTGTATGATTAACTGGCTTCCCTGAGCTCTCAATGCAATGATTACACACAGAAATTCAGATGTTAACAGGCAAACAATTCTGTGGCTGACAGGACTGGAGGGATATGCTTGGATACCAAGTCTAATGGAAGCCATCCAAAGTTGTTGGTGGAAAATTATGCACGGATCTCACTTTGTAAAATAGCTGTGTAAATGTGGTTCAAGGGGGCTGCTGTTAAAACACATAATCAGATTCTAGACAGTCTCTCTCTTTTTTTTTAAACTTTCAAGTTGATGTCTTCTCCAGTCCTTCCATCCAGAGCACAGCAAATGTCAAAGTCAGCCAAGCTGGCAAATGAGTTGTGATGACTGGATTCTTCACCACTGGTAGCATCAAGAAAGTCTGTCTCCAGTCTTTCCTGACCTGTCATCCTCCTCTTCTGGAAACTCAAAGCTCCTTGGACTCCTGCTCCCCACAAGGGGATAAGTGTCCCATCAGTATTAGGGGAAACTTTCTCTTTGCACACTGAAGTGACTTTGTGACAAAACTTTATGCTGGGGCAAATGGACCTCCAGAGAAGCGGATGGTTGAGTGACAACTGCCTGGGCTGGCTTATGTCCCTGGCCCATTACTCTCTGGGACAAGCTACCCTACCTAGCTTCTCAGAGGATTCTTGGTTTCCTCAATTAAAATATGGAGAAAATAAAAATAATGCCTACTTCCCATGTTCCTATGAGGATGAAAGGAAATAAGGCAAGTTGTGAACAACACAGCACCGTAGAAAGAAGACTTTAGGTATCATTGATGTCTGGGAGATTAGATACACCAAACCCCTGAAACAAGAGAATGATGATTGACAAAAGGCCCTTTTTTTTTTTTTTCTGAGACGGAGTCTCGCTCTGTTGCCAAGCTAGAGTGCAGTGGGGCGATCTCGGCTCACTGCAACCTCCGCCTCCCGGGTTCACGCAATTTTCCTGCCTCAGCCTCCTGAGTAGCTGGGATTACAGGCATGCGCCACCATGCTCGGCTAATCAAAAGGCCTGTTTGACTTCTCCCTCGCCACCCAGCACCAAGCCCCCATGACCCACAGTGAGGACATCAGGCCATAGGCCACCAAAACTCTGTCTCTGGGTGTGCTATTGTACAGGGTTCTGAGGTTGGCCAGGTAATGTTGCAGCACAAGTAGTTTCCAAACTAAATTTCCAGAGTTCAGGGTTACCCCACACTCCAACAGCTGGGCTCCTTGGCTCTTCCCCCTCATTTTTAGGTTTCACATTATACCTCATGACTATCAGCACCTGAGGTTGGGGAGGAGACATATTCATCTACCTTTGTTCCCCCAAAGCATCACGTAGAATAACCACAGTAAATATTTGCTGAAGAATGAGACACAGGATGAGGAGTCATTTGATGACTGATTATTCATTGTCCAGGTAAAAGAAGGTTATGTAAGAGCAACAAATAATCAAAATCCCTCAGAAACCAAAAACAAAAAACCCACACTGCGAAACCAAACAAACCAAAAAGAGAGACAGACGGACATGTGTGTGCGTGCGCACGCACACACACACACAGAGCTCTGATAAGAATGAATGGATACCACCAAGGGAAGATGGCATATTGCTCAGGAACTGTGAGACTGAGTCCCCAACTATGATGTATTTCAAATGCATTCCACACCCATAGAGATTTTGATCTCATCAGTCCTCAAGCAGCCGAGCAAGACCCAGGATAGCTGGGTAACCCTAGTGTCTTCAACAAATGTTAGCCTGTGTCTGGGCATAAAAAAAGGCTGGGGAAACCTCTGTAAGGGACCAAGAAAACACATATCCTTTTAATATTACTAGCAGTCAGAAACAGGATATAGTACTGGATTCCAGGTTTTGTCTATTTCCTTCCTTGCCTGATTTCTTCCTTATGACATCAAGCCCTCAAGGGCCCTGTGAGCCAGGCATTCTTGATTTACAGGTGTGCAAACTGAATCTCAGAGAGGCCAGGTTACTTGGCCAGGTTATCCTGCCTAAGCACAAGCCTGGCCCTGATTCTTCTGCCCCCCACAAAGCGTGGAAAAGGTGCCCAGCCACGGGCATGCTCGAATCCTCAGCCTGACTTCTAATGAGTGACAATAGTAATACGAGGCTATGCAAGAGGGTGAAGAGTAAGGACGTTAGGATGGGAAATGAGTAGAGAGGCTTGGAGGAACACTGGGGAGATGGAATGACCCTCATTTGGAGACTCAGTGGACACGGTATTCGGAGAAGTTCCAAGGTGCTCAGCCAGAGTGACTGTGGGAATATCCCAGTGGCACAGAGAAGTCAATGACAGTGGCTGGGTAAGGAAGAGGCTCCTGTTGCACAAGTTGACTGTGATGAGGCCAGCTGGCTACTTGGAGCAGGATGTCAGACAAGCTTTTGGACATACGGGTCCCATGCTTAGGATGGGGGCCTAGCTAGAGGTGGGACTCAGTGGTCATTTGTTCAGAAAAGAAGGTCAAAATTTTGAGGCTGGCTGAGGCCCTGCAGGAGAATATAGCACAGCACCTGTCTTACAAGGGGGTCACTGAGCCAGTGTGAGGAGGTCTGGGTGGTCTGATACCTTGGCCTTACACAATTATTTGGAAAGCCAAATAGTTACATGCTCTTTTTATTTTTTGAGACACAGTTGTGCTCTGTCACCCAGGCTGGAGTGTGCTGGCACGATCTTGGCTCAATGCAACCTCCACCTCCTGGGTTCAAGCAATTCTCATGTCTCAGCCTCCCGAGTAGCTGGGATTATGGGCACCTGACACCACACCTGGCTAATTTTTATATTTTTTTGTGGTGACGGGGTTTCGCCATGTTGGCCAGGCTGGTCTCAAAGTCCTGACCTCAAGTGATCTGCCTGCCTCGACTTTCCCAAAGTGCTGGAATTACAGGCGTCAGCCACCACGGCCGGCCACATTCTCTTTTAAAACTTCTCTAACATCTACTTCGTGGAGTTCAATTCATGAACATTCTTGACTACAAGGTCCTAGAACCTAAAGTTGAGCTGCTCTGTGGCTGTTAAAGATATTTTCACACCTACAGAGCCTCAGATCCTGGGATAGATGGGATCTCACAAACAAGTAGTCTTTAGACTATCCAGGCCCAACAAATGCAAAGTAGACCCCAAATAGGACAGTCTCACCTCCAGAGGATTAGTGGAAGGGTGAGTGGCTCTTCATTGGCTGATGTGGACGGTCCCTATATGAAAATCTTAATTTCCACTTACACAGCACAGCTGACCCCTAGAAAGGAGACTGCTGGTCATTTTACATGGACCACATCACTGCAGAAGACCAGAGAGATGTCCATGCCTTAAGCAGAAAACCCAACACAGTCTTGACAACAGGATGCAATACTCTTTAGTAGAAAACCTTGACTGCAAAGCTGGAAACAGTCAGTGCTTCTAGCCTACTACCTCTTCTCTTCTCAGAAACTTAGCATCTGGTGGGAGAACCCTCTGACTTCTCATCTGGCGATGAACAAAAAAAATAAGTAAACAGCCCAATTACATCGTTAATTCTAGCTGGAGTGGAAAGTGATATAGGAGTCAAGGAATAAACACCTGTCCTTGAAGAGATGGGAAGGCAATAGAGCTTTAAGAAAAAATTCTTCGATGTAGGAATTGACAGTGTTACTTACAGAAGGAAAGTTTCAGCTGATTATCATTTTAAATTTCTCATTATGTCACAGATAGGTGGTAGATGGATTAATTTGCTTCAGTGGCCAAGGTACCTGGAATATTTTACAGTAGAATATTTTAATGGCCAATATTAACTGTAATTTATCACTGTGAGTTTAGTGAGGAAATTGAAAAATGATCATATTACAGGTGTTAGACATATCTACAGATAAGATGGAATGCATGCCTTCTACAAAAGGCATCCTGAATACCAGTCAATTTGCTATTGGCTTCCACTGTAAAATAGTTGTTTAGTTTCTCCGGCGGGGTGGGAGAGGAGAAATTAAAAAAAAAAAATCATGTCAGTGGTTTCTTTGCCCTATTGGTTTGGCAAAATATGAGAAATCACATAAAAAGCTTGTTTCATGGCTCACGCCTGTAATCCCAGCACTTTGAGAGGCCAAAGCGGGTGGATCACAAGGTCAGGAGATCGAGACCATCCTGTCTCCACTAAAAATACAAAAAATTAGCTGGGCATGGTGGCGGGCACCTGTAGTCCCAGCTACTTGGGAGGCTGAGGCAGGAGAATGGCGTAAACCCAGGAGATGGAGCTTGCAGTGAGCCGAGATCGCGCCACTGCCCTCCAGCCTGGGCAACACAGTGAGACTCCATCTCAAAAAACATACAATCAAACAAACAAAAAAACTAGTTTCAGAATCAGCTTTACTATTATTTGTGCAGCTTATTATTTTAAAGAACAACTGTGTAAGTATCTCGGCATCTTTCAGTATCTGGCAGACAGGTTGGTACTTGGTATATCAAGAGCCATGGGGCTTCTCTTGCCACTACTAAATAAGTCAAAGTTCAAACTCAAGGGGTAAAGGCCAAAAAAGGTGGTGACCTAGAAAGAGAAGCTGACATGGGTCCACATACCATGACCAGAAGCCTCTCCAAAGATGTGACATGGAGAGAGAAGCCTTTGATGGTTTCAGATCAAAGCGTCTCTCCATATGTCAACAAGGAATAGTCAACTCTAAATGTAATCATTAAAGAACAATCTAGACAGAGTGACACAGTTGGAAAATCCACTGAAACAATGAAGAATAACAAATGGAAACCATAGGTTAGTGGAGAGTGAATTCTACAGTAAGGAAAGTTAAAGGGTAAGACTCTAACCAATTCTGCCTGTCTGATTTGTGTTCGTTTTTCCACGTCCACCACAAAACTAGCTTCCTTGGTAATATTAGTAATAATATTAAGTATTATTTAACATTACATGTTAATATTTAATATTTATTGCCATTTATTATATGCCAAACACTATTTTAAGCACTTTCCATGTATTAACTCCTTTCCTCACCAAAACAAACCTATGTTTGTTCCTCACCAAAACTTAAGTTGTTCCTCACCAAAACAAACCTATGAGGCAAATATTATTATCCCCATTTACAGATGATAAAATGGTGGTGAAATAAGTTGCCCAATACCACAAAAGTAGTAAGAAGCAAGGCTTGAATTTGTACACAAGCATTCTGACTCCCGATCTATATTCTTTTTGTTTGTTTGTTTGTTTTTGTTTTTTGAGACTGAATTTCGCTCTTATTGCCCAGGCTGGAGTGCAATGGCATGATCTTGGCTCATCACAACCTCCACCTCCCAGATTCAAGGGATTCTCCTGCCTCAGCCTCCCGAGTAGCTGAGATTACAGGTATGCGCCACCATGCCCGGCTAATTTTTTTTTTTGTATTTTTAGTAGAGACGGGGTTTTTCCATGTTGGTCGGGCTGGTCTCGAACTCCCGACCTCAGGTGATCCGCCTGCCTCAGCCTCCCAAAGTGCTGGGATTACAGGCGTGAGCCACTGCGCCCGGCTCCTGGATCTATATTCTTAACCACTATGTTTTAATGTCTCTCAACAAAGAGAAAACAATGTCAATGAAGTAGAATGGGCTCTTCCTTAACTTGACTGGAATAAACTCAGTCAACCAACTGCCATTGCACTGATTCTGTGTTCCTCAAGGAAAGTGTGTGCCGTAATTGCCACCCTAGCATCCACTCCCTACCTCCAGCTGTGGGAAGGACATATGACTGGGAGGCAGACTGATCCATCAATGTGGTCTCTGAAAAAGCCTATCTTTCATCCGCAAAATAATGAGCTGATATTTTTGTTTATGGGGTAGCCTCCTGTGAGCTTGGACGTGTAAGTATTTCCAGGTCATCCATAAAATACATGATAAAAATCCAGCTTCAGATCTGCAAAGCTGAGGCTAAGATCCTAGTCTCCGATGAAAAAAGCCAAGGAAGAGCGGTGTCCCTTGAAATCCAACCTGAAATGGTCATCCAGCCTAATTTATGTCTCTGCTATATGGACTATCTAAGAGAATAAAAATCAACTCAATTTCCTGAGCACTGATGACATATGAGCCAGGCACTGATGTGCTGTCATTACGCCATCTTCCTCATGCACACTGCTCCTGGAAACAGGGGCAGGGATGCACCAACCATGGAGTGAAGGCTGGTGGTTCCCAAGTATCACAGACCAACACTGCTTCTGTGATAGAATTTTTGCTGACCTGTGGCTAAATAGGAAATATCTGGATAACACAGTACAAGTTTTTCCTGAAGCTACGTGTGTACAGAATAGAGGACTAGCCTTCATTCTGAGATTTTATTCTTCCTACTTCTGATTCTGAAGTGCCTGTTCTTTCATGAAAGGACTGTAACATTACATGACAATCTCAACATTGCTGTTTTTAATATCCTTACTTCTCAAGATCAAAGCTAAACACTATGTTAAACCTCCTCAATTAAAAACAATTTTTTTTAAATGGTTAGATCACAAAATCCTAGTGTGGGGTCACCGGCCCAGGGGGTTGCTATCCTAGGTTTTTCCTGACCTCAACCAGGGAGGGAGTTTCGCAAACAAAAAGACAATCCTAGCAGCCTGAATGTACCCTGTGCTGCTGCTGTCTTTCTTGCTAAGCTCCCATCTGACCTCCCGTGACTCCCTCAGTCCCCAGTGGCTACTACCAGTAGGAATTCCCTGTCCTTCCTGGCCAAGCTGACATGCTGGGCAGAGTTCAGGACACAGCTTTAAATGTGGTTTCCTGATTAAAAGGGAGACTCCAGTTAGACAGGAAAGAGCTCAAGCTTGGGTATTATATGTCATAGTCATCTACCGGTTCTGAGGAATGAATACGTCAACTGAAACGACTTGGAGCAAAACATAATTCCTGAGAAAATCCCTGAGAACCCAGCCGGAGACTCCTACCATTGTACTCCATCGTTTGTGTCTTCTTTTGGCAATAAAGTGACACACTGAAGACTCAGTTGCTCTAAAATACTTTCATACCGAATGGTATTTGCAAGGGCAAATGGTGGTTGGAAGAAATGAACACCAGGAAGCACCAGATGCAACATCTGTAAGATTCCCCGGCTAAGACAGAGGGCAGTAAGAGGAGAACCACATAGTGGGAAGGGGAAGATGGGGTGGCTGACTTGGTCCTGCCACTCCATTGCCTCAGAATCTTAGGGGAAGTCATTCTCAGGTCTTCTGCTTCCTCGCCTACAAAATAAAATGGCTGGTCATGCAAAAATCCTAAAATTCTGATCCAATTATTGCCTCAAGAGAAGCACAGCCTATTTTCATGTGTCAAGAAGGACAGTGAAAAACAATATTGAGAGGCTAGGCACGGTGGCTCATGTGTGTAGTCCCAGCACTTTGGGAGGTCAAGGTGGGTGGATCACTTGAGGTCAGGAGTTCAAGACCAGCCTGGCCAACATCGTGAAATCCTGTCTCTACTAAAAATACAAAAATTATCTGGGCGTCAGGGCGCACACCTGTAATCCCAGCTACTCAGGAGGCTGAGGCAGAAGAATTGCTTGAACCCGGGAGATGGAGGTTGCAGTGAGCAGAGATCATCACGCCACTGCACTCCACCCTGGGTGACAGGGCGAGACTCTGCCTCAAATAATAATAATAATAATAATAATAATAATAATAATAATAATAATAATAATATTAAGAGGAAGTCTTGAGGGCAAAGTTGAAAGTTCCTCAGGGGCCTCAAGGCCCTGCCTAGACATGAGTGAAAAACAGCTGAGCCCTGGAAACACCTCCGGGGTGTTCTTTGCAGGGTGAGCTTCCAACCAGAGTGCAGAAATACATGGCTGACAGCAAGGAAGAGAAGGTAAGAGGGAAAGAAGGAAACAGGAGAGAAAGAAATGTAGAAAAAGCAAAGGCCAGAAATAAGTGGGATCTTACAAGCAGCAGGGAGCACCCGAGAGGGCATGAATGAAGACAGGGCTACGTGAGGTTCATAGTGGACGGCTGGAGAGGCGGGGAGGAAAGAGAAGGCTCACAGAGGGAACTAGCAGACGAACAGAGAAAGAGCAAAAATGGAAGAAGAGAATCAGGATTCTCATTTCGAATAGAAATAGGATTACTTAACTCTCCCAATATCCATTCACCAAAACAGTTACCAAATGCGAGGTCTCGTGGCATCTTGCCAGCTGTGTCTCCATGAAGAGTCCGAGATTAAGTAGAGAAAACCCACACTCTTAAAGGGAACAATATAGTACCATTTTCTGCTGTGTGAACACAGATGCAGCCCATCTGTACGCAGATACGAAAGGAAAAAACTGCACAAAGGGTCTGTAACCTTTAAAAAAAAAAAGATTCTGGGTGAGGCTATCCAGAAATAGAACATTTTGATTACAAAATAAAAACTAGGTCAATAAGATAATGGACGTGATTTAAATGAAAATCACAGTATTTGTAATGGGCTAAAAATGGTATCAATGTTACTGCAGAGAAGGAATATAATTAAATGTATTTTTAAACAGCAGCTCCCCGCCCCAGTCCTACAAGTCCCAGGCCAGCCACCAGTATTCCTCCACCTCATCGGAGAGGAATGTGCTGGCATGCCGCAAGTTGGTCTGAAGAATGTGGAGTTTCCGTACTACTTCAGAAGATCCCAAATGACACTGGTTAGCTACATTCTTTCGCTTTTAGATCACTGTTATTCATTTATAAAGCAAAGGAATGGAAAGGCTAGGGATTTGACCATATAAATCTCTTTTGCCATTTTTACTATATGGCCAGGAAACACACAAATGCAGATATAACTGCCATGATTCCCAGGCTACTGAAACAAGATTTTGGGAGAATTCTAGATGGTTATGTGAGGTGGATGTAGATAGATCCTAAAAGGCTTAAGCATGGGCTAGGAATTAAGATAAAGGGCAGAAGTGCAAAGTTCTGGTGTGCTTTCTACAACTTGTGGTCTGATCTTCTGGAGAAACACTAACTCTTGAGTATAATTCATCTTCTAAACCCTCCCTTGGAAAAGAGGGGCAAAGAGGAGCAAGATAAATTAAACCTAAAGGATACGGTCCTGGATGGTTTACAATTACCAAAGTAGGTACAAGAAACTTGCCACAGCATTTCCTCAGATGTCTATATAAGAGTCATGGCCAAGGAGTCTATGATGAAACAACAATGGCCCTTCCAAATTTGGGATGCCTTCGGGGGCAAATGGAAATCAGTGAGACGTTATCTATGATGAATACATCACTACTTTGGCTCATATATATCATTCCTTTATTAAAGGAAATTGCATCGACATTTATACCCTGAAAATCTCAAATAAAATATGCACATGATTACATATAAATATTAATCATTCAAAAGAGGTTATTCTAAAAATCTCTTGTGGGTAGTGCATATTTACTAGTAAGTTCTTGAAATGAATTAACTCTTTAATATGTTTAAATTCCAACATATGACCCATTAGTTGCAAAGCACTCATTCATCCTTAGAAAGTATAAGTTTACCTCCCATGAAGCAAATCTGTTAAATGACAACAAAACTTGTCAAACAAAAGAGAAGAGACTTATTCACTGTATGAAATCACTAATGTCATGCTGAACTCCCTAAGTGCAATTAAGTGTGTTTGTGTAATATCATTAAGTTAGTGCCCACATCACCTCGTCTTTACTTGGTGCATTACAATAAAAGGTATTTCAATAAACAGCAAGTTGACAGACACCATAACCATGCGTTTCTTCTGAGACTTAAGGAGCACCAAAGCCCTGGAATTCTGAGTCGAGTAAAAGAAGTCACTACAATAGGTCTTGAGGAATTCTAAACCAAGAGAAAGACCAAAGAGCTCAGGATCATCTGAGCTCCTCCTGACACTTTCAGACCGTGCTTATTTACAGTTCCTCACTATCACCAGGGCATCTAAACCATGAAGTGAAAATAGTGAAGAAATGTGTGGCAAGGGTCACTGCAGACCAGGGAACCTCTGCGAATATCCAGAAAGTGAGGTGCTCAGTTTTCTGAAGAAAAGCATTCAGTTGATATATATTTTTAAAACTCTGACCTTTCACGACCTCAGTTTGGAGACCTCGGTAGGGATGAAAGAAAATAACTAAAAGGTCAAGCAAGTAAAGAACGCTGAAAGAATGCTCAGTGCAAGCATACAACGTGGGGCACGCCTCTGTTCCGTGAGTCTGGTGGGAAAAAATAGATTATTTATAGGGAAAGGGAAACAAGATGACAGAATAAGCTCTTGACAAAGAGGAGAAAAGCTTATGTTGGGAAAATCTGGGTGGGAGGGAAAGGCACTGGAGTCATTTGCACTATCACGGGATGGAACTGGTCTAGCAGTGACTTTGGCATATTTTGGCTTCTCAGCAGGGAAGAACCAGTTGGGGGCTGGGGAAACCAGTGTTTTCTGGAGAAAGAGAAACAGCTGCTTAAGCACGAGTGTCTGAAGGAAGTCCTGTTCCCTACTGCCAACCCACGAGGCATGACCACAGTCCAGTCGCAGGAGCTGCTATAACAAGATGACAAGGAGGCAAGACTGATTCACTACTGATTAATGCCTGTTGATCTTCAACAATGGGCCATTCCAACAAATGCAAGAAAGGAAAAATCACTAGCCAATAACATGGGGATCCTATCCTATAAACAGAAAGGAATCCCATGGAAAGAATTCTAATTTTATCTATTTAAGCAACTATTGGTTACTCATGCAGGTTCAGAAACAGAGGGGACTATGAGTCAATAAATGATGTAAAGGTTTATCAACAATATGTAAATCCTCTATCTCAAGTCTTTTATCAGAATTGCCAACAAGTTGTGAGTCTGATCAATTTAATTTCTTTTCATTCACTTTCTTTCTGTTGACTTTGGCAGGTAAGGATCAGTGAATTAGAGGAGGTAAGTGGAATTCAAGAAAATACGCTCTGGAATATGTATTCCCTTACGGTTCTTCAAAAGCCCTTATCTTGCCCTAGTGGTATATCATAAGTCAGTAACAATAACAGAAAATCTTGTTTTTTTAAAAGTAAACATTCCAATGCCTAAAAGTCTAAGTAGACTAAGAACAAATGCCAAATAAACCCAAGATGTGCCATTTTAATGGGAAAATATGAAATATGACATGTAAATAGAAATCCCACATTTATAAAAGCAGGCAAATGATTGTGTGACAAATACTTACAGGCAAATGAGAAAAATTAGAAAAAGTTCCTCCTTCTAAAATAATCTTTTTACAGCATACAATTCTCTTAAATTCTGACACTTATGCCTGCTTGCAAAAACAATTTCAGTCAACACTTCCCACTGTGTTATTCAACCCCAAGGCATGCAATTTTTATTAAATGGCCCCAAAATACATTCATGCACAAGGAGCAGGCACCAATTGACTTGCGACACGACAAAGTCATCCTATAGCTTGACTTCTACCCAGTTGCTATGTCGTCAGGTACTAAACCTCAAATACTCTGTGGCCCACTCCTTCTCTCCTTCTTGTTCCCAAAGCCTCTAAGTGTGGGATTCTTTCCAGTGATCACCACCCCACACGATGCACATCCCTTCGAAAGATAGCTTTGCAGCTTCAACGACAGTATAAGCAGAATGGCGTGTTTCTCTCCTGGGTCAACTCCTCCATTCCACAACAGGATCTTGCAACTTCCCACTCCCTAAAACCTCTGTCTCACTCTTGAATACTTTTGTCATTTAGCTTCTCTTCCTCTTCTGGCTCCTTCCTTCCTTTAAAAATCTTCCTTTAAAAATAAGTCACAACTCACCAAATCATGAGACAGCTCCAGGATCACATGTTCAAATCCTACTCGACAGCCTCACTAGGACATCTAACGGGCATGTCTAGCTTATGTCCAAAACTTTATCTTGTTTGGAAACCTGGTACTCATTCAGTGTTCCCATCTCAGTCAATGATACCACTCAGTTGCTCAGGACAAAACTTTGGAATCATCCTCAACTCCCCTCTTTCTCTCACACCACACATCTCATTCAACAACAAATCCAGGCGACTCTGCCTTCACAATTTATCCAGAATCCAACCACTTGTCTCCACAGCTGCCACTGCTATCCTGTCTGAGCCACCGCCTCTCCCACCTGGTGTACTGAAACAACCTAAATGAACCCCCACCTCCTCACTTACTCTTTCATTACTCTCTGTGCCGCATTCAGAGTGGTCATTTTCAAGGGTCAATGAAGCGCCTTCATTCTCCTTCTCAACTCTTCCAGAGACTTCCCATCACATCTAGAACATAACCCAAAGTTTTACACGACCCACACAGCTCCTGGTAGCCCCAGAGCCTACAAGGTTACCTCTCCAACTTCATTTCCTACCACACTCTGCCTTGTTCAATCCATTCCAGTCACACTGACTCTACTATTTTTCAAACACACAACTCTGAATATCATCTGTGCACATGAATTAAATACTACCACTCTGCAAACATTAAATTGATCCATCTACCAACCTGCTTCTCTGATACAGCCTCAGGATACACATTCTGTCTACAAGGTGTCTCAAGCTAGATATTCCTATGCCAGCACAAATTAGACAATGCAAAAAGGAGCTGTTCCCCCATCACTAGGCTGGAAGCCTTGAAGTAGCTGCCAACCTTCACTGTACTTCAACCCACAATAAGTTGGCTGCCAAATCCTCCCGTGTTCCCCAGCACTGAAGTCTCAATCTGCCCTTTCCTCCTCCTGCCTCTATTCAGAGTCCTGTGCCTGTCCTGGTCATCTCCTCACTGAAACCCCACACCTCTTCCAGCTGCCCTTAGTTTCCTCCTATTGCTATAACAAGTATCCTTCCAGAAGTCTCACAAAAGTTTCTGTCTATATCCATGTACAGGTGCCAGGGAGTCAGCCTCCATTCCCCTCCCACTTAATCCTCCTATTGTCTTCCACTGTCCACATGTGGCTATTGCAATTAATTAAAAATCCAGTTCTTCAGCTGCACTAAGCACATTTTAAGTGCTCAAGGGCCACATGTGGCTGGTGGCCACCCTACTGAACAGTGCAGCTGTAGGGCATTCCACTTTTATGCATTTATCCCCCATACATTTATCAACTCAACATTTTATACAACCCAACACTTTTATCAACAGCGCAGCTGTAGGGCTCAGGAAGTTCTACTGGATAGTACAGAACCTATCCCCTCTGGCAAACCTATTCAATTCCCACAACAAAATCTATGAGAGTAAATTCCATACCCAATCAGCCCTTTGAACCTGATTTTTTACTAAGACCTCATGTTTCAATTTTAAGGAGGTCCTAAAATATTCCTCCCTGAGATCCACCCTAATTTTAAGGAAAAGGTATATTACACACCCGTCTCCCTATCCCACATAAACATGACTTCCCTTTCATAAAACTTCTCTTCTACGCAGAGTAAATATTTATTCTGCTCAGCTGTTATGCATGAGCATATAGTCAATGTACTTAACATGTTGACTATTTTAGATTGAATGGTTTTAGGGGCAGAACCAATATTGAATGGTGCCAAGCACAGAAAGCTCTTTAAAAAGTGTGTTTTCATAAGGGTGATAACATAGTGGGGAAGCAGTTAGGCTTTGGAGTTACCCAGGCCTAGAACTGTTCTGCCACTTACTAGCCGGGGACCTGGGACAATTATTTAATCCCTTATCATCCTCAGTTTAAGTATTGGTAAAAGAGAGAAAATGGTAACTATCCTCCTTACAGAGAAGTGATGATTAAACGTGATGACACCTGCAAATCAATTAGCAATGGTTGGTTCATAATGACCACTCATTAATATTAGTTGATGATGATAATAACGTATCAAACATTTAAAATTATTATAAACAAGATAAACTTAAATAATACTTGTGGAAGTTAAAAGCAAGATGAAAAGGTATCCCAAATGTTAAGTACTTGTCTTATAGAGTCAAATGAATGCCTTCAGATACAATGTAATAGATATTACTTAAATATCAAACCTTGGAAAATATGTGTCAAAGTAACATAAATTCGAACATTTCCATTCTGTTTCTTGTATAAAAGCTGCATTGAGTTTCCAGCCCTTTGGAAAATTTGTCTCAGGGATAGTGGAACCTTGTTTGGCAGGTTGAATAAGTTTCCATTAGTTAAATGCAAGCAGGGTGATTTCATTTTAAAAGTGAAATGTGAAAGTGGTTAAACGGGCAGGATACAACTAATCATACTAGTCTTTTTAAAAATTTGAAAAACAAAACAAGAAGAAGAGTTCTAATTCAAAGCACATGTAGGCATTATTTTGCATTAAGTGCTTACAGGCCCATTCTCCCAGTGAACTGATGAAATAGGCACAAACAGTCCACACATTTGGAGCATGAGCTCTTTCTCCCTACCTCCAGTAGCTGAAATTCAGAGGTGGCTATATGGACTCAAAAGCCAAAGCCAGTACATTAATTCTGCCTAACTGGCCATCCATTCTTCTCTTGCTACGGCTTCTAAATGTGCTAGGCCAGTGGTTCTTAACGTGTGCACCCTGGATCAATGGCAGCAGTATCACGTGGGAACTTGCAAATGCTTGGGTCTCCCAATCTACTGCATCACAAACTCTGAGGGCGGGGCCCACCAATGTGTTTGAACAATTCCTACAGATGTTCTGGTGCCAGAGCACGGGAAGTACACCTGGGCTGCATTTATGCCCTCTGTTTGGGGGCAGCTTCCACAGAGAAGCCATTAGGCCTCTTCTTAGGTAGTACTGAGAAAGCTTCAACTGGCTCTCATTTGCACTGACACATAATATGGACTCAGCCTTCCTCACTATAACTCAATTCTCTGATATGACAATTAATGGAATCACATAATGTTCAGCAGCGCCTAGGAAGTAGGGCCTCTGTGACAAACCTGGGCCATGTGGAGAAAGCGAACCCTAATTATTCATTTTGTCGATCACAAAGAAAACTCCTGGCCCAAAACCATATGGTTTAATTTACTTGGCCTCCATAGGAAGAGTTATTGATCTACAATGAGAGATGAAATAACCACATAAAAGATGGAGTATTGCAGTTAGTTTAGGAAAGCCTCTAACACTTCCTTATTTGAAAAAAGAATAATTTTGCGAAGCAAAAGAATCACAGAATTATGTAACAAATTCCCACTGACTATATAAAAAACGGCAAGGAAAGATACAGGCAACCCTCTTCAGATGTTTTTCAAGACATAACATTTCTTAACAGTCAAAACTCAGAGGGAAACAGAGAAGTATTCTGGATCGCATGAATAATCACACAAAATGACTTATAAGCAACAATGCCTTAAATGACTTTTGTTGTCATGTTTTAAAAGATCCAAAACAAAATGAAAGCTTATTTTAATACTTTGATGCTTCCATAATGTTGACAGTTATATTTTCACAATTCAAATATATTCTCCAGCAGAGTGCCTTATTCATATTTTAGTGGAAGGAAATAAAATTCAATATGCATAAATTTAAGGTCTTATGCTTTTTAAAAAAACAGGCTTTGAAGTATTTTTTAAGCAAGACTTAGAGTCACATATTTTTGTAATTAAGATAATTTAGAGAAACGAGCAGAGTCTTTCGTAAATTAATGTAAAAGATATTGCATAGTTATATATGGCTCCAATTTCTGAAAGAAGAAACCTTAACAGTAGTTATGTCTGAACAGTGGGATAGGGATAGGCATGGCAGAGAAGTAAGACTACTTTTAAAAAGTAGTTTTCTGTAGCGATAGGATCTTACCATATTGCCAGGCTGGTTTCAAACTCCTCGGCTCAAGCAGTCCTCCTGCCTCAACCTCCCAAAGTCCTGGGATTGTAGGTGTGAGCCACTGTGACTGTCCAAACTTTACCTTTTTCACTTTAAGTCCTTGGGTCCTATTCAAATTTATTTTCATACATATTTTGTATAATTTTTAAAACTACACCAGTTAGAAATAAATTAACTTAAAAATAATAAATCCATATTATTACACCATCAACCTTTGGTACACATCACACTGAATGTCACTTAAGAACTTCAGGTCGCCATTTCAGATAACTATTTTTTTAACAGTTTGAGTACACTATCACCAGATACCAGTAGATTCTCATCTGGTAGTGGTAGAAGTTAGCCACATTGCAAATGAAGAAACGGAGGCCCAGAGAGATTAAGAGATTTTCCCACACCATCCAATTTACTGATACTGAAGGCAAGACTTGCCCTCAGTCCTTTGACTTCTCAATTTATGCTTTTTAAAAAAATCATATCATGTTGCCTGTCACATGTCCTGCAACACCACTCATGTGTTTAAGATCTGAATCATACTAACTTACTACAGGTTTTACAAAAACATAACTCCATTAGAATTAAAGCTGAACACTAGAATTAAACCCTTCCCTTACCGAGGGCCATGCAGAGGTTCCACACAGAGGCAGTGATGGAAGGGTCTTGGACTTGGGACTTTCTACCTGAATCTGACTCCTCTAATTACTGTGTGACTAATTGCATGTAGCCTCTTTATGTCTTCTTTTCTCACCTGCACTGTGGCGATTAAAAACATCTACCTACTTACTAGTGTTGTGAAGGTGAAATGAACGAATTTCTGTCAAGTACATAGCCAGGTGCCTGGTACGTAACAAGTGCCCAATAATAGTTAGCTATTACCCGTCAACATTTAAATTAATAAACTAGGTGCAATTTAGAACCTAATTTCTATTTTAAATCTATTAGAAGTATGGTATTTAACCCCCAAATTTGATTAGAAGTGCCCATCTTTGAGAAGATTTGCATTTACCACAAGTTAGTAACCTTAGACAAGATACACCTCTCTGTCCCATTCTCCTTAGCAGTAAGGGCTGAGATGCTCAGATTCAAGAAATGTGTGTGAAAATGCTGGAAAATGGCAAAGTTTCCTAAACAAAAGGTAGACTTTGTTTTTAGCTTACCCTGAATCACAGCCGGTAGTCAAGAGAGGCCTTCCCAGTGGTTTGCCCTGAAACTTCCAGATCACCCAAATGACCTTTGACTGCTTCTCCCAGCTGTCCGCAATAAGCATTTGTTCTACCGAGTCCCTCCTGGACCTACAGTCTTCCCCGCCCAGTGTGAAGCCCTTCTCTCCCACCTGCCCTACATTAGAGCCCCTCTTTTCTTCTTTCTTTGGTGGAAAGGCGTCTGTTCTCCAGGCTGAAAGCACACAAAAAAAACCTGTGACTAATTTCTTTTCAAATCTGGAGGCAGTCTTCCACTATTCTCTTCAGTCAGGGAGAAGTAAGTCAAATCCCTGTGACTTCCTTAACAAAAACATTCTTTGAAGGCACAAACAGAATAAGCAATAACTGACAATTTAAACATACCTAGAATACTTTACCACACATTTTTCTTGAGTGTCTTATAACACCGCAAAACTTCAAAGAGCATACCGACTCTTGCCTACCGGCTGAAAGGGAAATATCTAGGTCCACTGTTGAGGCATTTCCAGGATATTTAAAAATGTTTACTGGAACTGATAACAACCACCTATTGACAGTGGGCTGCTGAGGATCTCCGGGCCTAGGAGACCTCCTAGCTCAAGGCTGGTACTTCCATAAAAGGACTGACATTTGCCAATGTCTGGTTTAGTGACAAAGTCAAAAGAACAGCTTTGGATTTTTGAAACCTAAGCATCAAAGATGGGAGGTATGCATTTGCTTTCACCAACAACTGGGTGGAGGAGAAGCTTCACAGGCAGTTTGTTTGTATTGAGTTAGGCTCATCATGAGGCTACTCAGTGAGCTCCATATCGGGGAAGACCATTTGGAAAGGTGTATGCTTTTCTGTCCCCCTTAGAGTTCTTTTTCAAACCTAGATGTTTTAAAGAGAAGTGAATTGAGTAAACAGCAGATGGCGTGCTTGAAGCCAGGTTCTAACTCCCTGGCCCTTGCCTGTTGTCTTAAAGACTTTCCCCCTCCTGCCTTGTTGATTCAACTCTTTATTCTTATTGAGTATCTGCTTTTCTATCCAAATATTAGAGGAAGCAAAGACGGAGCTGAATCAGCAAGTTGCCTTGAGACCTTTGGGGAAAGGGAGGTTGTTTCCCTCACAGTCCAGGGCTTTCCAAGCACCATTACCCCACATATTGGGCTCACTGCTGAGCTCTCTGTCATCCAGAGGTTCTGGTGAACCAGTGACACTGTGTAACGCAGCTCTCAGTGTTTATGAATGTTCACAGGCTGATCACACCATGTTCACGCATGCAGGGTCTGCAGGTTGGGTTACAGCAGACTCGCTTCCTCTTGACTAAGAACGCTTTTCTCTTCGTCCGACTCTCCATCCCTTCTGCTTCTCCCAGTCCCCTCAACCTGATACCAGGAAGCTGGATCATCCACTCAACGGGATCTTTCATTCCTGTTATCTCAGTGATGAACACAGTACCAGGCACATAGCTGGTACTGAATGAATCTCCACAAATCAGTACATGAATGGATAGATGAACTCAGTGCCCATTGCTATCCAAACCACATTGAAAGGCAAGGATTTGCCTGGAGATTTGAGGGCAGAGTCAGGGACAAGAAGTTACAGGGAAGGATGAATTCAAAAGAATTCTATGGAGAGCCGATGCCAGACCAACTTGAGAGCAGCAGTTTATGTCGGGTTTGTAACACCAGCTTCCACTTTTGTGTCTCCTCTACCCACCACCAATTCCCAGAGTATACACTGTAACTCTTCATTGAACAAAGTCCCCTTCAGTCAACAAAGTAGTCTGTGCTCCCCTAGGACTACTTTCCCAGCCTAGAGAAAGCCTCCTCCACATTATCATGACCTTAGTCCCCTGCCCTTAGTGAGATGCCAGGAAAGAAATCCAGTAAATCAGTTCAAGCCATCATGCTGATACATGACTAGACATAAGCATCTTAGTGAGAGACTTAGAACTAATATCTACCTTCCAAGAACTTAAAACTTACTGACTTCTGGCCAGGTGTAGTGGCTCACGCCTGTAATCCCAGCACTTTGGGAGGCCGAGACGGGTGGATCACTTGAGGTCAGGAGTTCAAGACCAGCCTGGCCAACATGGTGAAACCCTTTCTCTACTAAAAATACAAAAATTAGCTGGGCGTGGTGGTGTGCACCTGTAATCCCAACTACTCAGGAGGCTAAGGTAGGAGAATTGCTTGAACCCAGGAGGAGGAGGTTGCAGTGACCCAAGATTGCACCACTGTACTCAAGCCTGGGTGACAGAGCGAGACTCTATCTCAAAAAACAACAACAACAACAATAAACTTACTGACTTCTTGATAAAAGCCTGTGTAGAAAATTAAAGGTCACTGATTCTCCACAGAAAAATTGTTCCACATAGAAAAAAACTATACTGGACTTGGAGTCAGAAGACTTGAGTGTGAATATTGGGTTTGCCTCTTAATGGTGGGTTGTCTTAAGCAAAATATGTACTCTCTGGGTCTGCAATGCTATCATATGTAAAATGCTCCATGTCTCATATGCCACTATGTGGACTAAATGCAACAAGATTTTTAATACTGCTTTGTAAACTTTAATGTAGTGAACGCACGAGTGTAGTGAAGCAGTAAAGAAAAAAAGAGACAAAGAGACTATTCTTTGAGAATCTAGAATTAAGATAGGACAGGAAATTGGCATCACATTAAATGAGTTTCAAATAAGACTAGGTTGTGATCTGTAGGGCTAAACATATACTCATAGCACCAAAAGTACAGGTGGTCCCTGCTTATAGACCCAGAGTATGCCTAGAGATGTTGGTGATGAAGAAGAAACTGATGATAATGCCTTTACTGATAACTATGTATCTGGCATTAATCTGAGCACTTTATATGTATTATCTTGTTTTACCTGACAATAGCCCTGAGAGGTGTGTAATACCATTATCCCCATTTTACAGATGAGAAAACAAGTTAAAGCCTAGAGAGTTCAAGTCATCATTAAGTGGAATTCCCTCTGAGTGCACAGTTTTCAACAGACTGCTGAATGAGAGGATAAAGGCATTAAGGAGGAACAGCCGAGCTTTTATTGAGCAGGACTGAAAGGGTGAATTGGAGAGAGGTGAAGCTCAAGAGCAGGAGGTGGAATGAAGTTACAGACACTGAGAAGAAACCTGTGAACTCCTAGTGTGAAAGACCAAAAGGAAACTCTTGATAATGGAAGACAAGATGCAGCCTGTGTGTAAGGGGAAGGCCAGTAGGAAGCAGGGAGAATGTAATTGTTGGGAAATCAGTGGAGATATACCATAGCATTCTCTCTCCCCACGGCCTGCCCAGTGCACCAGGCACACTAATCAGCAATGTTCTCATTCTCGGAGGCAGGACCTGCTGCTGTGACAATTGAGGGCTGGGGTGAGGGCATGCTGATGAAGCTGCTGCCATCCCCAAAGCCTCGTGCCACCTCCGAGCATTCAGCGCCATTCCCGTGAGCAGTGACAGGAAGAAGCAGCTAAAGCTAGCTGTTACCACCAGACTGCTAATGAAAACCAGAAAGTCTGCAAACAAAACTGCCGGCTTCTCCAGAATCGAACCAGAATAGCATAAATTTGGAAAAGGAGCCCTTTCCACTCAGCACAGGTTTCCCCCGCAGTGAGTCCCATCAACCAAAATGAGATCTATAAATCCTGACAATGTCTCTGCGACTCTGCATTTTTCTTCTTCTAAATCAATAAATAATTGATTCTGTGTCAATAGGGACCTCTTATATCCCAAACACAGATAAGAGATTTTAGAGATAAGCTACAGATCTTTACAGTTATGAAACGGATTTACAAACCCAGAGTAAAACATAAAAATCTCATAGCACGAAACTTCCAGGTACTGTTGAGAGAGAGACACGAGGGCGCTGGGAGATGAAGGAAGAGGGAAAACCATTTCTGGGGAAAGAGTAAAGGCCTGGTTGTAGGTTTGGTTTTGTTTCTTCGGGGGAGGGCCAACAGAAGCTACTCTTCCCTGACTTGCTTGGAGTAACAGACTTGCAGATGGTGATTTGAGGGTACACTGCAAACAAAATCCCAAGGCTATTTTTTTTTTTATCAAACATAGATATTTTGGTTTAATTAGCCAATTCAAGCAGACATTTTGGCCAGACATAGCCTATTGAAAATAAGCAGAATTACAAGAATTTGGCATTTTAAAAAGGAGTAGTTTGTCAATGGCAGAATGTTAGACTGCTTCTTTACATCCTTGTCTATGAGCCAGACATAGCAGAACTAGTAACAGTGGTGTGTACGTGTGTGTGTGTGTGTGTGTGTGTGTTTCAAGCAATGCTGACTTGACATTCAGAACATCTGCTCGAGGTAGGCAAGTAGCAGGCATCCCTAGCATCCAGGAGAAATGACAGTACAGTGCTATGAGCTGCCATGTTTGAAATCCCAAAGCAAAGGAGAAACACCTTAAAACCCCAGGGCTGAACATGGGATGAAGACTCCACATAAAAGTGCTGACAGATTCCGAAGGGAGGCAAAGGGAAGTACTGCCCGCCGTAACAGGCCACCTGGGCTGCCAGTGCTGCATGTGGCCCAGCTGCTCGTGGCTGTGAGGAGTGGCCCCCACTTGTGAGGCTGGTTGCCTTCCTCCTCCCTCCTTTGCCCCCCTCACGCCAACCCTGCTGCCTTAGTTGAGAGAGAACTCTGGGTTAGATGAGAGCAAGGCATTTTAGACAAGGGTGTGAGACACATGCAAGAAACAGAGACGCTGAGAAACTTCACCAGGCTCAGCCACCATGTTTCTTACATCTCCATGACTGCAGGCTAGAGGAGATTGTAACAACAGCAGCAGCAGCAACAATAACAGCTGCCGGTTATTTCGTGCCCCCACGCAACAGGCACTGTGCTCAGAACTTTACATATAATATTTTATGGATTCTGACATAACTCTGTGATGCAGGTTATTTTCCCCACAATAGAGATGAAGAAATAGAAGCTTGGAGGGATTAAAGTAATTTGCTGGGGTCAATAAGTACCAAATGGCATGGTCCATGGATCTGCTAAACCATGTCCTTTCTCTCTAGCATGCCAACCTTGCTCAGGCATCTAGTGAGACAAATGAGTTTCTGTGCCCTAAGGTTAATAAACCTAAACTTGGTCAGATTTCAAAAAAATAATAAATGCCAAGAAGCAAAACCAACCTGTTTAATTTAGGCAGTAAACTCTCTTCAACAACACCATTTAAAATAGCACTAACTGCCGAATGTCCACTCTCTTAGAACATCGGTATACATTGAATTCAGGTAATAAAATGAACTTTTCAATTTCTAGCTAGGCCAGAAATTATTGTAAATAGTTTCCATGATGAGATAAATTAGTCTGGGTATTACATTATAACTCAGAGTATACTCTTCCCTGAAACAACATGATAAACGACTGGCTTAATCTCCTAGAGAAATGTCTCTTGTTGTTCAAAAAATAGCAACAGAAACGGTTTTACTTATAGACAAATCTTGTTCCTTGTTGATTCTTGTTTTTAAACCGAGGACTTATAGAGGAAGATGCTTTTAAATCAGGGAATTTAACAAACAGCCTCTGATAATTTATCATAACTTCTCTTTTTCTTTCATGTTTATTTTGTTTAAGATGACAATATCCATAATGCTAAAAGTTTACTATATCCATCACTATTCACCCTCAGAATGCCAATATTCTAGAATTCCTTTGCTCTGGCTCAAGGAAATATTAATGCACGCAGGGATTTGTATAGGATTGACAGAGCCAACTCAGCATGACAAATGGGGGAAATTCCATGCGCAACGTTTATGGGAAACATCAGGTTAGTATGCTGCTAAGACCAGCTGCTCCGTGTGCTGCGGCTCCCCCGTGCAGTCCCCCATGAATCATGCAGACACACAGTTGCCCTAAGCCTGTGGCATCTACTGTGTGACTTGCTTAAGCAAAGACAAGACTTTTCTTTTGCCCCTGGAGAGTAAGGACTCCATATGCTGTGCCATAATCTCCTTGTAGCAAAAATAGCCATAGAGATTTCTATCACTTCCAGGAAGGAAGGATGTACAGGATGGTGACCATTTGGCAAAAAGCTGGCAAGGTTGGGACTCTGTGCAATAACTGACTCACTTTGATGCTGGAGACCTTCCTGATATACAAGAGCAATGTGTTAGCAGAGAGGCTATGGAGTCTGTGCACACGTTGTTTATTGGTGTATGAGGCTTTCTTAATAAAAATTTCACGAATTCAAGAGATCCTGAGTGGCACATGAAACAAAGGAGAAATAAATTTCATCAACTGGGGATTCCAAAAGGCCATTTAGGACTGATTTAATGTAACTAGTATCAAAATAGGGTCAGAGGTACATCACTGTGTCACTTACAAAGCTACCTTCCACCCCTGCTCATTCCTCTCTGTCTTGTGAGGCCAGAACTGATGGAAGAAGATGCTTTCCTTTTCTTCTGGGGCTGCTGTTGGCAAGCTCTGTGTCCACGAGGCTCTTTCTCACTATTCCCTGTGCTGACACATGGTGCGGACTCCCAGGTCTCTTCTCCAGGTGGAAAGAGGTCGGACTCTTCTTGCTTGGCCTCTCAGATGCTTTGGACACTTTCTCCTTCTTAACACTCCTTCTTCACCTGGCTTCTAGAGCTCCACCCTCTCCTGGCTTTCTGCCAACCTCACTGGCATCTCCTTCTCATCTCTTCTGCTAATTCCTACTCTTCTTCTTGCCTCTTTTTTTTTTTTTTTTTTTTTTGAGATGGAGTTTCGCTCTTGTTGCCCAGGCTGGAGTGCAATGACGCAGTCTCAGCTCACTGAAACCTCCACCTCCCGGGTTCAAGCAATCCTCCTGCGACAGCCACCCAAGTAGCTGGGATTACAGGTGTCCGCCACCATGCCCAACTAACTTTTGTATTTTTAGTAGAGACGAGGTTTCATCATGTTGGCCAGGCTGGTCTCGAACTCCTGACCTCAGGTGATCCACCCACCTCTGCTTCCCAAAGTGCTGGGATTACAGGCGTGAGCTACCAGGCCTGGCCTCTTCTTGCCTCTTAATGTTGAAATGACTCAGTTCTTAGTCTGTGGTCTCCTCTTTATTTACCGTCACTCCCCTGGTGAGCTCATGCAGTTCCATGCCATATAGTTGGTATTTAAAGTAAACTCCCAAATGTATATCTCGCCCCCTTGATCGGTCTCTTTTAAATTCCAGACTTATATATCCAACCGCCTATTCAACAATGGGACTTGGAGGTATAATCAATATCTCAATTTCAGCATGTTCTTAACCAAATTCCTGAGCTTTCCTGCCAAGCCCAATGCCCTCCCCATCTCTGTGATGGCATCTCCATCTTTTCAGTTGCCCAGGTCAAAAAGCTTAGGATAATTCCTGACTCCTCTCTTTCTCTCTCACCCTATATCCAATCTGCCAGGAAATTCTGTTGTCAGGAAATCCACCTTCAAGATGTACCCAAAATATATTCAGAGCACGACCACTTTCACCAGTTACACTGCTGTCAGCCAAGTGTGAGCCGCCATCATCTCTTACTCTACCAGCCTTCCAACAGGTCTTCCTGCTTTCCACATCTGCCCTCCTAAAGTTTATTCTCAACATAGAAGCCAGAGTTCTCTTTTTAAAGTATAAGTCAGAGCATGCCACTTTTCTGCTCAAAACCTGCGATGTCTCCAAAATTCATTCTGAGTGTGGAAGCCAAAGGGCTTACACTTAGCCTACAAGGCCCTGCATGATTCCCAGTGCACGACTCCCCCACCACCACTTACCTCTTGGGGTTTCGCCTCCCACCACCCTTCCTCTTGATCACTCCTCTCCAGTCACACCAGCCTCCTCGTACATCCCAACCTAAGGGCTTTTGTAATGGCCGTTCCCAGTGCATGAAACAACCTTCCCCTCAAATGCAAATGCAAACTGCCTTCCCTCCCTAACATCTCTGTTCAAATGCCACCTTCTAGCTGAGGCTCACACCACACTATATAAAATCACAACTCTTGGCAAAACTCCAAGCAACCATAGCTTGCCTGACTTTTCATTTTTTCCACAAGACTTATCTAACATACTCTGTGATTTACTTACCTTACGCTACGTATTGCTTCTCATTGTCTGTCTCCCCACATCCTCCCATTAGAATGTAAGCTCCACGAGGGAAAGGATCTTTGTTTTGTTATTCAACGTATCCCAAGTGTCTAGACCTGTGTCTGGCACATAGCAGTTGCTTGATAACTATTTCTGGATTGAATAAATGAATGCTGGGCTGTGGTATGCAAAAATAGGATCACTGAAATTTCAAGTCCTGGTGGTTTAATTTGCAGTGCTGATGTTATTTTTCTCATTCATTGGCTAATTTTTTCTTTTCTTTTTTTTTTTTGAGATGGAGTCTTGCTCTGTCGCTGGAGTGCAGTGGTGCAATCTCGGCTCACTGCAAACTCCACCTCCTGGGTTCAAGTGATTCTCTTGCCTCAGCCTCCCAAGTAGCTGGGATTACAGGTATGAGCCACCACACCCAGCTAATTTTTGTATTTTTAGTAGAGATGGTTTTGTCATGTTGGCCAGGCTGGTCTCGAACGCCTGACCACAGATGATCTGCCCACCTCGGCCTCCCAAAGTGTTGGGATTACGGACGTGAGCGATTGCACCTGGCCTGTTGGATAATTTTTTATTTTATTTTATTATTATTATTATTTGAGATGGAGTTTCATTCTTGTTGTCCAGGCTGGATTGCAATGGCGTGATCTCAGCTCACTGCAACCTCCGCCTCCTGGGTTTGAGTGATTCTCCTGCCTCAGCCTCCTGAGTAGCTGAGATTACAGGTGCCTGCCACCATGCCCAGCTAATTTTTTTGTATTTTTAGTAGAGACGGTGTTTCACCATGTTGGCCAGGCTGGTCTTGAACTCCTGTCCTCAAGTGATCCACCCGCCTCAGCCTCCCAAAGTGGTGGGATTACAAGTGTGAGCCACAGCGCCCAGCTGGATAAGTTTTGAGATTATGTCTTAAAGGCACTGCTCTTAATTATAAAAGTGATTTGTGAACTATTAAGAA
Organism: Homo sapiens; assembly: GCF_000001405.40. Lineage (NCBI taxonomy): Eukaryota > Metazoa > Chordata > Mammalia > Primates > Hominidae > Homo > Homo sapiens. Next base: position 54,635,069 of record NC_000014.9, on the reverse strand, counting down.
ATGAGACTCACTTTTATCTACAAATGTTCTTGAAAAACAAGTTCCTGGGTTCAAAATGATGTAACTGATGAGCCCTGAATGCATAGCAGGATACAGTGACCAAGATCTGCAGATCCCCAAACTTTAGTTCTTGGCTCATGGTTCTGGGAATCAGACCCAAAGACACATTTTAACTTAAAAGTCTTGCTGACACTGCTAAGTTTATTACTATGTTAGTATATTTTTAGAATTTATTTTTAACTATATAAATAACGTGTCAGTATATTCACACTATTTCACAGGTGGATGGATAGATAGATAGATAGATAGACAGACAGACAGACAGACAGACAGACAGACAGACAGACAGATAGATAGATAGATAGAGGGTCCCCAACCCCTGGGACACAGACCGGTACTGGTCCACAGCCTGTTAGGAACCAGGCCACACAGCATGAGGTGAGCGGCGGGCGACCATTACCACCTGAGCTCTGCCTCCTGTCAAAGCAGCATGGTATTAGATTCTCATAGAAGCGCAGACCCTATTGTGAACTGTGCATGCAAGGGATCTAGGTTGCACACTCCTTATGACCAACCCCCATCCCTGTCCCCACTACCCTGGCCCGTGGAAACTTTGTCTTCCATGAAACCAGTCCCTGGTGCCAAAAAGGTGGGGGACCGCTGATACAGATAATGTAAAGCTTTCCTTATCAATCACCCAATCCCATTCCCCTTCCAATGGGTCCTATTTCTATTCATTCATTCATTTTATTCAACAGTACTTCCCCCCTCCCCCCACCCCCCCGAGATGGAGTCTTGCTCTGTCGCCCGGGCTGGAGTGCAGCGGCATGATCTGGGCTCACTGCAACCTCTGCCTCCCAGGTTCAAGCAATTTTCCTGCCTCAGCCTCCCGAGTAGCTGGGATTACAGGCATACACCACCATCCCTGGCTGATTTTTGTATTTTTAGTACAGACAGGGTTTCACCATCTTGGCCAGGCTGGTCTCGAACTCCTGACCTCAGATGATCTGCCCACCTGTGCTGGAATTACAGGCGTGAGCCACCGCACCCAGCTGAATATACATAATTTTATTCAACAATATTTAGTGACTATCTATTATGTGCCAAATACTGTTCCAAATGCTGAGGACACAGTAATAAGACAGACAAGAAGATCCCCCCTCCAACACTTCCAATCTTCCCCATCTCAATACCTAATAAAAGCTGATATTTGTTTAGCAGGTACCAAGCATTTTACATATGTTAAGTGATATATTCATAACCACCATATGAAAATGTGAAATTACTCTCCTCATTTTATAAAGGATAGTAAAGCAGAGAGAGAAGAGATTATTGCCCAAGGTCATACCTCTAGTAAATGACAGAGCCAGGAGGGCACATAGTCCTTGAGTCCTATCTCTCCCTGACTCCTCCTGCCCCCTCCCCATCCTTTGTATCTGTCAGCAAAACCAGCAGGCTCCACCTCCTCCATCCCCACTACCCCCTAGGCACCAGGCACCCCACTCTCTGACATGGCTGACTGGCATGGCATTAGCTCCTAACTAATCTCCCTGTCTCCCTCTACTTGTCCCCAACTACTCACGACCCCACATCCAGAGTGATCTTACAATGTTCAGACCCCCTAATGGCTTCCATTGCACCTAGAACACAATCCTAAATCGGGTCTATATGAATCCTGCCTTCCTGTCTACTCACAGCCCTGCAGTCTCCTCCTCACTCACCAGTCTCCAGCCAAACTGGCCTGCTTTCCAGTCCTTGAACACAGCAGGGCCATTTCTGCTGTGGAGCATAGCCCCAGCTGTTGTGATCCCAGATCTTACGTGGCTGGCTCGGTTTCATCATCTAGGATTTAATCCCAACGTCACATCCTTGACCACCCAAACTAAAATAGCTCCCCTGCCTCCACTCCTCATGCCCACCCTTATACATTATGGTTAGGACTGTAGGTTGGTATAACCTCTTCAGACAGCCAGCTGGCAGTTTCCATCAGAACCTAAATCACATACCTAGCTGTTTGATCCAGCTATTCTACTTCTAAGAATTTATTCTAAATATAAACTTGTACATGTGTGAAATGATATATATTACAGGACTATTCATTGCTGTGATGCTTCTAAAAGCAAAATGTTGACAAAAACTTCACTATCCTTCAATAGGGTCTCCTTAAATAAATTACTATACATAGTGACAGATAAAATACATTAGGTACTTTCTACGTGCCTAACAACAACCTTATGAGTTAAGTACTGTTATACGTCCTATTTTAGATAAGAAAGTTAAAACAGAGTGAGCTTAAGTAACTTACCCAAGATGCATAGCTAATAAGTGGTAAATTGAGGATTCAGACCACAGGTTCTTGGTCTCTATGCAATACTGCCTGCCAGTACACATTCCTGTGGTGGAATACCATGCAGCCAGCAAAAGGAATGATGCATTATATACATACTGGTATGGGCTGATCATCAAGACATGCTGTTAAGTGAAAAAAAAAGTGAAGTGTAGAACAAATGGGTAGAGCTTAACCTGTTGGAGTTTTGGGGTGTTTTTAAGAACACAAATGTGTATGTTTGCATACTTCTATGCAAAGACCTATAAGGAACAGTGGGAAATTATGTAAAAACAGTGGCTACTCTGGAAAGGGAAACTATAGGTGGCCAGGGCAGGGGTAGGAGATTTACATTTTACTGTGTATTCTTTTGTGCCTTTTGGTTTTTGTCATGTATGCACAAACATGCACATACTGACTATTCAAATTAATAATGAAAAACAAACAGATTACCAGATTGAGATTTCCAAAAGGAAAAAGGGTACAGCCAAATCATTACCGTATAATCGTTTGCATTTTTTTTGTATATCTAATAGTAAGTGGTTTGTTTATTAGTGCATGTTCATCTTGACTCTACTATAGTCATCCTCTAAAATGCTTTGGTTTTTCTTTGTAGTGGGGCTGTGGTAGTGTGGGGAAGGCAATGCATGTTTATTGTACTAGCTTTGTAAGCTCACTAGACCCCACTAGAATGTAAGCTCCAGGAGGGCAGGGACTCTGTGTGTACAGTTCAGTGCCATACCCCCAGCATTTAGCACCCTACCTGGTGTATAGTAACTCTGAATGAATGAACGGTAGTGCCCAAAAATCTAGGGGTGAGACAGAGAGTAAAACTGTAGGAACTTTCTTTACCAAAAATGCACAAAAATTGTTAATACTTTAGACCAACACTTAAGTTTCTTAGTATAAAGAAGCTATGTATGTCCCAAGGGATTTCACTTAGGCTTATACAGGGTCAGAAAAATGCTGATAGTGGGCAAGAAGCAGTGAGGTTATGAAAGAAAAAGAAAACAGCTCAAGCCTTAAAAAGCAGGAGAGATTTAGAGAAGCTACATGGACATGTACAAAGTTTCAGTTATTATTTAAGTAATTTGGGATTATAAAAATTATTATTGATTCAGTAAAAGGAAAACTCCTTCTTTGAGGCCACATCATTCTAAGGGAAACATCTGCCCTAGAAATGACCACCTGGAGCCCTCCAAAGTTGCTTTGTCTTGTTATACCTTCACATGAAAAGGAATGAGCTCAATAACAGACTTGAGCCACAAAACCTATAGGAAAATGAAGACCCTGAGAATGTTCTTCATCTTCAAACTAATTAGCAGAGGCAGAGGAGGACAGCATCATTTGTTAGTGCTGTGTGATTGTTAGTTTTATGTGTCAACTTTACTGAGCTATGAGGTGCCCAGATATTTGGCCATATGTTATTCTGAACGTTTTTATATGGGTGTTTTGGGATGAGATTAACATTTATATCAGTGGCCTGAGTAAAGCAGGGTGCCATCCATAATGTGGGTGGGCCTTACCCAATCAGCTGAAGGCCTGAACAGAACAGAAAGGCTGATCCTCCCTTGAGTAAGGGAGAATTCCTCCTGCTTGGCTGCCCTTGAACTGGGACATTAGCCTTTTCCTGCTTTGGACTCAAATGGAAACATCAGCTTTTCCCATGTTTTGAGCCCATCAGCCCTTGGACTGGAACTACACCATCAGCTCTCCTGGACCTCCAGCCTGCTGGCTCTGCCTGCAGCTCTTGTCAGCCTTCATACACATGTGAGCCGATTTCTCATCACACACACACACACACACACACACACACACACACACACACACACACATATAAAATACAAGATTTATTATATGTGTAATAAATATAGCTATGTAATTATAAATATGTAGTTACATTATATTTATTATAAAATATACACATATATGCATACACACATCCTATTGGCTCTTTTTCTCTGGAGAACCCTGACTAATACATGTTGCTTCCTCTGTTAGAAAACTCACCATAGTGAAATACCCCTTGATACAACCTATCACTAGAAGCCTGATAATGAGAATACAATATCCCCATGACCACCACCACCAAAGCATTCTCAGCTGGTGCAGAGAGAAACAACAGCTTAAAAGCTAAAGACTCATACGTATATCTGATAAGGGGTTAATACTCAGAATATATAAAGAACTCCTACAATGCAACAACAAAATACAATCTGATTTTAAAAATTGGGAAAGGACCTGAATGAACATTTCTCCAAAGAAGATATACAAATGGCTAATAAGCACATGGGACGATGGCCAACATCACCCATCATTCGGGAAATGCAAATTAAAACCACAATGCAATATCATCTCATATTCATTGGGATGGCTACTATTAAAAAACAAGACAGAAAATAACAAGGGTTGGCAAGGATATGGAGAAATTGGAACCCTTGTGCATTGCTAGTGGGAATGTAAAATGATGCAGCTGCTATGGAAAACAGTATGGCAGTTCCTCAAAATATTAAAAATAGAATCACCATATGATCCAGCAATTCCACTTCTCGATATATACCCAAAATAATTGAAAGTAGGATTTCAAAGAGATCTTTGTAAACCCCTGTTCATAGCAGCATTATTCACAATAGCCAAAGGGTGGAAGCAACCCAAGTGTCCACTGATAGATGAGTGGGTAAACAAAATGACATATATACATACAATGGAATATTATTCAACCTCCAAAAGGAAGAAGATTCTGACACATGCTACAACATGATGATGCTTGAGGACATTATGCTAATGAAATAAACCAGACACAAAGGGATAAGTCCTGTATGATTCCACTTATATGAGGTATCTAGAAGAGTCAAATTCATACAGACAGAAAATAGAACAGTGGGTGCCAGGGGAAGGAAGTAATGGGGCGTGATTGTTTAATATACACACACAGTTTCATTTTTGCAAGATTAAAAGAGTTCTAAAGATGGATGGTGGTAATGGCTGCATAACAATGTGAATGCACTTCATACCACTGAACTGTACACTTAAAAATGGCCAAGTTGATAAACTGTATTTTACCGCAATTGAAAAAAAAATTTTTAAGCCAAATACTTAGAGATCTCCAGAATATACCAGTAAGCTTTAAAGAAAAAAAAGAATAGCAGAAAATGAATATAATATAGGTTCATTATATAAAAACTAACATAAATATACATGCATAGAAAGGAGATAAACTGTCATTAGCAGTTACCAATAAGATGGGAAGGGACAGATAAAACGAAATATTCATGTATCACTCTGTATGCCATACTGGGGCTTACTGATTGAATCTGGTACAATAAAAACATATTTGTATTAGCTTCCTAGGATGACTGTAAAATACCACAAACTGGGTAACTTAAAACAACAGAAATTTATTCTCACAGTTCTGAAAACAAATCAGGTTGTCTGAAATCAAGATGTGTCAGCAGGGCCATGCTCTCCCTGAGACACTAAGTAGAATCTGTCGTTGCCTCTTCCAAGCTTCTGGTGGTGGCCGTCAATCCTGGGCATTGCTTGGCTTGCAGCTGCCTCACTCTAATCTCTGCCTCTGTGATTATTAATACCTGGTGCTCTTCCTGTGTGTCTCTCTTCATATGGCATTGTCGGCTTCTTATAGGGATACCCAGTCACATTGGATTAGGGCCCACCATCACGTCATAACTTCATTTTAACTTGTCTACATCTGCAAAGACCCTATTTCCAAAGAAGGTCACATTCATAACTACTGGAGGTTAGAACTTTGACATTCTGGGGGAGGCAGGACACAATTCAACCTGTAACAATATTTGTGTTTAAAAAAAAACCAAAACTACAGTTAAGGTTCCTTGAACACCCTATTTATGAGCCCATACAGATCCATTAGAGACAATACTATGAGAATGAAGAACCTGGATTAAGGAGCCACACTGTAGAGGTTCAAATCCCAGCTCAGCCACTTACAAGCTACATAACTTTGAGGCAGTTCATTAACTTCCCAGTGCCTCAGTTTCCTTATCTGTAAAATAGCAGCACATAGGTCAAACGGTTGTTAGGAGGATTAAATGAGTTATCAAGTACTTAGTACAATGCCTGGTACACACTAAGTACTCAATCAACATGAGCAATTGTTGATATGATTATCACCATTTTCAGCATCCCAAAGACTCCCCTAGGAAGCATTCTTGGGGACAGAGCATGCTTTATTTTTATAGCACCTACTGAAGGCCTATTTCCATAGCTGCTTCCCCAATAGTCTCATGCTTGACTTTCAGAGCATCAGCAATTTCATCTGATGCAGAGTTATACTGCTGCAGTAAATATTCTTCATCCATGCCATTATTCAATTCCCTTCCTTGGTGCAGACCCCTCTGTGACATGGCAGTGATGCTCATGAAGGCCGGCGGAGTCTCCAAGCAGCACCACCTAGACCGTCCGGGCAAAGCGCCTGTCACTTCACATGCAGCCCCAGGAAGGGACACAGAGCAGTCTTCGGCCTCAGTCCTCCCACCTTCTGTGATCAGGGCCCTATATTTGGATTTTGATCTCGGCCTGACTTGCTGCTAAATCTGTAACCAGTTACTCTTACAGGGTTGTGGGGGAGGAGTCATGTTGCTATGGCAATCCAACAACTCTGGGAGAAGGAGAGGAGAGGAAATGGAATTTCAAGGCCCGAGACCACCAAGACTCAGAAATACCCATTTCTGCGTGTGTGCCACAGAAATGAATCTTGATATGCTAAAATAAACAGACCTCTCTTCTCTTTTTCCCAAATTTCCAACCATTGACAAAAATAAAAGCCTGCTTATACAAGAACTCTATTCACATGTCATTTCCTAACAGGACAGAAACTAAAACTCACACTTCATTCAGCAAGTCAGGAAGTCAGCTGATTTCCTTTAAAACCCTCTCTGCATGAAACGAGCAATTGTCTAGTCTGGATTTTATACATAATATTACTTTTTGACCTGCAGTTTACAAATAAACTAACAGAGAGACACAGATAAAGCTTCGGCTTTCTCATCTCCCACTGGTTTAAAGGAGCAGGAGGAGGGCAAGGAAGGATGTAAAAAACTGCCTGGTAACCGAAAGACCTCATCTTCAACAATGACTTCTACCCTGCCCAGGCAGTAACAGCCGCTGACAAAAAGCTGAGCTGACTTGTTAGGGTCTCACACCACTGTTTTCCTGTCCACATTCTGGTAGAGCTTCTAAGGAATCTATCTGAAAGGCAAATCAGAGTCAAACACATACACAAACACAAATCAGGGATTAAGACTGTCTGTGTGCTAGATATTCAGGAGCTAGATCATCTAATGAATGGGCTAAAGAACGTTCTGGTAGGCTAGTCCAGGACAGGATCAGCCACGGAGCAGCAAATGTAACGGACAAGCTGCGTCTTTGAAAAACTACTCTGGTTAACCTTAGGACTCACATCTTAGGGGAGTTGTATGACAAAATTTCTTTAAAAAAAAAGTCAGAAGCACCCCTCAATCTGATTCTCTTTACTTTCTGTCCTTTTTACCTCTTTTTCCAAGACAGTTTTTCTGAGCTTGAGCTAGGGTAGGGTAAGTACTGAAGGAAAATTTAATTCCAGAGTCTGGGGGTTGGATGTAAAAAGGTAATGAGTTAGTTGAGTTATAGTTATGTAATTTTTCCGAATTTTTAAGGAAATAGCAATTGCTTAGAATTACAGAATAAGATTATATGGATGAACAGGTCAGAGAAATAAGATGTAATTGGGAGAAAAACCCTGAAGCAAGAGTCAGAAGACTCCAGTCCTTGGCTTGGCTCTCCCACTTACCCAGTCAAATAATCACGGACAAACTATTTAACTTCCCTGAACTTCTGTTTCTTCAGCTCTAAAATGGGTATAATAATGCCTGCCCTGACTTCAATTATGAGATCAAATGAAGTCACATATGTGCAAGTCTTCTGTAAACTATTAAGAACTTTTCAGTGAATGTATTGCTATTCTACCAGAATCCAGATGTGTTGAACAGAGAATTGCTGTTCTCCTGCTTGTATATCCCTCAGCCTCCATAGGAATTCCTTATATCTAGTAGGAAAAACAAACGCAACTGGAAACAAACATGTCCTAACTAAATATGCATATAGGAGGGGTTTTTAGTACAAGTTTCCAAAAGCAGGTTTAAGGGAGACCCGTTCGACTTGGAAAGTCAAAGTTGGCCATCACCTAGCAATCAGCAACGTATCCACAAGGTACCGAACACCTGTGGGCAAAGCCACTCTCCCTTCCTGAATGGCACCTTTATAATGAGAACACTCACTGTTGTGCAAGAGATAAGAAGTTTTAGTTCATAAAATTCTAGTTGGTAGCATGCCATGTCAATTAGCTTCTTACTCCATGTTCACAGCATTATCACTAAATTAGAACTAATTACCATCTCAATTGACAATTTAGAAGCCATTAAAATATAGATTAGCCTGAAAGAAATACAGTATCCTGTGGAAAGTGAAATTCTGATGGAGAAGAGATAAAGTCTAACATCTAACATTTACTGTGGTAATGACCCTGTAACTGGTGCTAAAACAGGATGTTAATTAAACTAGAGCCACTATTTTTCCTGACCTCCTGGAAGCTAGAGTCTAAAAAAAAACAAGATGTCTCTTTCTGTCCCTCATGCATGCACATGTGCGCACTCGCGCGCGCGCGCGCGCACACACACACACACACACACACACACACACACACACACACACACCTAGCAGTAGAGCTGCTATTCTGTAAGTATGTCCCACAGTCAACACCAAGCCTCGGTCAGGAGCTAAACACAGACTTTGCTTAGCATGCTTCGGAAACAACTAAAAGTTTGAAGCAGAAGTCAAGAGATACCAAATTAGAGCGGGACAATTTAAAGGTACAATGCATGGGGGAAATGAAGTAGGGAAGAAAATAGGCAAAGTCAAGTAAGAGTGACCATTAGTCATGAGCTGAACATGCCCCGTGAGCAAAGCTGCACAAGGTGAGTTCAAAATTTTGATTAAAAAATTTATTATAAAGCTCTTTTCCTTAGGTACTTTCTAAGTACTTTACATTTCAAACCAGCAGCTGCTTAACTATGTGGCCCTTTCTCTGAGAAACTTGCAAATATGGGGACACATTTTTAAAGAGGTATGGAGGGATTTAACATTACATTTTGTAAACATCACCTGGTGATCTGAAGAATCACAGTTTGTCAATAAACAAGCCCCACCTGGGTTCACAAACAAATCAAAATGGCTTTGCCAGGTTCTGGAAGGAAACTTATTCTTGCTATTTTCACTGCTGAACTTTCGGGCAGCTCATCTCAGAATGACAATGTTTACATTCCATTCCCTACAACCTCACACCCTGGTGCAGGGAAGACTAATGACAGAATGTCACGAAGCAGAAATGCAGAAACATAGGAGTAATTGCGCAGCAAGTCAGAGAGCTTTCGATCTGAATGCACGCAACAGCAGGAAAGCCCATTACTCCAACTGCTGAAATTATGTCTCACTGGAGTGAAGTCTACAGAAATATTTATAGAATTAGCAAAATACTATCATTGGCAGTTTTGGGGATTGCCTAATCTCCTGAAAACCTTTTATGGGCTGTGGGGAAAGAGCTGGGGGGAGGGGGACATAGGAAGCCATCCACCAGAAAAATGGTTAGGTGTTAAAAAAAAGAAATGATAACTTTGCCATAGTAGCACAGTGTTAAAGAAAGCATGGGAAACCAAATTCAGGTCATAAATTCATCCTGAAGCACACACTGACTGACTATTGCTGTCATTCCAGATATGTATTTCAAAGACTTCTATTAGTGACAAAATCCCTACATTTGCAAAGCATCCTGAAAGGTTGTATTTATTTTTCTGATACTTAAAAACAACAACAACAACAAAAACTGTATATCCGTGCTGTATCCTTTCTGATTTAGTTATTTATGGCCACTTACCTCCAAACAACAAAAAAAAAAATCTCTTCTCCCCAGGTTGCCCTTTATATTACAAAGTAATTATGGTGCTCACCAACTGAATTTAGTAATTGAGGATAATTGTATAGCCATATAAGTAAAACTATTTGCTTTCTTGCCAATTTGGTCAGTTTTCAGTCTATTAACAATCACAAGCAACTCAGAGAGGAGACAGCATTTACTTTTGAATCTCAACTACATGCTTTTTACCAAACTTCAGTCAGCACATCATTTGTGCTCAGTTAAATTGGTTGTTGCTGAAATTCCCCGCTAGCATTGAAATAGCTGTCAGGGCAGGTAGTCTTCGAAAGTTCTTAGATCTGCACTGTTTGGGCTCCTTGGCTCAGTCAGGGTTTGTGTAATAAGGGTCAATGGAGGTGGTTCCGAAAGAGAAATATACAGAGCCCTTCCGTGATGTCTGATGCCTTCTTTTTCTTTCCCACATCGCACACTGGCATGTAAGTTATCACGTGACCGGAGAGGGCATAATAGAAATTAAATAAGAGTGGGCCGGGCGCGGTGGCTTGCGCCTGTAATCCCAGCACTTTGGGAGGCCAAGGTGGGTGGATCACAAGGTCAGGAATTCGAGACCAGCCTGGCCAACATGGTGAAACCCTGTCTCTACTAAAAATACAAAAATTAGACGGGCGCGGTGGCAGGCGCCTGTGCTCCAGCTACTCGGGAGGCTGAGACAAGTGAATCGCTAGAACCCGGGAGGCGGAGTTTGCAGTGAGCCAAGATCGCGCCACCGCACTCCAGCCTGAGCAAGAGTGAGACTCCATCTCAAAAAGAAAAAAAAAAGGAATTAAATAAGAGTGGATGAAATCAAACCAGTTCCTCTCAGATACTGTCTGTTAGATTGTCCCCTCACACTAACTTATGAAAACAGAACCATTCTTCTCTTTTCTTCCTGGTTAAGTTAGAGGAGAAGGGGCCCTGGGCAGCCATAGTCCATTTCCTTCTAATGTTTCAGGAAGAATGGAAAGAATGATAACATTCTAGGTCAAGAGACTCTAAAAGAGGTTTTGCAGTAATAACTGGGACCTCCCATGTTGTTATCCCCCAGCTATGTTCAGAACATTTCTACATGGATACCTATCCTTCCCTCGAATTCAGCAAGTGCAAATTAGGCATATCCTTGTCCCCACCCTCCCCAACTGATCCCTACCTTGGCTTCTTTATTTCTACCAACAGAATTAGCCATTATTTTTCCAGTGGCCAACAATTAATACTTTGGAATAATCTTTTATACCTTTCCTCCCCCTGCTTTTTTTTTTTTTTTTTTTTTTTTTTTTTTGCTGATGTCCAAGTTATTTATTAACAGAGGGGTCATCACAGTTGTTGGTTATATTCACAGACTCAGCTGTGACTATAAATGCTCTCCAACCTGCTCAGGGTCTTTAATGAATGGAAGTGGGCTTTGTGAGACTAAAAACAATTTGGAAAGTTCATGAAGATTACACTGAGGCCCTATTGAGAAGCTGGAAGTGGGAGCAATAAGATGGCCCTCTGAGAGCAAAAACATAGGAGCAATACCAGGTATAGATGGGCAGACCAGCAGAGATGCCTCATGGGACCACAAAGCAGCAAGGCCATCAGGGTCTCAGAAGAAAGAGGGCTGGCCTGATGTGGGAACAGGGCAAGGAGAGTCCCTGGGGGATACACTGGCAGAACCCACACAAGCCCCGGCAGGGCTGGTGCACTCATGGGAGCTGGGAGAAGAGTGTTAAACCAAACAGGTCCTGCCCTCACAGGGCTGACAGTCTAGTGGAGGTGACGGAAAACAACCAATCCTAGAACACTTTCATTTTCAGGTGACATTCAGACCGATCGGCCTAAGATGGCTGTAAAAAGTGCTTCTCAGACTTTAACATGTATACCTGGGGTTCTTGTTGAAATGCAGGTTCTGATTCAGCAGGGCTAGGGTGGGGCCTGAGAATCTGTGTATCTAACACCTCCCAGGTGATGCCACCAGTGCTGCTGATGCACAGACACCCTTTGAGGAGCAAAACTCCCCACGCCTACGCTGCACGACAGACCAGTCAAATCAGAACCATGAGGGCTGAAACCAGAAATTAGTGATGTCAAAGCTCCAGGAGGATTCCTAGGGGAGCCACAGTTGTGACCCACAGGCCCAGATGCTTATCCAGGGGCAGGAGTCCTCTCTCAGCCCAAATCACTGCTCTTCACACTCAGGAACAAATCAACAAAGCTCTTTCTACGGAGGCCTGGGCTATTTCTATTTTTTCAAAGTTCTTCAGTGCCAAAGCAGAATTACCCAAATGTGACATATTTTAAATGTTCACATTTATCAAGTCAGTGCCTTTAACACAAAGCACAACTTTATGTATAAGCTCATTTGAAGATAACATCACACGCCTGCCTCTGAGGCCCATCATAATCCTACATCCTGCTTCCCTAGATAGGCCCTGAACAGTCCCTCCATTCGTTGCCTGGTTATCTGAGAAGAGTTTTCTCTAAGAATGACCACGTATTAAGAACACAAATGGAAGACAGACATTTATAACCACTGCTTTCCAGTAAAACATCAAAGTTGATGTAACAAACTCTAAATGATTAATTTCTAATTTATACAAAATATAACATTAATATAAAGAAAAATGCTTTTCTCCCCATTAACAAGACTTATCCTGGTGTCCCTACCACAAAATATTCCCATTCAAGAAAATTCATTTCTTGAGTGAAAATCATCAAGACTGTGTGTAGGTAGGACATTTTTATACATGAAAAATCAGCAAAATACTTCATTTGCTCTAGAGAAAAATGTTTATTATTCTAGTCCTAAATTTCATATAATATGAGTAACACAAAATACAATACACAATGAGTAAGGATATTTTTAAAAGATGAGTTGTTTCTCCCCAAAACACTCCCCCCTCCTGCTTTGCTGGCATTAACAGATATGAGTCTAGTTGAACTTGGACACACTTACAAAACCAGAAGATTTTGCCTTTTATCTCTCAGATAATGCATAAGAAAGCATCAATGTCCTGTAAATATTAGGGGATAGATTTATTTTCTTTGGGTAAAGGAGACCAGTAAAGAAAGAATCTGGTCTAGAATATGGGAATGCTTATGTACATCAAAAATGCGTTTTGAGCTGGGCACAGTGGCTCACGGCTATAATCCCAGCACTGTGGGAAGCTGAGGCGGGTGGATAGCTTGAGCCCAGAAGTTCGAGACTAGCCTGGGCAACATGGTGAGACCCTGTCTCTACTAAAAATACCAAAAAAAAAAAAAAAATTATTTGGGCATGGTGGTGCCCGCCTATAGTCCCAGCTACGCAGGAAGCTGAGGTGGGAGAATCACTTCAGCCTAGCGGATGGAGGTCGCAGTGAGCTGAGATCATGCCACTGCACTCCAGCCTGGGGGACACAGCGAGACCCTGTCTCAAAACACAAAACAAAACAAACAAAATATGTTCTGAGAACAAACACATAGAGAGTGGTCTTCAGGCATTTTTAACCAGGAGGGTCTTGCTTTGTGACATCTGGGCTGTCTGTGGTGAGTGCCAGTGAGGGAAGACTACTCTCTGATTGTCATGTTTGAATTCAAGAGTTGCTATTTGAAAAGTTGGAAAGGAAATCAGGGAGTTGAAATGCACAAAACCTTCGCCTTAAAGGTCGTGCCTACCAAACAGCCCTAAGATGTCAGCCCTTCCTGTCTCCTTTCTCCACCTGCTCAAAAGCAAATGTCAGTGGCTCTCATGCCTATAATCCCAGAACTTTAGGAGGCCAAGGATGGAGGCTCACTTGAGGCCAGGAGTTTGAGAGACCAGCCCAAGCAACACAGCAAGACAAAAAAATGTTTCATCTCTACAAAAGAATTTTAAAATCAGCCAGCATGGTGGTGTGTACCTGCAGTCCCAGCTATTTGGGAGGCTGAGGCAGGAGGATGGCTTGAACCCAGGAGTTCAAGTTTACAGTGAGCTATGATTGTGCTACTGCACTCCAACCTGGCAGACAAAGTGAGACTCTGTCTCTAAAATAAATAAATAAATGAATGGAGCAATGATTTTTTTCTAGGTTCAATTTTAAATTACAGACAAGTTTGCTCAGAAAACACCACAGTTTCAAACACATGTCCCTTACGACTTCTTTCCTGCCTGGTTTAATTTCAATTTTAAAATAAAGATCTCAGACCTAAAAACAGCCTAAAACACTCTGCCCTATACCACGAGAAGCTGTTCTTAACCTGACAAGGCAGAGCCAGAGCCATATAAATCTGTGGCATTTATTATCATTTGCCTCATTTGGAGATCTTCTGGGTCTACAGCCATGTGAGCGGGAAGGAATGCCACAACTATTCTGTTCACTTGGCATTTTATGCAGGCCTTACCAGCATTGCTGTGGGGATCCTACTGACCTAGTTTTGATAATGATGATGATGATGATGATGATGATGCTCCAACATGGTGCTTATTTTTGTTGGAGGCACTGTTATGGACAGTTTTCTGTTTGCTTTTTCTTTTAATCCTCAAAACAACCCTATGAGGGGGTTACTGACACTAGGCCCCCTTTGCAGATGGGTTTTGGCTCAGCGGCTGCTAACTGTGAGACCTGGGGCAAGGTAGTTAAATTCCCAAGCCTTCTGTTTCAACATCTAAAAAGTAAGGGTTATAATAATGCCAACCTCATGAAATAATGTATATAAGGCTCACACAGGCCTAGAATGTACGTAACACCCACCCAAGAGTAGCCATCAGTTTTAGTTGGATGACTGGTAGAAGAAATGCTAAATTTAAGGTCATCTAGATGATAGAAGTTCCCCTGAGATCAATTAAAAAAAAGAAAAAAAAAGTCTTTCAAGTCCAAAGGAAAATAAACAATACTTTAAAAAATTAACTGACTTACCTGACCCTGTTTTTGTCTTTCAGTTAAAACAAAATAGGCTGAGTACATATACACCATGAAATACTATGCAGCCATAAAAAAGAACAAGATCATGTCCTTCGCAGGAACATGGATGGAGCTGGAGGCCATCATCCTTAGCAAACGAAAGCAGGAACAGAAACCAAATACCGCATGTTCTCACTTACCAGTGGGAGCTACATGATGAGAACACTTGGACACATAGAGGGGAACAACAGACACTGGGACCTATCAGAGTGGAGAGGGTGGGAGGATCAGGAAAAATAACTAGTGGGCACAAGGCCTATATAACAAAACCTGCACATGTACCCCTGAACTTAAAAGTTTAAAAAATTAAATTAAAAAAAATGATTAAAACAAAAAAGGTTATCCCTAGCCAAGGCACAGTCCCCTCCCCAATTTCTTAACATGCCCTTGGTTAAACTTGTTATAGTCATTCCCTCTAAGAATATGTTACATAGGGAAAAAACACCTGCTATGTGAAATGGGCTGAGCACTAAGTTACAGCATATAGACACAGTCAGAAAAGAAAAATGTAGATGAGAAGGCAAGAGCTCAAGATTACTCCTCCTACCCCGAGGGATTAAAGAATTTTAAATAGAATTTTGGATAGGATGAAAAGAAAGTTATCATTTTCAAAGTCTTGATAACAACCATATCTGAATTAAGAAACTGATTTTGATGAATTAACATTTTGACTTAAAATAATTACCTATTAGTTGTATCAGGAGATTATCATCCTTAGCAATTTTCCCACTTACAGTTCATTCTATTTTAAATCATTGTTAAGAATGCATTTGATGGCAGTTGTCTACACATTGGAAATGATTCTATAAATTTACCCTCAAAACATTTTTAAAGGGACATATATTTGATTAATAAAGGGGCTCTTTTTTTCTTTCTATACAAAAAATCAAATTTTTGGCATTTTTAAAGACATGACTTTTTTATGATGCTAGTCCTACTATATAGTTAGCCTTAGGAGAAATCATATTGCTTTATAGAGATCCAATAAATAACTGAAGTAAAACATTTTTCTTTCCTGCCCAAGATATCTTTGAGTAAATAATTTTTCCAAAATACAAGTGCTAGCTTAAAAATAAAACAAACGACAGGAAAAGGGGGAAAAGAAATGCATTTTGTCAGTGATTGGCCAACTTCTCTGAGAACAAGCAAGAAGCAGCCCTGAGGAAATACACCTTAGTAACTTGGTAACTCTCCAAACTCTAGAAAGACCTGTCCCCAGAAGGATCTACTAAATCAAACAGACATTGTAAAATATACTCAAAGACATATTTATCTATTCTAAACTTGACTTAAATTCTTCAGTTGATTTTCAAGTTTAAAGAGAAATTTGATAAATGCTTAGATGGAGATGGTTTGGCTAAACCTGTGATTTCTCAAAGTCAAAGACCTTACCTGATATTTCCTTTGTGATTGCTTCTCAGTAGATACTGCTGAAAAATCTAAGAACTGTAAATTTATTATCTCTTGGTTTTTAAGCAGTAGTAAATATTTTAACAACTGGTTCTCATGGGGCAGAGGGATGGATTTGTAGCATATGCCAATTTCCTTGGTGTAAATACTCCTAACATGGCTGATTTCAGACTACCAAGGTGAAAGCATAGTTGGAAAAAGCTGTGCATGATCAGCTCACGGGAGCTGGTGGGAGGCGGCTCCAGCACACCACTGGAAATAAAGTACATCAGCAATACCATATAGCTCCATGCCAATTTTAATCTGAGTTGCACCAGAAGCCATCTTACTCAAGTTGAGAGTATTTAATATTTTATTCTTACAAAGTTTGTCACCAAAATATTGATAATTTTGGGCACAATCAATTGCAAACTCCTTCGGGAAAAAACATGGTAATAAATAGAATGGCTT
Source organism: Homo sapiens (assembly GCF_000001405.40). Lineage (NCBI taxonomy): Eukaryota > Metazoa > Chordata > Mammalia > Primates > Hominidae > Homo > Homo sapiens. The sequence continues at coordinate 54,618,001 of NC_000014.9, read as the reverse complement.
CTTAAAGATCAAATTATATCATACTAATCTTCTCCAATAACTCAGGGCCAGGCCTAAAAGGCATCATCTATTTCGATGTCAGGAAGGCTTTGAGTTTTTTTCCAACCAGTGTAGTTATCAATAAAGTTGTGAAAACAATTTATATCACGGCTAAAATAAGGCACCCAACTTTCAAGAAATTCACAAGCTAGGCATGGTTATGAGTGCAGAGAAATGAATTGTTGTGGGAACACCTGTTAAATGGTGATCCAGGTGCACTTTAAAGTTGTCATCAGTAGGGCCTGAGTACTAATTCTGTAGTGTGAGTAGTGGCAGTGAGAACTCCAATGGAGGAAGAGGTCGAAAGATTTCTTAAAATTAATCATGAAATCTAATGACTCATCAAACTGACTGCATGCAATATCAGTACACGGAATACAAGACATTTGTTCATTTTCTCAATTTCAAAGAAGACAAAAATGTGAAGCCACTAGGGACCTGGCCAACTTAAAATGTCTTCCTTGCTCCCCCACTTTTCTCTGAAAAAAAAAGGGAAAGATTCTCTCCTTACAGATTCTTTCTTACAGAATTCTAGCAAACCTACCCTGAACTTTGAGTGAAGAAAATGGTTCAGTGCTTTCAATATTAATAGGAATTCACATATGCATGTTCTTGTAATATAGTTTGTTGATCATTTGTATGTTTTAATGCACAGTTATATTTACTTTTGTTGAAAGAGTCCAGTGTATTTGGGGAATCACAATCCTTCCATATACAGTTAAGAAAGAAATACCATATTTTATCCTACGAATACATTATTTCAAGGAAATGAATGAGCCTTCCATCTTCCCTCCTTTATTCTCATAGAATTGTAAAGAATATTACTATATTTAAACATCACCACACAATTAAATATTTAATTTTGAAGCCTTTAAAAATCCCATGGTTTTTAAATATATATTTGTATATTTGTAATTCATCAGGGTTTGAATAAATTGTTTGATACATAAGTAAAACAAGAATAAATTTTACCCTCAAAGGTAAATTGGCTGGAAATAATTTGAGGTCCAGGCTTCTTCAGCTTTCACTAGGTCATATTCAAAATTCTTATTTTGTAATTAAAGGACAGTATTTCTTCATTAGTACCTCATTAAATGGAATTTTCCATGTCTTTAAATTCAGAATTCCTGTTACGTACATTGCTACTTCAGAAAATTGGAGTGAAAATAAAAACTACAAGGTTGGTGACCAGATAGGCATTAAAAGACTTTAAATTGTCCAAACAAAATAATTATTAATAAATCAATAAGTTTAATTCTATGGAAACATAGCTTAACCAAAGGAATTCACAACTATTGGGTTCCATATTATTAAGTAATGGAGTGAGCCAATAATGGTAATTATGACTATATCTGCTTATCTAAAGATAGAACAATTTGTTTGGGATTATGTGGGATATCACCTTGCCAGCTTGGGGCCTCAACCAGGAGGGAGCCTTCCCACGTTCCCATGCTTTAAAGAGCACTGATGGACACAACCATCAAGACACACACAGCTACATACAATGATACGAAGTCCTCACTGGCAGAATAGGCTTCTAATGCAATGAAAAAGGCAAATAAGAGTAGTGTATTAGTATGTGATCTTTTCTGCAGATGTGTCTGTTTTTGAAAGTTTTAAGAACTTCTAAAGAATCAAAAAGAAAAAAAATAGGCATTGTCCCATAATTCAATAGTTATAGAAAGGTATTTCCCCCTAGAATATAAGAAAGTGTGGGGTTAACGCTGAATAGTTTTAAAGAGAACAATAAAGACAGGTATAAAATGTGCATGAGCAGAGGGAGCAAGGCAATTTATAATCTTTCCTATGGGAAGGTTTATGTTTCCATTCTTGAGATGAAACTTAAATAGAGGAAGCTATTTGCCTGCAGTTATCTTCTCTAGAAATAGTGTGTGATTTTATAGAGTCACATGGGATACACCATATATTAGATAGCTACTTATAAATACAAGTAAATTTTACCTGAAAGGGGATGGAATACAGCAAACTTTTATTTTTACATAGGAAATTTCTGATAAGAGAATTTTTCCCACTCACTTCTATTTTATAATTAAATCTGTCTTCTATCGGGGGGGAGGGGAGGGTCCCTATACGTATTAAAATAATGGAGTAAAGCATTTTTAAATATTATATTTTTAGAGCCCGTGCTCTCACTTTAAGTAATATTTTAATGCTTAAAATATTAGTAATACCATCTATTTCAAGAAAGTCACTAAATAAAAATGGTAAACATTAAAATAGAGAACATTGAGTAAATGCGGTTCATTTAACAAAATAAAAAGAATAAACACAACAACAGAATGACTTGTGTTCTAAAAGTTCATTTATAAATAGGTTGTGTGGAACCTGGAACACCCTTTTAAGAAATCATGCTATAAGAGGTGATCAGGGACCTATGTCAATCCACAAACATCTGCTTAGCCCAGGATGTTCCTGAAACATAGTACTTACAGTGCCATCAATTCTAAAGGACCACAGGTATTTCCGTGTGAAATAATTCAGAGTTGCAACTTGAGGAGTCAAATACATCTCCTGTGCTCTGAACATGTATTTTTCATGGACCAAGAGACGTGGTTCATGTAAACATTGGCAGAGGTTTTGTATTGTTAGGAAAAGGAATAGAATTAAGTGTCATCACTTACTGATCACATAATCTCAGGTATTTCCTCAACTGCAAAATGGAAGTAATGACATCTGCCCTACTTACTTTAAGAGGTTTGCTGTGTGAGAATTAAATGAGGTAAAGCAGCCAAAAATTGCCATGTAAATTATAAAGCTGCATCCCACCTCTCCAGGTGGGTCAGTCTTCATTGACAGATGACCAAGAGTGCCAGGGAGGCTGGGCAACTTTCCAAGGTTCCAGGTGAACTTGTCAGAAGCCAAGAGAAGGTGCCAGGACTCAACTTCTCAGCCATCTCCTCTTCACTAGATACATGGCATCTGACCACCCTTTTGTTAGTTAATCTTAATTAAACACACACTGGGCATACTACCAAAGAAAGATGGTGCAGTAAGAATGGCACATTTTGAGATGATTGAGCTGAACTCAAAAGAACCAGGTCCCATCCTGGTCTCCCCTCTGACTTGAGGACTTCATTAGACAATCACAGAGCCACTTCCCATGTCACAGGTCTCTCTCTAAATCGGGAGAAAACAGTGGGTTTCTCCAGTCTTCCTCTCAGGAAGTGGGTACTTTGGCCTTTATTTTATAAATAACTGAGAATCAATGAAATTTTTGTTGTAAGGCTTTGCATTCCTGAGGCAAAAAAGGGCAAAACCACTTGCTTTTATTAAACTATTATAGGCAACCTGAAACACTTTATGAAAACAAAATAGATAGTATTTAAATGTTTCTCACGTTTATAGAAAGAGGAGGGAAAGGTGCCGACCACTGGCACAGAAGAAAGAAGAGGCCCAGATAAGTGCTCTTAAAAGTCCCTTTTGTTATTAATACCCAAGTTTATGGTATGCATTCGTGTCATTAAACAAACAGAATTTTTCCAGTATCCAAACAAATGCTTACTTTAAAGCCATGGTCCTCAAACTTTTTAGTCTTTAGACCCATTTACACTCTTAAAAATTACTGATAACACCAAAGAGTTTTGTTTATGTGGATTATAACTGAGATGAACCATATTACAAAACCAAGAAACTTAAAAAATATGTATTCATTAATTTATTTTAAAATAACAATAACCCCATTATATGTTAACATAAATTACATGTTTTATGAAAAAAATTATCTTTTCCAGAAAAAAACTTTGTGAGAAGAGCCACAGTTTTTAAATTTTTACAAAACTCTTTCATGTATCTGTTAATTGCAGTCAGCTAGATTCTCATATCTCCTTCTGCATTCAATCTGTTAGGATATGCTCTTTAAAGTATATAAAGAAAATCCAGGCTCACAGAAATGTAGATGGAAAAGGAAGCAGTATTTCAATAGCCTTCTTAGACAATTGTTGATGTTCTTTGACGGACACTAAAACTTGACAACTGGTCGTTTCTTAAAGGTTACTTGCGACATGGAATCTAAAATCTTACGGGTGAATTTGTACTCTGTACACTCGTGAGGTAACACGAGCAAAAAAGAGCAAACAATGTCTTAGCGTTATTGTGAAAACGGGTTTGACCTTGCAGATCCTCTGAAAGGACCTTAGGGACCTTTGAGTCCCTACCACACTTTGAGAACTTCACTTTAAAGATACAAATTGTCTTATGATGTGTAATCGATGGAGTAAAAGCAATACCATGTGAAACTTAAGGAACAAGGTGAAATAATCTTGCAAAGAAGGGATAGAAGAAAGATCAAATGCAAACATATCATTCATCCCATCTTCTAACTTCACGTCCTGGGAACTGGAAGACAGACACTATAAGTCAGGAGTGCAGAGAAATGGCCTTAGCTGGAGTTTTGGAATAGAGGTTGCACCATAATGGCTCAAACATCTCAGAGAAGGTAACTTTTTCAACAATAGGTGAGAACCCTTGGGTGAATTGTAAAGATATTTTTATTACATCAGGACTGTTCATAACCAGCCCTAGCCCTTTAAACCAGCCTGGCATATCACACACAATGAACCTACTTACCAGTAGAGGTGATACCTGCTACCTGCTTCATTTCACCCTAACCTGCTCCCACCTCCCTCTGGTCTCCACCCGGCCCCTGCACCAAGCCTTCTGATCCTGCATGCATTTCTATTGTTGTCAGAATCAGTGAGCATCTCTGCTCTCCTTGGCTTCACTTTCTTTTCTTTCCTTTCCTTCCCTTTCCTTCCTTCTCTTCCTTCCTTTTCCCTTTCCCTCTTCCTTCCTTCCTTCCTTCCTTTCTCTCTCTCTCTTTTTCTTTCTTGATGGAGTCTCGCTCTGTCACCAGGCTGGAGTGCAGTGGCGTGATCTCAACTCACTGCAACCTCCGCCTCCCAGGTTCAAGCCATTCTCCTGCCTCAGCCTCCCGAGTAGCTGGGACTACAGGTGCATGCCACCATGCCCAGCTAATTTTTGTATTTTTAGTAGAGACAGGGTTTCACCATGTTGGCCAGGATGGTCTTGATCTCTTGACCTCGTAATCCATCTGCCTCAGCCTCCCAAAGTGCTGGGATTACAGGCGTGAGCCACCATGCCCGGCCGGCTTTCACTTTCTCTGAGGAATGCAGCTCTTTCTGCTACTGACTGCCTCGGGTAGTCTTCCCACCCCATCTTCTATGCCAATTTTAGCCCCTTATACCCAAATCCTAGCACGCAGATGGATGAGGGTGGGTGCAACTGCTTTGAATGGGTCATTTGAAAAAAACAGATGTTTTTCAGTCTTCTTGTACAAATTTTTCTTTTTGCCTGTTTCTTAGCATAGCACAACAGAGAACATGGAAATAAGTCATTTTCATGCTATTAGCACATTTAGGAAACAGGCTTCTACAGTAATTAAACTAATGAAGATGACCCTAGATTCAAGAAACAGAAATTAGAGTTGACTGAACAGGCATTAGGGGAAATGAAGACATTCACATTCAAAAAAAGATGAGATTTTAAAATAAGAAATCAAATTAATAATAGCCCAAACTCTATCAAGCAGGAAAGAGCTTCTAATGACTCAAAGAAGACTTGGAGACATATGTAGATTAGTCTATCATATTCAAGTGAATATAAAAATGATGGTATCTTATCATAAAAATAAGAACATTAAGGGACAGACTGAAGGAAAGCAAAAAAGTAGAAGAAACTGGCTAACTATATACAACTTAAACCAAAATGGAAAGGCTTTTCTTTGAAAAAAAACTTTTTCTCCATGTAAATTTTTAGTTGTTATTTTCCAAACATCAACAACCAGCTTTTAAAGTAGCAACTCAAATCCACTGCAGTAAATAAATGCAATTCAGAAACAAACAGAAGCTCCATTCCAGTGGTGCAAGGCCCCCATCACTGCCCATCTGGCTCCCTTCAGTAAATAACTGTGCGGCTCTGGTGTCAATCAGGGTGACGGCATGATCAGAGGATTTCTATCTGCAGTTTGAGTAGATCTATCTCTGGTAATCATTAGCAATGACAACAGTTATTACTGGCTTCTTTTCTTTTTTCTTTTTTTTTTTTTTTAGACAGAGTCTCACTCTGTCACCCAGGCTGAAATGCAGTGGCGCAATCTCATCTGACTGCAACCTCCACCTCCCGGGTTCAAGTGATTCTCATGCCTCAGCCTCCTGAGTAGCTGGGATTACAGGCATTTGCCACCAAGCCCAGCTTATTTTTGTATTTTTAGTAGAGATGGGGTTTCACCATGTTATCCAGGCTGGTCTCGAACTCTTGACCTCAAGTCATCTGCCCACCTCGGCCTCCCAAAGTGCTGGGATTACAGGCATGAGCCACTGCGCCTGGCCCCAACTGGCTTATTTTCTGTCAAACTCAGTGTTTGATAGAAACAGTCTAGTATGTCAGGTTCTCTTTTTAACCTTACTGATTCCAGAGGCCACAATGGAGGGGAAAAGGCTAGCATAAGGAAGAGTTTCCTCAAATGCCTTCTCTAGGCTACGATTTTTATGTAAAGGCTGATTAAGTGGTTTGCTGGGATCTGGAGCTGCCCAAGGAATTTCTGCCCACTCGGAAGGCCACTGGTGTCCTGAGTGTTGCTCATTCAGCAGAATGAAGCGCTCTGTCAAGCTGTGAAGGCCACTGGTGGGGGAAAGAGGGAATATGCTCATTCTTGTTATTGCTGTTGCTATTAATAAACAGGGCTTTATGGATTAAAAGGGGAGAGAGCTATGACATTATTAACATTAATTCTTCTTCATTAACTAATCTTTGAATTTTTTAGGTTTTTTTTTCTCTTTAGGACACATAAGCCCAGCCAAGATTCAAAGGCTTCCTTTTATAAACTAAAGTACAATATTTCTGTGTCATTATTATATATAGCCTTGAGTAATCACAATTAATGTGATTTTTAATGCACAAATTAAACATGCTATAAACTCTAATGATGATCATGCAGGATTTTGATCACTATCATCATTAGGTGAAACCTCAGAAAAAAATGTAAGCCTATCATGGGTCCTAACAGCTTTTTATTTTAATTCTACAGATTTGGGCATATTGGCTGTTGAGAGAGAGAAAACCAAAACCTTCTCTTTTTCCATCTGGCTATGAGTGCTTTTCATAGCTTATTTTTTCCACACTCACCCCTAAAAAATGCACTGGAGCTGAGCTATTGTAAGAATGTGTCAGATTCAAATGATTATATCATTGACTATCTGCTATTTCACAGGAGAACTGAACTGTCTGACTTTTTAAAAAACTCAGCACGGACTTTATAGTAGCGAGACTTTATCAACAGTGAGTTAGTGTTACAGGTGACTTGGCTCATAAAAAATTAAAAGCTTCAGAAATTAACTTTATCACAGAAAACATTTAGTCATAAGCAACCCCCAGTTGTAGAGGCAGAGAACCAAAGATCAGAGATATGTGCCAAAAAATACTTTTCAGACCCCGAGCAAAGAGAATAGTAAGAGCTGGTGTCAGCCCATTGCGGTGCCAGGCTGAGCTAGCTGGTAAGGTCTCTGGTAAAGAAAACGCTTTTCTGGGACGACTATAATGGGCACTCTGTGAGCTCCGGGGCCTGGAGTTGCTTTTCGACAGATGACTTTGTTCCTTCTTTACATGGTAAAGTTCAGTTTATATTTTTGTAGAAATACATTCTTGACATTTCCAATGAAAATGCTGACTTGGTCGCATTTTAGTTTCATTCTAATTGGAAGAAATGAGCCCTCGCTTGTTTGGAAAACAAAAGGCTACGAAAACTCGTGTTCATTTTGGGAACTTTTATTAAGTATTCAAAACAGAATGAAAGTGATCTAGTTCTGGAAAAGCAGGGTCATATCTAAAATTAAAAACAAAAACTAGGTTGCTGAGAGAGATCAAAAGACAAAAGGAATTCACTAAGCAGATGAAAGTTAAAAACACGGCATATATAACCTCATCACCTGAGGTACGCTGATTTAATATCAGCAGCGCCAACAAAAAAAGTAAAATCATAATGGGCTCCCATCTCTCCAAAAGCAAATCAATGCCTCATTGTGAAAAGAAACCCACAAAGAGATGGTGATTTTACTTTTATTTCAAAGACCAAATAAAGTCTTTGGTCCTGTAAGCAAGTTTTAATACTGTAACAAGATTGCTAACTTTTGCTGTCAGTCTGACTCATAAAGGACTTAATTACTTTTTTCGACAGTCAAGAAGGGTCCACTCAGAGAAATTGTGTGGCAGAGAAAAAAGGGCAGCGTGGCCAAGAGGAACCTGTAATGATGCACTCGTCAATTACAGCTATTTCTTTCAAACTTGTCTTGTTAAATTTACCTTCCTTTCCAGACGTCATAAATTAGCCCTCCATTAAAGCATCTGAATGCCAAACAGTACATTATTCTTCACAAGGTGACCATCAGGAGCAGGCTATGCTGGAATTGTATTCTTTTCCAATTGGCTGCTGTAACAGATTACCACAAATTTAGTGGCTTAAAATAACACACTTTTATTATCTTACAGTTCTGAAGGTCAGAAGTCTGAAATGGGTCTCACTGGACTAAGATCAAAGTGTCAGCAGGGCTTCACATCTTCGGGAGGCTCTAGGGGAGAATCTCTTTCCTTGCCTCTTCCAACCTCTTCAGGCTGCCTGCATTCCTTGGCTCATAGCCCCTTTCTCCATCTTTGAAGTCAGCAGTGGCTGGCTGAGTATTTCTCACATCACGTCTCTCTCATTGACTCTTCCTCCTCCAACTTCCACTTATAAAGGCGCTGTGATTACATTGAGCCCACTACAATAATCTGGGATAATCTTCCTATTTTAAACTCAACCAAGAACGAATTTCATCTGCAACCTAAATCCCCCTACTCCATGTAACATAACATTTTCACAGGTTCTGGAGATTAGGACATACACATCTCTGAGAGGCTGTTAGTTACCAGGAATAAAATGAACATTTGCCTTCATTAATTTTCAAGAAAAAACATTCTGACATGTGAAAAGCGCCTTTTACTTATTCTTGTTAAGTGACTTTAACATCATCTCAAAAGGTCTGGACTCATAGCTGTCTTCCGTTGCTAACTGTCCAGCTATGGTTTCTCCACGCCCTCACCTTTAAAGTGGGATTAGTATGGAGACCATGCTATTGCTTCTTCTTTTGTCCCTTCCACCTCTATATCTACGATTCTTTTTATATTCTTACCTAAGAAAGAGCCTTCTTCTTCCACTAAAAATACACAGTTGGGCTGCTCTGAATGTAACTCCCTTTCTCCAGCTAGTGTAAATGCAAAATCCATTGCTCAAAGAATTTGGCAAGACCTTCATTCACCGAAATATCAAACTCAATAACCTACTATGTGCCAGCACAGCATGTCCAGTATTAGACAAAAGTGGCATACTCCCTGCTGTTATTGGGCTTAGCATGGCATTTTCCAATATTTCCCGGGGCGATACAGAGGCAAGCTATTTTCTGTTATTTATGCCCCATTTCCTTTCAATACATATGTGAGAGCATACGATTAAGAACATATATGCAACAGGAATCTTTCCAATTAGGCAGTATATAACAAAAAGTAATTGTTATTATGACAGGTGAGGACCTGGACTGAGACAGAGACTGGAGGCAGATTTTCTATGTTTTGTACAGGACACCACAGAGCACCAAGTGCTTTCCAGTACACCATCTCCCTGATCCACTTACAACTGGGCCAGGTATGGAAAATATTATGATCATCCCCAACATGAAGGTAGGAAATTCAAGTCCAAAAAGCTTCAGTAACTCAGCTAAGGCCATAAAGTAGGTGGCAAAGCCCAGGACTCAAATTCAGGCCTTCTTAGTCCAAATGGTTTGCTCTCTTCGCTTCTGTCCTCTCGACACTAGTGGCTGAGGGTCCTCCTTTCCTGGCATGGCATGTTACTTTTCCAATTTTTTTTTTTTTTTTTTTTTGAGACGGAGTCTTGCTCTGTCACCCAAGCTGGAGTGTACTGGTGTGACCTGGGCTCATTGCAACCTCTGCCTCCCGGGTTCAAGTGATTCTCCTGCCTCAGCCTCCCGAGTAGCGGGGATTAGAGGTTTGCACCACCATGCCTGGCTAATTTTTCTATTTTTAGTAGAGATGGGGTTTCACCATGTTGCCCATATATAATAGTCAAATACCAAACAATGAAGCAATACAGAAATTATTATAGCCATTAAAATAAGACCTTGAGGCCGGGCGCGGTGGCTCACGCCTGTAATCCCAGCACTTTGGGAGGCCGAGGCGGGCGGATCACAAGGTCAGGAGATCGAGACCATCCTGGCTAACACGGTGAAACCCTGTCTCTACTAAAAATAGAAAAATTAGCCGGGCATGGTGGCGGGCGCCTGTAGTCCCAACTACTCAGGAGGCTGAGGCAGGAGAATGGCATGAACCCAGGAGGCGGAGCTTGCAGTGAGCAGAGATCGTGCCACTGCACTCCAGCCTGGGCGACAGAGCAAGACTCCGTCTAAAAAAAAAAAAAAAAATGAGACCTTGAACTCCTGACCTCAAGTGATCCACCTTCTTCAGCCTCTCAAAGTGCCACTTTTCCTAATTTTTGACTCCCTTTCCATCCTGTATACTTCTTACTATCTCCTGACTAGAGGCATTTTCCAATACATTCCTGTCTCCTCACAGCCTTAATTCCCATTTTAAAATGAAAACCAAATCTACCTGCCACGATCTCACATGAGGAACTTCATTCCTCAGAGGGCTACGTTCCCATCTCTCCCCAGCAACGCATCAGGAACGCCCTCCCTCCATGGGAATGACACAGCCCATGCTCTTCTGCTCCATTCTCTGACCTCAGCTGTATTCCCTATTTCCCTCCCTGCCACTGCTTTCCAACCTGATAACCTTGAAAGCACTGAACTCCTGTCTCTCCTTTATGCCACGTTCGGCCAAGGCCTCATGTTCCGAGTCCAGTGGTAATCCCAGCTCTGGTGAGTCCACTCCCTGAGAATCTCCACTGGCAGGCTGCACCCTGCTCTCCAAACTCCACCTCCTCACCAACCAAGAGCCAGGACACAGCCCAGTGAAGATCTTCCCTCCAAAGGGAGCACTGAAGACCATGTTGGCAAATAAGTGAATATGTGTTGACCACAAAATTTCCACAGTGAATAAGACAGGCAATCTGTAGATTCTTTTCAGCCACCAAACTAAAGGAGGGGGGTATAAAATACTTTTAACTGCCACATACCATGTAGCTTGCTAAATTAAGAATTCTCTGAGTCACTAAATCTCATTGGACTTTGAAAACTAAATCTTTGAAATGGACAGTATATAGAGTTATTTCCTAGAAAACCCCAAAGAAAGGTGCTGAATGAACATGGTGAGACCTGGTGATGATTTCTAGAACATGGAGACCAAACAGGGCCCCTGTGCCCTTCATCTTCCCGAGGTTACTGTGCCTGCCTCAGACAAGTGGCCTGCAGCCTCAAGTGCAGCCTGACAGTGCAGGGGCAAACTCCTCCCCCCGCCACCCAATCTCAGCTCTGCCTCCCACAAAGGACGTGTCGGAAGCAGGCACATGCCACAGATTAGGCAGCACCAAGCAACACTTTGCAAACAGCTTGTAAACATCAATGCCATACGAATCTGTGATGGCCAATCAGGATGGCAGGGTGCTCCCCAATCTGGAACTCTTCTTATTGGAAACCAGATGAGGCAGGCCCATGGCAAGGAAGTAGCATTGCAGAAATGAGCGCACACGTGCACGTGCACGTGCACGCACACACACACACACACACACACACACACAGCCCAGAAGTAAGACATAGAGGAATGAGCTCTTTTCCTTGTAACAGAAATGACATGCTTCATATTTTCTAAAAGGCGGGGCTGCACATTAAGCTTCTTTTTGCAACTTCCTCACTTTCCTAGTACTTAGAACAACCTGAAGGTAAAAATGGGCACCTAATAAACACCTGTTGAAATAGGTTGATTATTGTTTTATTCTAAGTTAGGCTCCAGTCTGTCTCTACCAGGGCAGTCAGAGGAATAAGGATAAATGTTGACTATTTAGCAAGCATGTTGTAAATATATGAGTTCCTCAAAATGTCTGTAATGGAAAGTGATCATTCCGTAAAATAATTTTTTAAGTCATACATATATATGGGCATGTTTATATATATACATATATATATATATAGGCATGTTTAATGCCCCAATGTTTTAAGAAAATACAGTTTTACACACAAATATGTTTATGACAACATTAATTACAATAGTTACATACCAAACAATGGAGCAATACAGAAATTATTATAGCCATTAAAATTATATTTATAAAAAAACAATGCCTTTGGCCATGAACTCAAACCTTTAGCAGGATGGGCATTTTGACAGGGCCTCCTGAGAATTGTCAGTTTAGGTATTCTCATCCCTGTGAGGTTTCCCTGCTCATTTTAAAATAACACAATTTGGTGGCTACTGAAAGTTTTCTACCCTTCCAAAACTTTGCTTTTCACCAAAGCACATATTTTTAAAAATATGTACATCCAATCTTGGCTCTTTGGAACTTCAGATGGCAACAAATAATTCACATCAGAAATCAAAGTGTAGTACTTCAATGCCCCAATCATGCACCCAGGAAATACTGCTACCTCAATCACATTTAATGTTGATGACTTAAAGATAGTTTCCATTAATTATGCTCTGCTGGGTTTTTTTTTTGCTTTCTCCAGGGCCTGAGTAGATTTTTGGTGCACAGGGAGCTTGCCTTCTGTACCAGATACTCAAGCTGACTGATCCTCATCCTGTGCTCAGGGAAGCTACCCCCGCTGTAATTGTCAAGTGAAACAGGGAAATTAACATCACGAACAACACTATTATTTTAAAGCAGGAAAACTAGCTTGTTAAAGATCAGTTTCCAAGCAGTAAGATTTAACTGTTCTTAAATCCAATATCAGACAGATTGGAAATCTGAAAGGAGTTTGAGCATAAGGTAAAAATGGCTGAGCCACTCTCACTTGGTATTCACTGATATAACTGCTCACAAATAAAACACTGCAATGCACAAATCCAATAAGTTAAAGCAGTCTAGAAATGCACATTAACAGAGACAGCTTCAAAGACACTGGTAATGTTCTGTTTTTTAGGCTGGGTGGTAGGCACAGGGGCATTCATCTTATTAATCTTTAACTATACATATTAATAAGTGTTATATACTCTTTTGTATGTATGATAGGTTTTATAATTTTAAAAAGATCAGAAGTGCAATAAAAACTCAAACTTTAAAAGTGCATATTAGATAGAACATAAATTTAAGACAGGGAGCCCTTTTTTCATTTAGGATTTATAAGCAACATGTATAAGCGTTCATAAATTTTCAGAACTACAAAAGATTGAAGATCATCTAATATAATGGTTTTCCAACGACGTCCCAGGAATAAAATTGTACGTTGCATAGACATGCCATCAACTCCTTATTCAGGGCTGTAAGTTTTCTTAGCACAGGAAGTTCATTTTGTATTGCGGAAGAGTGATCCTAAATCTCCCCTTACCTAATATCACCACTCCTGGTTCTTCCTTTCTTTCTTGATTCAAGAGCCTCTTCCCATCACCTGAATTGCTTCAATAAAGACACAGACTTAATTTGTGGTTCTTCAATAAATTCAAAGAGAAAGTTACAACGTGCATTGAAGAGACACATTCTTGTTAAAAGGCATTGTGGGAAGCCACCATTCTTGGTGGTGGATTCCAGCACCTTGAAACACCACAAACTGGAAGAGCAAGCAAGGAGCCAATGGCTAATTCTACCACAGACAACTATGCTCAGCAAGGGTGAGCTAAGGGAATTAAGGATACAATAAAATAATGGGGCCAAGCATGGTGGCTCACGCCTGTAATCCCAGCACTTTGGGAGGCCGAGGTGGGTGGATCATGAGGTCAAGAGCTCAAGACCATCCTGGCCAACGTGGAGAAACCCCGTCTCTACTAAAAATACAAAAATTAGCCGGGCATGGTGGCACACACCTGTAGTCCCAGCTACTCGGGAGGCTGAGGCAGGAAAATCGCTTGAACCCGGGAGGCAGAGGTTGCAGTCAGCCAAGATCGTGCCACTGCACTCCAGCCTGGAGACAGAGCGAGGACTCCATCTCAAAATAAATAAATAAACAAATAAACAAATAAACAAACAAACAAACAAATAAAATAATGGAAATACAAAAGTTCTTTTTTTTTTTTTTAAAGAAAAGGCCTTCTAGGATGCTGAATGCACCAAATGTAAAAGAACTATAAGTGTCCCTGGGAATGAATGACTCATGTACAGCAGTCTTGAATGGTCTAACTACTTATTCATAGAGCAATACAGAAACAGGACTCACTTGCTCAATCATTTCTTTGGCTATAGGCCAAATGCCTGTACAACCATTTAAAAAAATCAATTTCACAGGCTAACGGGCATGGTGGGAGCCAGAGCTATGCACACTGGACTCAGAACAGAACTGGGCAGCATCAGCTTTATAAGCTGATCAGTTCCTACTATCTTGAAGCAAGAGGTAGCTATTGTTGAGTCACTAGACAGCTCATTTAGGTCAGAGTTAAAATCCATATTCATAAAACTGCCTAAATTATACAGAGTCTACAGTATTTTCGGGTTTAATTATCTTTGGGCTAATAAAAAGTAAGATATAAATAAAATGGGGACATATTAAAATAGTTTTGTTTTTAAATAAATCATGAGATTCTCTATTCACTTTGTCTCAGCAACTGGAGACTACCAATACCCTTGATGGAAATGCTATGAGCTAAAGGAAAACCCAACAGTCTTAGATTATGTATCAGATGTGCATCTTGTGGCCCCAGTGTGTTCATGCCAAGTCACATGGTCCGCCTCGCTCCCCCATCCACCACTGGGGTGGGCACCTGAGTAAGGGGAACAACTCTATGAGTAACCAGAAACCTACACCAGTGTTCCTCAAACTCTAATGTGCAAACAAATCACCAGGGGGTTCTGTTAAAAGGTAGGCTGGGATTCAGTAGGTCTGCAGTGTGACCTGAGAAGCTGCATTTCCAAGAAGATCTCAGGTGATGTCCTTGATACTGGTCCCCAGTGTGCACTTGAAGTAACAAGGATCCAGACATTTAGCCTGACAGGCATGAACTGAGAGAGAATGTAAGAAGGCGAATGTCTTTTTTTTTTTTAATTATACTTTAAGTTCTAGGGTACATGTGCACAACGTGCAGGTTTGTTACATATGTATACATGTGCCGTGTTGGTGTGCTGCACCCATTAACTCATCATTTACATTAGGTATATCTCCTAATGCTATCCCTCCCCACTCCCCCCACCCCACAACAGGCCCCGGTGTGTGATGTCCCGAAGGTGAATGTCTTAAGTCTCCAAAGCTTCCCAATTCTAGCCCCAACAGGGCTGAGAAGGTTTCTGTCCATGGGGCTACTCATGTCATTCCCACAAGAACATTTTATATTCTTGCAATAAAGCTTCATCTCCTTAAGCTAGCTTGTACTAGTTTCTGTTCCACGCAACCAGAAGAGACTAGAACAGACAGGAAAGGAAGTATCTTCATCCCTGAAAGCCACTGTCTGTGCTATCCTGGTGTTTCGTGTGTGTGTGTGTGTGTGTGTGTGTGTGTGTG
The DNA here is from genome assembly GCF_000001405.40 of Homo sapiens. Classification (NCBI taxonomy): domain Eukaryota; kingdom Metazoa; phylum Chordata; class Mammalia; order Primates; family Hominidae; genus Homo; species Homo sapiens. The sequence continues at coordinate 54,602,342 of NC_000014.9, read as the reverse complement.
TGTGTGTGTGTGTGTGTGTATTTTAAAGCAGTCCTCTAGCAATGGAAAAATGCATTATTCTGGGTTGAAAATAAGGAAGCAGTCTATTGATATGCTTCTTCTTTGTACAGTGATTTCCCAGTTAATCCTAAGGAAATAATCCAGACTTGGAAAGATGTCCCAAGTAAAAGGGCATTGATTCCACAGTTATCTAATCCATGGCCAGCCAGTCCCACATTCCTCTTCTAAACCAGAAGCCTGTCTCTGGGTCTAGCCCAAGTGAGAGAAAAAAAGAAGTCTCTGGTACCAGGCGGATCCCAGGACCCTGCTGTTTCTGTCCTGCTTTCTCCTTTGTTTCTACATTGCTTCCCTCAATTTTCTCTCCAACATGGTTGCCAGATGCCTTCGGAGTTTTCTTCTTTCTCTAAGGACTTAGCACCATCAACTCACCCCAAAGTCTTTAAGTCAGTCTAGCCAGACTGTAGTTTTACAACTCTAATACCCATTATTAGTTCTTAGGATAGTGATGTAAGAGTGTCTGAGGGGTTAGAGTATTCTCTCCAAGTCATCAGCCTTGGTTTCTGCCTAAAACAGCAATTCTTTACACACAGACACAAGATTCAAATAAAACACACTTTATAAATTCCAACATTGGAGCCTCCACGGGAGGCCCTGGCTATGGAGTCCACTGTTTAACCGCAACAAATTCCACTAATTACTCTAATCCTGCCATTCCTAAGCCAGGTGATGGCCCTTTGATTTACATGAAGATAAAAATATTTGTACAATAGGCATCAAAACTTTAGGCTTTAAAATGTCGCTGGGTTTCTGTTGAGACTCATTCTTGTTTTTCATCCCCACCCAATATGAATGAATCAAAAAGGACAAAGGAGAAGTTCAGAAGGAAGCAGGAGACTAACACCAAAGATGAACCAATAATGTGACTGTGACAATAATATAAGTGATACCATTTTATTTATAATCTGGACTCTACCTACTTCCATAATGGATTTAAAATGGCTCAAAATAATCACAAGAGCAGGATAGTTGAAATAAAGAAAAAAAGAGCTAATCCACATGGAAGAAAGGGGAGGCAACTACCAGGAAACAGAGATGAGAGTTATTGTAATGAAGCACTAATTTTGGCTTCAAGCTTTAGGAAACCAAAGCTAAAAAGGAAACAGGATAGGTTATGAATTCTCAATTTCATAAATGAAATTGAAATGTGGAAGCAGATGGATTCGTCAGGAGGGACCATCCATTTTCTACTGCTGAGCTCGAAGAGGAATTTATGGCATAGTCCCCTCCATGAAATACTCTAAGAAACAAGGAATGGCAATTTCAGCTGAAGCCAGATGGCCATTTCTCCCTCTAATTGTTGGTAGAAGCCAAAACCCAGATACTGAAATGCAGCTCACTAAAGGCATAGCTATGCATAGCTGAGCTGATGTAGTCTAAGCATGCTGTTTGCTGGTGCTAATACGATAAAATGCTAGCTCTTGGAGAACCTGGAGTAATTCATGACTAACCCGCCCTGCAGATTATCTTCCCCAAGAAAGGATTAAGGTTGTTGGTGAACATTTCAATGTACTGTGTCAGTACTGTTGGCCAATGTTCTGTCAGAAAATCAAAGGATCCAGCCTCCTAGTAAAGGGGCTTTCACCTTCAACAATGGATCCTACCAACAAGACTCATATTATTTTTCAATAGCAAGCTCTCAATATGTTTTCCATCCTAAACAGTTACTTGGGAGATGGCAACTCAAAGTTCTGGACAACAAAGAAAACAATTTTAGTCTAGAAAATTGAGGGCAAAGGTTATCTGGTGGCTAACTCAATCACAAAGACACTGCAGTGTAGTTCCAGTAGAATAACAAATTCTGAAAGAAATTATATTCTGTTGACAGTTCACTGAATTCCAAGCAGCTGGGTCAATGGAAGCACTGGATGAACTTAATGAAGATTTGTTTTAGGAATAAATAGAAAAACAAAAACAGTAACAACAACAAAACCTTGGATAATGCCTTCCAAAGATGCTAATTTCAGGGGTGGGGCAGTTAATGGTGGAATATTATTTCTTAAGCAGCTGCCTCACCAGACTGCCTGGGTTTATGACAGTGACATGCTCAGGAGAAGGTGCCTGGTTTTCGTTTGCTCTGGCAGAACCAGGCATGTAACTTGCCCCCAAACAGAAAAGGACATTTAGCTATAATTTAAAAAGAAGAAAGAAAGGCCAGGACACAGCTTTGCTTCCTGAATTCTAAAACTGAAATTTGATCTGCCAAAAGGTTGTCATTACTCACTCCAGCCTGGCAGTAGGAAATGATGTGGTACAAGGTTTGGAGTAGAATTAAAAGTAGGATTAATGATCTGGGTGTATACAGGAATACATGTCTCTTCTCTCCAGGATCCAAGACTACAAATCTATAAACTCTCTCGAAATTTTTATTTCAGATGAAGAGATCTCAGTGTTTTAAGAAGAAAAGAGGAACAGAGGTTTAAGAGGATGTCTACCCAATTGATTGACCTGTAATATGAAGAATAATCAGAGGGAACTACACCACAAAAACTTCGGAATAGTGTTGCTCTTGCTACCAATGATATCAGCTTATCCGTGTAACATTTTAGTTTACAAAGTACTTTATATTTTCACCTATGCTATTGTCTCGTAATTCTGACAATAGTCCTGTGAATAGTGGTGCTGTCTCCACTAAATGGATGAGAAGATTAAGACAAGTCAATTGACCTGTCCAAGATCACAGAGCTAGACAAACAGCCATGCCAAAATTGAAACTCAGGTCTTCTAACTCCAAATCCTTCATCATAGATATTAGGGTCCATTTCTTTTGATGCAATTGAAGCAGTATAATATTTTTTAAAATCTCATAGGGCAGAGAAAAAATATTTCTTATGAAAAATTTGTGGACCTCGGGTATCCTACCTAGAGTTTAAAAAGAAAAAATAAGGTGCTCAGGTTACTTATAATGGATCGCACCCACAGATAAAAAGTTGTCAGTTTCTGTCAACGCCTAAGAGGTTGCCTTTATGTTGGGTTATATATAATCTTTTTTTAGTCCTCATTTCTTTAAATCGTGTTTATTACTCCATATATAGGGCAATTTGACAACAGGAATTAAAGGTCTCAAAAACAGGTATAATATTTGGGAATGTCTATCAAAAATTTAAATGTGCATTATCCCAGCAATTCTTCTCTTGGGAAATTTTTGCTAAAGAAATAAGGACAGGGCCAGGTGCACTGGCTCATGCCTGTAATCCTAGCACTTTGGGAGGCCGAGGTGGGAGGATCGCTTGAGCCCAGGAGTTCAAGACCAGCCTGGGCAACATGGTGACACCATGTCTCTACAAAAATACAAAAATTAGTTGGGTGTGGTGGTACATGCCTGTAATCCCAGCTACTTAGGAGGCTGAGGTAGGAGGATCACTTGAACCTGGTAGACTGAGGCTGCAGTGAGCTGAAATCACACCACTGTACTCCAGCCTGGGCGACAGAGTGAGACCCTGTACAAGAGAGTGGATGGAAGGGGAGGGGAGGGGAGGGGAGAGGGAACAGAAATGTAAATAACACACGTTCCCGATAGTGGTGTTTATACCACTAAATAACAGATTGTCTATTTTGTTTTCTTTGTCTTTATTTTCTGACTTTTGTTTTTTGCTGTGAGCTTATGTTTCCTTTAAAACCAGAAAAATACAGCAATTTTTAAAAGGGGTGAGAGAGAGGAATAGTAACTTTTGACACAGCAAATCTACTTTTTCCTAAGGAAGAGTCCAATGAGTGTTTTAAAATATGTGTACAAAAGAAGTGCATTACAATATGTTATAATAGTGAAAAGTTGGGACAAAACTAAATTCTTTAATCATAATAATATCTACCAAGTATGATGTGTTCATAGGATTAGCTATTACACAGTTATTAAAAATGTGATGCTTGCTTTTATTATTAAGATAAAGGCAGCCAATTATAAAATAGGATGCATACAGTATTACCTCATTGTGTATTTGCATGTAACTACATGTATATATTTGTAGAGGAAAAAGATTTAGAAGGCCAGGGCAATATGGGATTAGCTTGGTGGACAGTATAACATAACAGCTATGTTACGCAAGGACCCACAAACACACTGCCTAAGTTTGAACGCTGACTGTGTCATTTTCTAGATATTTAATCAGAACCATGTTAACCGTGTTTGTGTCTCAGTTTTCACATTATTTATCTATGTAAAACCTTCTAGTTAGTCTAACAAATGCTCAGACTGTGTCCCCAACAAGATTAGTCTCCCTGTCTCTTTCTTCCCTTTGTAGAGAAGTGCATCTTCCAAGACAGAACTCACTCTCTTTCTAAATTAGCATGACTCATCTGTCCTTCCTTCTCTAAACTGCTTTATGGAGACCAAGGATTATAAACTCAGATGTCTATCAGGACCAGGCAGAAGCAATGTGTGCTTAAGACCACAACAGGGGGCCAGTGTGATGGCTCATGCCTGTAATCCCAGCATTTTGGAAGACTGAGGCGGGCAGTTTGCTTGAGCCCAGGAGTTCGAGACCTGGGCAATATGGCAAAATCCTGTCTCTATTAAAAAAATACAAAAATTAGCCAGGCATGGTGGCATATGCCTATAGTCCCAGCTACTCTGGAGGCTGAAATGGGAGGATCGCTTGAACCTGGGAGGTCGAGGCTGCAGTGAGCCATGATCATGCCACTGCACTCCAGCCTGGGCAACAGGGTGAAACTCTGTCTCAAAAAAAAAAAAAAAAAAAAAAAGATAGAAGGAAAGGCCGGGTGCGGTGGCTCACACTGTAATCCCAGCACTTTGGAAGGCCAAGGTGGGCGATCACCTGAGATCAGGAGTTCAAGACCAGCCTGACCAACATGGAGAAACCCTGTCTCTACCAAAAAATACAAAATTAGCCAAGTGTGGTGGCGCATGCCTGTAATCCCAGCTACTCAGGAGGCTGAGGCAAGAGAATCACTTGAACCCGGGAGGCAGAGGTTGTGGTGAGCCGAGATCATGCCATTGCACTCCAGCCTAGGCAATAAGAGCAAAACTCCATCTCAAAAAAAAAGAAAAAAGAAAAGAAAAAGAAAAAGACCACAACAGAGAGATAGAGAGATGTGGGGATTGAGGCAAACTGAAGCATGCCTACCTAACAGGACAGCTCCTACACGCTAAGCAGATTGTACCCACATAGGAATGCATATTTGGTGCTGCCAAATCTTCCATTTTTCAAAAAAAAAAAAAAAGAAACTCAGATTTTGAGGTGTCACTCCCCAAAGCTAATACAGATATATGGTGTTTTGTTTGTTTTCTTTTTCAATAAAATGCAATGGGCATGAAACAAAACACTTCTGCATGGGGCTCCCTTTCATAAGATCTGATTTAGAGGTCTGGCTACAAGCAACAGAATCCTCAGGAAGGCTATGAACAGAGAAGGCTACCTTTCAGAACCTGAAGCTTTTCTCTCCCGGCTGGATATTCTGCATTTACCCCCTCCCCCACCAAGAACCACTCTCCACCCTTCTCACCCTGATGTGTGCCCTGGGAGGCTGCCCCTTCAGACTACATCTCGTGGTTCCCTGGGGTTCATTTGGGTCCTCCAATGGGATTGCCAGCAGGACCCTGAGGAGAGAAAGGCTGGGGCATCTCCCCGTCGGCTCCCTCCCTGGCAGAGTGCTTTGTCAGTGGCTGTGATCTTCTGCCTAAGGCGTCAGCTCCTAGGAGAGAAGGCCCTTCCTATAGTTCTTTCCTTGTTTTCTTTTTTTTGAGACGCAGTCTCACTATATCACCCAGGCTAGAGTGCAGTGGCATGATCTCGGCTCACTGTAACCTGTGCCTCCCAGGTTCAAGCGATTCCCCTGCCTCAGCTTCCCGAGTAGCTGGGATTACAGGCACGCACCACCATGCCTGGCTAATTTTTGTATTTTTAGTAGAGACAGGGTTTCACCATGTTGGGCAGGCTGGTCTCGAACTCCTGACCTCAGGTGATCCACCTGCCTCGGCCTCTCAAAGTGCTGGGATTACAGGCATGAGCCACTGCGCCCGGCCCCTTTCCTTGTTTCTTTAGGACTAGGAGTGGTGATGGCGTTCTTCTGTTGTTATTTCTGGTATGCTTTGCCAACTCGTGTTGATTTCCCTGAATCCTGCCTACATCTTTGTTAGTAGCTCCATTATTTAGGTCTCCTCAATTACCTCCTTTGAGAATACCACCTCTTTCCTGCCAGGACCTGACGGGTACTCTTCCCACGCCACATACCATTATCTAGTTACCACACTAAATTGACAAGACCAAGATCCTTCTCTACCAGACCTGGGAGTCTAATTCCACAGAGGAAGAGATCCACTAGTGAGGCCACTTCAATTCTATTTTTTCTAGGTTGAAAAGATACTATTTCTTGAATCTTTCATGAACTCTAATTTCCAAATCACAGTTCTGAATTACTAAGATCCTTAGACTATCAGTCCCACTCTGGAACAGTTAAAATGAAAAGCAAAAAACTAGTATCATCCCATTAAAAATACAATTTGGAAATCATGTATGCTCCATGGGACAAAGATCTTTTTCTTACACTTTCCTAAAATGCCCACATAAGAATGTTAATAATTTTTCACAATTTTTGAATGAGAACTGTCACTTAAATATGTTATATTGAAGCTTTTCCTCTCAGTTAACCCCATTCAACACTTTTAGTACCCTGCTTAATCCAAGTATCTAAATATCTAAGTATCGTAAACTAAAAATCTGCATTAAGAGGGACACTAGAGTGAACCTCCTCCCCTCCGAAGGCTGTTCCTTGGTTCCTTGTATTGTAGTTAGGAGTGTAAGGACATTAGTCTGCCTTACTAGATTTTTTTAGTTCGTTTAATCATTTATTCAACATATATATACATACAGTATATATTTTTTATATATTATAATAATATATATATAAATAAACACATGTATACATATATATATATGGCACCAGCCCTGTACCCATTTTGACTCTGCCGCTATGAAGATAAGAGGACTCTGACCTCAAGGAATTCAACATGTATGTGATTGTATACTTATAAGATAGTAAGATAAAACTCTAGTGAAGATGTGCTCAAATGTGAGAAGAAAATCACTGAGATTTGCTAAGACAGTCTGTAGAGTGAACTAAAATGGCTATACCTGAGAAGTGACCTTTGTGTTGGGAAATGAAAGCTGAGAGAGATGTCGTCAGATGGAAGAGAGGAAGGTATTCCAGATGAATGGAAAAGCATTTGCGACACACCAAAGAACGACAGGGGCAAGTTTTATAAGTTTGTACTCTTAATATTCATGGCACAGAGTAGGTATTTTTTCAATGAATGAATAAAATGGGATTTCACATTGCAAAAATGTCATTGTCTTCATTATTTAAAGTCCTGTTAGGGTAGCAATATAATTAATCATTCATGGTTGGCCCTAAACTGGAAATAGACCTTGTAAGATGTATTATTTGAAGTGGCTCCAAAATCAAAAGAAAAAAGTGTTAATGTCAGCCATGCATATTTCCGTCACTTAAATTCCAATGCAAAAATTATGCACCAATAAGTTGCTGATATGTTAGTATGTCTGAGACTAGTTTAATATTTTAAATTCATTCATGATTTAGTCATCTTGTAGTAGTGACTGTTTTAATGTGTTCCCAAGGGAAAAAGTACAACCACCAATTAAATCTGATTCAGTGATAAAAATTTAACCTCTGAATACTAATAAAAATTTGGGCTTTTACACCTCCCTTTTCTTAAGCTTTCCCTTCCACTACAATTTCCATATCCAACAAGTTCTGTCCTGCTGTTTGTACTTATCATCTTACTTCTAGCCAGGAGAAACTGCATGTGGTCTGTATACTTCAAAGGTCTGAACATGCTCTGATTATCTAATTAACACTTGCAATTTTAAAAGTAGCTTTTTTTTTTTGAGACAGTCTCATGCTGTCACCCAGACTGGAGTGTAGTGGCATGATCATGGCTCACTGCAGCCTTGATCTCCTGGGCTCAAGCAATCCTCCTACCTTGACCTCCCAAAGTGCTGCAATTACAGGCATAAGCTATCACACTCAGCCAAAGAGTGGCATTTTCGTTCTGTACCTTATGCAGATAATATACACTTAATAGGCAGAAAGAAAACCAAGAAGAGCATAAACAGAGCTGTTAACAGTGTTCATTTAGTGGGGAGGTCTGTGGTTATGGAAGACTTTTACTTTCTATGTTATCTACCTCTATTATAAATTTATGAAAATGTACTTTTTTTTTAATAGCAATCATGTTTTACTTCTGCAACAGAAGAAACAAAGACATTTTCTTAGAGTAGGTAGGTAGGCACATGAGTCATCTTCCTGTATATGATCTGGTCTGAAAATTTCAACAAATACTACAGAAGAAATCCCATCAGAACTAGGACAACAGCACTCCTTCCTTCCTTTTCACAAGGCACCAGTAATACCACCGCTCTGATTCTCCCCCACTTGGCTCATCCTCCCATGCCTCTCTCCTGGCCAGACCTAAGAAGACCATCTCTCCCCACTGCCTGAGAATGCACCTCCTTAAAAGAGGAGCTGCTGGGTGTTTTTAATACCAAATATACTTATCAAAATATACATTTAAATCAGCTTGAGGAAAACACTCATACATATTGGTTTCAAGTGCACTTTTAGCTTAGTGACTATTCCAGCCTTTAGAGGGGGGCCATTTTTCAATCAAAATTAAGCGAAACTAAGCATTTGTAAAATCATTTTCCATAGGGTAAAGATGATAATTTACAGGATTTCATTTCTCCTGAAATCATCTCCTCTTTCCTTCTTGTATTTGCCCCTAAATCACCTAGAAAGTAAATATCATCTTCTTACATTGCCAGTTTTCAGTTTTATCTAAAAAATGAATAGAAAAACCTGTTGTTGTAATTCACTGAGACCCATTCTGGCTAACACAAGAAATAGTTGATGGATGGAGAAAAGAAAATGACAAATAAACCAGCCACAGATATGAAATACAATAAAAACCCCAGAATACGAAACTAATAGTAATCAAGAATTACTTAATGATGAAGAAATTAATTAGGTTCTCCAGGAAGGAAGAATAGTAATTGTGACCAGAAGAACAAAAACATAAGCATCTATAATTATAGAAAACTAGAAATCATCTAAATTTTCAGTAACAGAGAAATGGTTAAATAACATATATATTATCCAAACAATGAATGGCATGCATCCATTACAAATAGCACATTCAGAATGGCAGAATGCTGATAATTACTGAAGCTGAATGTTGGGTATTTAGGGGTTTATTATATCATTCTATTTTTTCTATGTCTAAAATTTTCCATAAAACATGTTTTCTAAGACTATTTAGTGACATTGGAAAATGCTCATAATATAACATTAAATGAAATGTGAAGGAAAAGCAAAATACAAACTGTATAAAGTACTTGATTCCTACATTGTTAAAAACACGCATAAACATAAAGATGACGGCCTAGAAGGAAATGTTCTAAAATAAGAGGCAATGCGTGGCTCTGGGTGGCAGGATCAATGATGATGATTTTCTTCTTTTACTTCTCTGTATTTAAAAATGTGTTAACAATGGCCGGGTGCGGTGGCTCACGCCTGTAATCCCAGCACTTTGGGAGGCCAAGACAGGGGGATCACGAGGTCAGGAGATCGAGACCATCCTGGCTAACATGGTGAAACCCCATCTCTACTAAAAATACAAAAAATTAGCCAGGCGTGGTAGCGGCCACCTGTAGTCCCAGCTACTTGGGAGGCTGAGGCAGGAGAATGGCGTGAACCCGGGAGGCAGAGCTTGCAGTGAGCCGAGATCGCACCACTGCACTCCAGCCTGGGCGACAGAGCGAGACTTGGTATCAAAAAACAAAAAAAGAAAAAAAATGTGTTAACAATGCAAATGTTTCACTTCGGTAATAAGCAAAATGATAGACAGGAAAGGATACATATTTGGGGAAGGAAAGAGGAGAAGAAAGTGTAGCATGTGTGTGAGCTTGCCAGATGCAAAGTGTTTGTAGACACTGCATGGGATGAAAAGAAGACTAAGACAAGTTTACCACAGGAAAGGAGCTTACAAACCATTTGAGGAGACAACTTAAACATAAGGTACTCAATGCTACCAGAATGTAGATAAGTGTTGAAGGAGTTCTTACAATTGCTAGGGTAGTTCAAAAAAATAGAAAGTCACAGAGCTATGGTGGTCAAGGAAGAATAAACGATGACCTCGCTCAGCTGCCAGGGAACAGGGCTCTGACGGATGGGTGGGATGCACATGGGGAGGGGGAAGAGGGGGGAGCTTTGAGGAGGAAGGGCAGTTTAAGCTTAAGGCACGCACACATGGAGGAAAAGGGAAAAAGGCACACAAAGCAAGTCACTTTGACTGAAACAGGGCTCATGGAGAAGAGTGGTGAGACATATGGCTGCAAAACTAGGTTAGAGAGAAGGCTTTCAACCCCATCAGACTCCAGGCCCCCTCTGCAATCCTGAAATGAGAAATCACAGACAATATAACCTAATCTGCATATAATTTTAATAAATCAATGCTATGACCTAGTTGCAATATAAAGGAGAAATAAAAGGGAAAGAACTTATAATGATACAATATACACTACACTATGTAAATGTCCAGGCACAGGAGCTGTAGAAAACACAATGAGGTAGTCAGCTTCTTGCCCCTAGGCTACAATCACCATGAATGGGGCAGCTACACATGCTGACTGATACGCCAATTTCAAAACCACAAGTAATGATGCCAACATGGGAAACAACTCCTGGTAAAGTCTCAAAAAAAACAAAACAAAAAAAAAAAAACAAAATACAGGATTCCCTCCATTTAAATTGTGCAAAAAATACCTTTTGCTTATAGAGATCATTTAGGCTCTGATGACTACCAATAAATTTTTTATTTCTCTGTTGCCTGGCAGGCATTTGAAAGTCAAATGGGATGTGGAGCAATTGCCCTGTACATTGCCTGATTTCTAGCACCCTTGGCACCACCCACTAAATGCCAATGGCAAACCACCCCCTAATACTGTGAAAACCACGAATACATCCACAAATTTCTAAAGTACCCCTAGAGGCTAGGAATACCCTTGCTGAGAACCCCAGGGATAGAGCTAGAGTCAGCATTTCTCACTAGGGGCACCACCATCATTCTGGGCAGGACAGCTTCTCTTGTGGACAACTATCTCATGTATCGCACGACGTACCCCTATCATTCTGTGCTAAAAGCCAATCACGGTGACAGCCAGAAAAATAGCCCCTCATTCATCCTCTTTGCATGCTACCTCTGAGAGACGATGACCAAGATCTTGGAAGGCTTGAGTGACAAGCTGCTTCAGCAATTGAGGGGAAAAGTCTGAGATAAGAAACTCTGATTTTAAAAACTTTTAAATTCCTCTATGATGCAGCTCTCAGAAAACTAAGCTTCAGTATTATGTGATTATTAAAGCAGAAAAAGAAAACTATAATAAAAGCACCCTTGAACATTTACTAACATTTGACTATTTCTCAAACCCTAAGGTGGCCTTTGGCTACTTCTGAAAAAAGCTAGGTGCTGGAAAGCATGCTACCTGGTAGTCTGGGGAATACACAGCTCATGTGTGGAGCACATCTGGGTTTTTATGCCACTCATGGGAAGGTCATGAAAAGAATGCAATGTCACTCCCTAGAAGGACTCAGCACAGCTGACAGAGAGACTACCACCAGCTAGGAGAGGAGAAGAGAGGAGAGGAGAGGGAGGGATTCAAAGACACTCAGGAAAGAGAAAAGGGAAGATAAAGCTGCCTACACAGCATCTTCCCACCTTTTATAACCTAGGCTCTTCTTAAATATTCCATTTATTTTTTGAGACAGGGCCTCACTCTGTCACTCAGGCTGGAGTTCAGTGGCACAATCTTGGCTCACTGCAGCCTCGACCTCCTGGGCTCAGGCGATCCTCCCACCTCAGCCTCTCAAGTAGCTGCGGCTACAGGCACACACCACCATGCCCAGCAAATTTTGTTTTGTTTTCCGTAGAGATGAAGTCTCACGATTTTGCCCAGGCTGGTCTTGAACTCCTGGGCTCAAGCAATCCTCCTATGTTGGCCTCCCAAAATGCTGGGGTTACAGGCGTGAACCATGAGAACTTTCTGTCCTTTCCCCTGCTTTATTTTTCTTATAGCACTTTTCACCATTGACAGTGCCAGACACATCACAAGCATGCAAATATTCAGTGAATTAACTCATTCAACAAATATTTATTGTGTGCCTGCTATATCCCACAAACTATTTTTTTATGCTAGAGAAAAAGCAGTCAACAAAATCGACAGCACCCTCATCTCATGGACCTTACGTTCTAGCATACGGTTTGGATGATAAACAGATATGTAATGTAATATGCCATGTGGTAATAAACAGCATGAATAAAATAATTCAGGGCAAGAGGTTTAGAGAGATGGTTGGGAAGGCTTTTCTGAGAAGGAGACATATAAGCAGAGACCTGAAGGATGTGAAGTAAACCATGCAGACATTGAGGCAGTCGATCAGAGGGAACTCCTGCCTTATATGAAAATTAAAGTAAAGATATCATGATTAACAAATCATGCAAGATAAATCAGGGCAATGGACTTTGCTTTCAAACTAGGGAAGGGACTGTGTCTTGTATACAGCTGGACTCTCAACCTCTAACACAGTATATGTTCTTTTGAAAAACATGTTCCGAATAGGCACAAAATAAAAATTAGTGAATGAATGAATGAGTGAATAACACAAGCCACCTTTTTCCCTCCCCAAAAGACATACGTGCTTCCCACACAGAGAATCACTGGCTCTAGTGGATGTTAATATCAATAGGCTTATTACATAATTTTGCTCATAGTTGAGTCTTGCTACTTATATTGCTAACATAAACTTGAGGCAGAATGGTCCAAAAAAAATCAACATGGAAAATCCAACCAAAATATCTATACCACACATGGCCATAAAATTTAGACTCATGGGAGTAAAAACATGAGGCTTTTTGACCCAGTAGGTGTCTGTGAATCAGAGAACTATCATCTTTGAATAACCCATGGCAGTCACTGTTTCCATCCTCATCTCCAGTCATTCCTGATAGATGAGCGTGTAAATTACTCCATCTTCAGAAAATTTCACCCACAATGAATCGTTTATCCATTGTAACTCTTGTCCCACCTCTAATGTGTCTTAAGTTGAAATAAAATAGACCAAAATCCAAATGTAAAACTTTCTAAGATAAGGGTGCTAATTTGAGCTCTTTGATATACTGTTTAAACAGACAATGCAAGTACGAAAATGTTATAATTCTTAATATATACGTTGTATACATTTTAATAACTTAAAACTCTTCTGAGAGGATTAAACTAAAATTGAGCAGTTCCTCTTCCTTCCTTCTGTTAAACTTAACAATACCATCCAAGGGAAGAAAATACACTTCTAATAGAAACATCATTTGCTCTTAAAAATCCTTTTCCTGTCAATAGACTGCATAAAAATGTAAACTTCCAAACATCAAATATACAAAATGGGGGGAAATCCATATATATGACAAAGAGTGCTAATAAATTAATAAGAAAAAACAAATGTTCTCATGGAAAAGGAGACAGAAGAAAAAATAAAAACTACTAGACCATAAATATATGAAAAAGTATCACCAAAGAAATGTATCTGAAAATAATGACAGCCTCTTCAATCAACAAGGGTTTCTTTTGTTTGTTTTTAACAATATCCATTGTAGAAAAGAGTGTACAAAAAAAATACTTAAATGTTCACAGGAGCACTCATTGGCCCAATCTTTCAGAAGGATGTCATGGTTAGCATTAAATGCCTACATCAAAAAGTCTGAAAGAGCACAAATGGACAATCTAAGGGCACACCTCATGGAACTGGAGAAACAAGAACAATCCAAACCCAAACCCAGCAGAAAAAAAGAAATAACAAATATCAGAGCAGAACTAAATAAAATTAAAACAACAACAAAAAAAAAATACAAAAGATAAATGAAACAAAAAGCTGGTTCTTTGAAAAGATAAATAAAATTGATAGACCATTAGCGAGATTAACCAAGAAGAGAGAGGATCCAAATAAGCTCAATTAGAAATGAAACAGGAGATAATACAACTGATACCACAGAAATAATAAAAGACTATTCAAGGTTATGAACACCTTTACAGGCTTAAACTAGAAAACCTAGAGGAGACAGATAAATTCCTGGAAACATACAACCCTCCTAGATTAAACCAGGAAGACACAGAATCTCTGAACAGACCAATAACAAGCAGCGAGATTGAAATGGTAATTTTAAAAATTGCCAACAAAAAAAAAGTCCAGGACGAGACAGGTTCACAGCTGAATTCTATCAGGCATTCAAAGAATTGGTACCAATCCTATTGACACTATTCCAAAAGATAGAGAAAGAGGGAATCCTCCCTAATCATTCTATGAAGCCAGTATCACCCTAATACTAAAACCAGGGAAAGGCATAACAAAAAAAGAAAACTACAGACCAATATCCCTGATGAACATAGACGCAAAAATCCTCAACAAAATACTAGCGAACCAAATCCAACAGCATATCAAAAAGATAATCTACCATAATCAAGCGGGTTTCATATCAGGGATGCAGGGATGATTTAACATATGTAAGTCCATAAATGTGATATACCACATAAGCAGAATTAAAAACAAAAATCACATGATCATCTCAATAGATGCAGAAACAGCATTTGACAAAATCCAGCATCCCTTTATGATTAAAACCCTCAGCAAAATTGGCATAGAAGCCACAGCCAACATTATACTGAATGGAGAAAAGCTGAAGCATTCCCCTTGAGAACTGGAACATGACGAGGATACCCACTTTCACCACTTCTATTCAACATAGTACTGGAAGTCCCAGCTGGAGCAATCAAACAAGAGAAAGACATCAGGGCATCAAAATCAGTAAAGAGGAAGTCAAACTGTCACTGTTTGCTGATGATATGATTGTATACCTAGAAAACCCTAAAGACTCATCCAAAAAGCTCCTAGAACTAGTAAATGAATTCAGCAAAGTTTCAAGATACAAAATTAATGTACACAGATCAGTAGTTCTGCTATACACCAACAGCAATCAAGCTGAGAATCAAATCGAGAACTCAACCCCTTTCACAATAGCTGCAAACAAAATAAAATGCTTAGGAATATACCTAACCAAGGACATGAAAGATCCCTATAAGGAAAACTACAAAACACTGCTGAAAGAAATCATAGATGATGCAAACAAATGGAAACACATCCCATTCTCATGGATAGGTAGAATCAATATTATGAAAATGACCATACTGCCAAAAGCAATCTATAAATTCAATGCAATTCCCATCAAAATACCACCATCGTTCTTCACAGAATCAGAAAAAAAATCCAAAAATTCATATGGAACCAAAAAAGAGCCCACATAGCCAAAGCAAAACTAAGCAAAAAGAATCACAAATCTGGAGGAATCACATTACCTGACTTCAAACTATACTACAAGGCCATAGTCACAAAAACAGCATGGTACTGGTATAAAAATAGGCACTAGACCAATGGAACAAAATAGAGAACCCAGAAATAAAGCCAAATACTTACAGCCAACTGATCTTCGACAAAGCAAACAAAAACAAAAAGTGGGAAAAGGACACCCTATTCAACAAATGGTGCTGGGATAATTGGCAAGCCACATGTAGAAAAACGAAACTGGATCCTCATCTCTCACCTTATACAAAAATCAACTCAAGATGGATCAAAGACAAATATAAGACGTGAAACCATAAAAATTCTAGAAGATAACATTGGAAAAACCCTTCTAGATATTGGCTTAGGTAAAGACGTCATGATCAAGAACCCAAAAGCAAATGCAGCAAAAACAAAGATAAATAGATGGGACTTAATTAAACTAAAAAGCTTCTGCACAGCAAAAGAAATAATCAGCAGAGTAAACAGATAACCCACAGAGTGGGAGAAAATTTTCACAATCTATACATCCAACAAAGGACTAATTTGCAGAATCTATAAAGAATTCAAACAACTCAGCAAGAAGAAAACAAACAATCCCATCAAAAAGTGGGCTAAGGACATGAATTCTCAAAAGAAGATATACAAATGGCCAACAAGCATATGGAAAAATGCTCAACATCACTAATTACCAGGGAAGTGCAAAGCAAAACCACAATGCGATACCATCTCACTCCTGCAAGAATGGCCATAATAAAAAAATAAAAACAGATATTGGCGGGGATGTGGTGAAAAGGGAACACTTTTACACTGTCGGTGGGAATGTAAACTAGTACAATCACTATGAAAAACAGTGTTCAGGTGCCTTAAAGAACGAAAAGTAGATCTACCATTTGATCTGGCAATCTCTGGGTAGGTATCTACCCAGAGAAAAAGAAGTCATTATAGGAAAAAGATACTTGCACACGCATGTTTGTAGCAGCACAATTTGCAATGGCAAAAATATGGAACGAGCCCAAATGCTCATCTATCAATGAGTGAATAAAGAAAATGTGATATATACGTCATGAAATACTACTCAGCCATGAAAATGAACTAAATAATGGCATTTGTAGCAACCTGGATGGAACTGGAGACTATTATTCTACGTGAAGTAATGCAGGAATGGAAAACCAAACATCCTATGTTCTCACTCATATGTGGGAGTTACGCTATGTGAATGCAAAGACATAAGAATGATATAATGGACTTTGGGGACTCGGGGGAAGGAGTGGGGATGGTGAGGGATAAAAGAGTACTCACTGGGTGAAGTGTGCACTGCTCAGGTGATGGGTACACCAAAATCTCAGAAATCACCACTAAAGAACTTATTCATGTGACCAAATACCATTTGTTCCCCAAAAACCTACTGAAATAAAAAAATTTAAAAAATTTTTAAAAAGAATGATGTCATGGTTAACATATTACATATGCTAATTTTTAAAGAAGCGTGATCCAGAAACTACACTTACAGGCATATAACCTGAGGTCAAATCTGTGCTTTAAAGGATGTTTACCACAGCATTGTAAGAAACTGGAAATAACCTAAATGTCCAAGTGTAAGGGTTTGGTTTAATAAATTATGGCACAGCCATACTATAGAATGCTACACGGTCATTTAAAATACTGTCATAAAAGAGTTTATGATGGTGCATTAAAATATTAATGACAGTTTAAGTTTAAAAGGCAGTTTAGATATTTTTTTCACCAAATGGCATATATGTAGAGATACATACCACTGTACAGTATGTCAAATGGACCTAATTTTGTATATTTGTGTAAGAAAAATTTGTGTATGGTAGAAGACACTAAATATAGCCAACAAAATGAAAAATAGGATTATAGGTGTTATTTATGTAACTTTTTCTTTTTTAAATCTTTCTACAATAGAAATATAATTCTTCTAAGAACATTGTCTTTTTAAAAACTCTTCTACCTGCTTTGCTAGAACCTGATTTGGACAATTTGATAAATTTTTTCAGGCACAAGAGAAAGTATACTTAATAAAATAGATTTCTCAGAAATAGCCTACGTGTCAAATTCTATTTCATCCATTTAATGCTTCTAAATCTTTATGCTATAATCTAGCATAAACTTAGGTAAGAACATTTATTTTAATCAGAAAACATGTTAACAATTGTGTTGCCAAGCAATGCGGTAAAGGGCAGGAACTGAAAGATCGTCTATTTCAAGTAATTAAATCACATTTAATATTAAATAATAACCCAAACATAATTGTCTAGTTTATTCCATTGAACAAATTTTATTTTGTGTGCCTACTGTGTGTTAAGCACTGTACTGATGGTTAACTTGACAGAGTCTTCTTTAATGCTTTGGATTTGAGATCAAAGAAAATTCAAGTCTAAGGGGTTAATCTGAACAGTTGTCCCTAAATCTAAAGCCTAGTAGAACAGCAACTCCTCTGATAGAAATTCCTCTGATGCATAAAAAAGACGCTGATGTTTTATGCCTCAGCTGCTATGTCTTATCTGCAAAGCTCTCCTACTCCTGCACATGCAAGACACTCCATCCTCAACCCAAACCTCAACACTGAAATGCAGTGTGCCAAAAATGAAGTCAGTCTGGCACATAATTATAATTCCAAAGGTAAAATAATGCAATGCTTTATTTGAATCAAATTTCAGTGAAAGCAACCCAACTAAAGCCACCTGTTACATGTATAGAACCATCTTTTAGCAGTTCAGCAACAAAAAACTAGAAATATTTATTCTTTATGAAATTGCTCAAAGGTCACTTTTAAAGAGAAGGTTATCTATGGGACAGCTGGCAATAGACTAGCTGTATTTAAAGACTCTACACCTGCATTTTAGAAGGCACCGGTAATTGAGAACATTGTAATGTACTATTACTACACTGGTGGAGAAAATTAATGAAAAATATTACTAGGTGTATAATTCTTAAAAGCATTACATTTGATAATTTAACTGTGAAAACCAAAATCATTTAAATTCTAAAAAATACTATTTGCCTGAACAGTCTGCACACCTTTTCAAAAGGTTCATTAAATAATCCCAGTGTTACAAATAACCTCCTTAACCTCCTGTAACAACAGAATAGATTTTCAACAGCTGTCAAAATAGATTCCAGTATCCATTCTATTCAAGTGTGTTAGAAGAAGATCTTAAAACTGTCAAGGAGTGTCAGAATGTGGGTAACTTAGTAAAAAATGTAACTGAGCTGATTCCGCCAACTACAGAGAAAAGAAGAAAGCTCAAATCAGCTCAAAGAAAAAGATCAATCAAAGGGAGAAGGATAAGGAGATCATATCCAACTACAGGTAATGTCCCAACTCCATGCTCAGATAAAAAGGGTTTTCTCTAATAGAAGACTGCACAACAGAATTCTGAAGAGGCACCATTCATTCCACATAACAGATGAACACCTCCTACAGGCCACCCTGCTGCTTCTCGGGGCACTGCTAATTCAGGACAAGGTTGCCAGACTCAGCAAATACAACTATAGGACCCCTAGTTACATTTGAATTGCAAATACACCATGAATAACTTTCTAGTATATGTGGTATAAGTATGCCCCATTCGCAGTTCAAATTTAGCTGGGGTTCCTGTAATTTCTTTGGCAACCCTACGTGAGGGAGATAAAGCACAGCCCCTTCCTCCTGGAGCCAATGTTCCAGTGCAGGATTTCTTAAAAGGTAAAAAATTTATCTTTTTATCCCGTCTCTACTAAAATACAAAAAATTAGCCAGGCATGGTAGCACACGCCTGTAGCCCCAGCTACTCGGGAGGCTGAGGCAGGGGAATCACTTGAACCCAGGAGGCGGAGGTTGCAGTGGGCCGAGATTGCGCCACTGCACTCCAGCCTGGTGACAAAGAGAGACTCTGTCTCAAAAAAGAAAAAAAACATCTTTTAAGCTATACAAAAGTTAAATTAGCAGCACACTTTACTCTCATAAACTTTTCACCAAGATTGACCAATTCTTAATTTTTGTCACCTTATATATAAACATTTGAGAATAAGCTGCAGTAAGTCCTCATCCCTAAAAGACTTCTGCATGCGTCTCCTAATAAGGACATTTCCTGGTGTGACCAAGGTACAATTATAACAGAAGGAAATGTATAATTGATAACAGCATTATCCCCTAATACATAGACTACATTTAAATTTCACCAATTGTCCCAATACTGCCCTTTAGAGCCATGTTTTTTCCCAATCCAGGATCCAATCCAGAACTTCATGTGGCATTTAGCTATCATATTGCTGTAGATTCCTTCACTCTAGGGCATGCCGTCACCTCACCTAACATGGCAGTGTCAATCCAGTGTGCTAAATGCTGAGCTGGTGATGTGCAGATGCCGTGTGGGAGCTCAGGGGACGACGAGGCATCTTCTTCTTTGTCTTTGAGGCATCTTCTTTGTCCTCGCACAAACATATCTGCTCTGTTCAAGGACTGAATAACAGCTGATGGACGCCATTCGCCAGTTTAACTTGTGAAGTTCAACAAAATACCCAAGCACCTCCTATTTTAACTCTGGGCATCTTTCTCTCTCTCAATGAGAAGGTAGGAAAGTCTTTAAAAATAAAAAATAAAATTAAAAAAAAAACAGCAGCAGCAATTCTTGTCCAAATTATTCCTATCTAAAATGTTGTGAACTAAACATACATATGCCACAATTATTCCCATATAACCCACCAGCAGCTTAATATCAGAATCACACATGAGGCTCAAGTTTGACATTATAGCTCAGAATTTCAATATTTTAACTGTGCTCAGATCATCTGCAAATACCACAATAATCTGCAAAATGTGCTAACACAGCTCATTCTGCCACAAAAAGAAAATGTGAAAATAGGGAGGCTTTGTTAAAATAATAACAACAAAGAACAATGACAAGAAAGCCTTCTCTTTTTCCAACGAACGCTTGTTCAGTGAAAGGTAAAAGTGGAAATAATATTATAGAACAAAAAGCAAAGCATAATTATTTTCTTGTTTAGCTGAGGTATACCAAAAATACTCAAAGGTTTTGCACTGAATGGGTTTAAGTTTAGTAATTTTTATCTAGGTTTACCTCTTTAAAAACAGAATTTTAAAAAATTATCAGAAATTTTTAAATAATCCATACTATCAAAATAGGTATAGAATCCCTGTGGCATGCTTTGAATGGCTGCATGACCACTCATACTGGAATCTTTACAGGCAGGGATACAGAGGTCACAATACAACACTTTATGTGGCTTTCTCCAAAAGAAATTCTTTAGCATGGACACCTGAGTCCTTCATACTTGAAGAGAGTACATTTAATGATCTAATCAATGAAAAGGATGAAAGTGAATACAAACTTAACTTTGACGTTATAGACAGTCCAGCCTGTGGAAATCAGGGCCACAAGGCTTAAAGTCCCAATTGAATTGGATCATCGGATCCAAGCCTTAGTTCAGGCCCAGAGGGGCCTGGTGTTCACCAAGAGAACCATGTGTTTATTTCAGCTCTTGCTAACAGTGCAAAAGCTCTGAAAAAGAAACCATGGTCATCTTTTCCTGAACCTTTTAAAACCCACATTCCTGAATTTGTATCCCATTGTTTCAACTGGTACTTTGAGAATAATGTCGCTCTGCTTTTGTATAATACGATACAGTTTACAAAGTACTTTTACACATCCACAATCCTGGTAATAGCCTTGTGATTTCTGTAGTGGTAACTCCATTTCACAGATGAGGAAACTGAGGCTCAGAGAGCTTAAATAATTTTTACAAGGTAACATACTTTATGTGATGACACCAAGACCCTAACCCAGGTCTTCTGTAAGGGTCTGAGGGGAAACCAGCATCTATTTCCTCTGGCCTTTATCACATGTATCTTGGTAACAGCGTGAGGATTCTCATCTTGACCTGTTTTGTTAATCAATCTGTATGCACTTAGATTTATCTCACAACCTAGATGGTAAACCCCTTGTGGATTACGGATGTCAGTTAAATTTCTTTAAATTCATTCATCCGCTCTTTCAACGAAAACGTTCTGAGATCACCTATGTGCTAGACACACTATTAGGCACTGGAGGATAAAAGTGACTAAGGCACAGGGTAATCAGATAGTGAACAACACCAGTACCTTGAGACTAGTGCTATACAAAGGTATCAGCAGGGCACCAGCAAGCCCTAAGAGACTGGGGAAGACCCTCAGGAAGAGCTGTCGTAGACAAGGAGACTCCTGGTTGGTCCACACCACCATACACATTAACACCCAGTAAGGAACTGTTTAACCAACGAATGAATGAAATTTCTCCCCACAGGTAGTGGGCAGTCATGAAGGACACCCAGTGCTCCACTAGGGTTTAGGGCAACTCCAGAGTAGCCAAGTCAGATTCTGCATAAACCAAGAAGACATTGCTGGAACAGTGATTATAACATGCTTCCTACACTATAACACTCTGCAATTTCAAAATACGAGGGCTAATCACTTTCCAATCCAAACAAACTGTGCTTTATTGTGAGTAAAGAAACAGAAAGGGGTGGGGGAGTCTGGAAATGACTTTGAGGGGACCATTTTAATGAATGTAGTCTTTGAAATTCAGGTAAATAGAGCCTCTCTCATTTCCAGCACAAGAAGTCATTCACTGTGGCAGCCAAGTCGGCCATGAGAAAGTTGTGATACCAAAGTCTAGGTCAAAGTCGGGAAGCGACTGGATCTAACACCAGCTCTTCCCCTACTAACAGGTGCCCTTAGTGGACCCCAGTACACCTCAGTCTTCTCAGGTCTTCAACAAAGGGGCTGCAGTATGTAAGGTCTCTTCTACTTCCTTAATTGCATGTTGCTAGTAAATGAAATAAATACAACTCACTCTTATACCAACTGTAACATATTTTCCTAAACTAATGTTCTGAAAATTTCCACCACTTACAAACAACAGGAGAGCTCATTTTAATTTACAGCCCTCAGACTGGTACTTTGACCAACTGCAGATCCTATGGAGATCCTGACCCAGCACATCACTTCCTAGTTTGTCAAAGTCAAGGACGTCATGAGCAATTATGTAACACATTCCTTAGGCTTTCCTTTCTGCAGTGTGCAGGGCCTGTTTCCCTCCTCAAGCCCAGCCCATTCATGCAGAGGCCACAGAAGCATCCATTCCATGAGTCTTCCTTAAAGGAAGAGAGATGTTTAAATCAATGCCTTTCACTTCATTTTTTTAAAGCCAGTGGAAAAACAAAGCTAAGCCATACCAAGCTATGGAGAGTTAAAATGTCATAAGTAAGAGGAATATTTAAATGGACAAGCTGAAAAGAATTTTTCCAAGATGAAACATATACAATGTTACTGTGAATTATTAAAACTACCATTAAAAATACATGTTTTTTGTTCAATTGCCAACATTTTCATTTACCTAAGAACTGGAATCTATCTTCAGCATTCATGCAATAGCAAGGATTCAACATAGGTTTTGGGATCAGAAAGATGCTGGTGACCTTAGGCACATTTCCAACCACTCTAAACCTAAGTTTCCTCATCTGGAAAATGGAGATAGTATCTACTTTGTGGGATTCATATAACTTAGAAACCAGGGATTAAGCACTTACAGTGTGCTTGACTCTGAGAGGTCAGCCCATTATCTAATTATTGAAATATACGGCATTTAATTTTCACAACCACTCGTTCTGCTTCTTTGTATCATTCATCCATTCAATAACAGGAGATAGTGTTTGTGTGTGTATGTTGCTGTCTGCACAGTGTGTGACACACAGAACATGCTAAGAAGAATAGACGCTCTTACCATTCAAGGAATATCATATGGTCATTTTTAGAACTACACGGAGAGAAGAAAAAAGATATGGAGGTTTAGACAGCAATTCTGAGTTACTTTTGTTAATAAGTGCCTAACACACTCAGCACTTATCACTGCTTTTGGGTGACCCAAAAGAAGCAAGATTCAATTCACTTCATTACAGCTTTTTCTTAAATGTGGAAGCCCTACTCATCACAGTGATCTAGCCTTTGACTGTCTACTACCATAAAAAAACTGAAAATTAATCTACAGGTGTATTTCATAAAAAGCCACAAATCTGTGGTCCAAACAGGCCAAAAAGTGCAGGAGGAATACACTGGAAATCAAGAAGACTTTTATTTTTATTTTTTATTTTTTTAAGATGGAGTCTCGCTCTGTCACCCAGGCTGGAGTGCAGTGGTGCGATCTCGGCTTACTGCAACCTCCGCCTCCTCGGTTCAAGCAATTCTCCTGCCTCAGCCTCCCGAGTAGTTGGGACTACAGGCACACACAACCACGCCCAGCTAATTTTTTGTATTTTTGTTAGAGATGGGGTTTCGCCACGTTGGCCAAGCTGGTCTTGAACTCCTGACCTCAAGTGATCCGCCCGCTTCAGCCTACCAAAGTGCTGGGATTACAGGCATGAGCCAGTGCGCCCACCAAGAAAACTTTTAAAACCACCCTTATTTATTCACTCATTCATTCATTTACTCATCTTGTCTCTCTCTCTCTCTTTCTCCTCTGCTCTCAATAGTTTTGTGTTCCTATCTTCATTCCTGATTCATAGAAATCATAGAATCTTAAGGTCAGAAGGGACTTTGGAAGTCATCCAAGAAATCAGAGCTTCTTTCCTAAGCAAATAGACACTAAATTCCTACAGTGGAGAGGCATGTGGGGTGGTTCCGAAGCCAGAGTGCTTGTTTCCTCCCTGACAAATGGAATAATGGCAGTTCCTACCTCATCTCATAGGGTTATTGAGAAGAATAAATGAGGTCATGTTATGCAAACAACTGGCACAGAGCAGGTGCTCAATAAACAGGAGCCAGTCTTACTCGAAAGGATTATTCTGCTTGATGCTAAAGGCTCGTCCAAATCTGATGAAGCCCAGGCCACTGCATTGTTTGGGCAGCCCTAATCATCATAAAGTTTTTCTCTACTCTGAGCTAAATGAACAGCAGCTTCCACTCACTGCCCTCTACATGGACGGAGAATTTAACCCTTCAACTCCAAGCCAGCTTTCTGAGTAAGCAGTGACAGCTCTCTGCTCATCTTCTTCTCAGTTCACCCTGGCTTTCGAGTGCCCCCCCGCCATTCTGTCTTCTCTGGCCACATCCTGATTTGTCCATCTCCCTCCGAGTGTGTACCCAGAACTGCCTCCTGGACTCCAGGGAGAGTGCGACTGGTAGCACAGACTTGTTCTGAGTACAATGACTGTATTACAGAGTTTAGTGGCTTTGGGCGCAACCACATTGTGACATTATTCATATGAAGTTGTAAGTGTGCTAAAAGCCAGAGTCCCTTTTTATGCATGCTATTGAAGCACTATGCCTTCTCTAGCTTAGGTTTAGGGGATGCCAATGTAGGGGCTACACTTTAATGCTTTATATGTCATCTGGTTACATTCAAATATTTTGATCATGATTCTGTCATCAAGCCATGAGCTATCCTTCTAGGTTCATCCATAGACTTTACAAACACCTTCTTAGCTTGGATAACACTGCAGCCCTTGCTGTGGCCCCCAGCTTCACACAGGTATAACCTGACAGCACCCTGCCTTGGCTGTACCATGTCTTTCTAGCATTCTGCCTTGGGGCGTCTTTGAGACACCTGCAGAAACACGTACAAACCTGAAAGTACAGGGACTCAGTACCCTGGGGCAACACTTGGCCAAGGGAGAGGGGAATAATGGATACATGCCTACCTCATCTGTCCTTCAGCCACTTCCCAAGCACATTCTATGTGGCTCCTCAGAGGATCCCTGTGGGATTAAGCCCCCACTGCCCACAGCAGTGACCAGCTTGATAATGCAGGCTTGTGTTGGCTCTTCCTCCTTCCTTGTTTCTCTCTTTGTAGCCCCTTCTCCTGTTGCCTGGGATCAGTGCCCAAAATAAGCCACCCGCACACCAGCCCTTGCCTCAGGCTCTGCCTTCTTGGGGACCCCAGGCTAAGTCACATTCCATCGACACTAGTGATAATGTCCAACATGTGAGCTTCAATGTACAGCACCAGAGATCTCCCTTTAGGCAGACAGTGGCTGGAGACAGGCCTGTAACAGTCACTGAAACCACGCTAAAGCCACACAACTAGATTCTCACCTGCTGCTATTTCTCCATTAATTCATCAGGAAATAAGAGGTTTTGTCAAAGGCTATGCTGAAACTTAGATATGGGATTCCCTGTGATCTGCCTGGAACACAGAAGTCTCTCAGCAAATGCTATCTCCCCCCTTTCCCACTGCCCCATCAGATAGGAAATGGCATTAGTTCTCCACGGTCCATCCTCCCACTCACAGCAAAACCATGCTGGTTCCTATTTCTTCATCCATACGCTCATAGATCATGTTTTAAATATTCTTCTGGTATCTTGCACAGGCCCAATATTAACCTCTCAGATGCCTACAATGTGCAAAACCTGGTTTCTCCCTCCTTTTTCCTTTTTCAAACGGAGACAAGTTTATTTATCTTGAGGCACATGGAGTGGTTCTGAAGTCAGACAGTTTGTTTCTCCCATTCATTTACCACTCTTCAAAATTTCAAAACTGGTTCAGCATTGACATTTTACTCATGCATTTTAACTGTGTTTAAATCACATGTTTGGTGCACATACACAGATAGAAATGTATACAATGAAAGTCAATGTTGTGTATGTATTTATGCTGCACACACAGACGCTTGGATTCTATGACAGATCAGGATAAACTGCTTCAGAAATTCCAGTGACTGCACTTTATGGGAGTGCTCTGGGGAAGTAGGGGGAAGAGAACTCTCCCATCCAGTCTCTGGAATGAACATTCCTGCTCTTTCCAGCTCAACTTTACAGCCCATAGCATCAGCAAAAAAAAAAAAAAAAAAAAAAAAAAAAAAAAAAAAAGAAAGAAAGAAAGAAATCTTTCCTGGAGCCTCATTTTCCATAAGACACTGATCGCTAGAGTGCCTGGAAATTTCAGCATATTCAAAAAGCTCGGGGAAATTCTCCGGCCTTCTTCAAACCCAAACTCAGTGCAGGCTGTGAGAGGTAGTTCAAAGAGCCGGTGAGAGAATTATTGCTGAGAGCAGTATATAAAATGCTCAAATAATTTAATGAGTGACCACACTACCAAACTAAAAAGCGTCAGTATTTCAGTGCTTACATGCGTAAGTAAAACTTGAAAAGATTTTTAAGTCAATAATTCCATCATATGAAACACACCTGCACTACTAGCATACTCTCTGACTAAAGCAATCCATGGGGATTTTCCAGGGCAAAGTGACCTCAAAGTGCCTGTAGACACTTAGCATGCACTTTTGTACATTACTACTTAAGACTGACTACAGTGTCCACCTTGTCCTGTCTGTCTCCTCCCCCTGCCTTCCAAAGAGGTCCCACCGCCAGAGCTAAGAAAGATTTGCTTTGCTCTGCATGTGAAGCCAACAGAAAACTGTAGAGAGACTCAGAAAATGACCTTCCTCATATCAGCAAGTTCAGTGGGCAAAAGATAAGTGGTCCCCATCTTATTATAGGAAACCACCTGGGCCAGTTTAAAACCCAGCCCTAAGCAAGGGCTCTAACAGGTTACTGCCATTTGATAGGGGTTGAGACAGGAGAAAGAGCATCGGACTGAGGAGAGTCAGATTCTGATCCCAGATCTGCTGGCCATAGCTTTGTCGACCAATGTCTTTTCTCAGAGCCTGAGAAAGACCACTGCCCTTGGTCACAGATTTCCAAACTGCTCTCCTAGGACACTTAGGTTTGGGGAGTAGGGGGTTGGGGGGACATTCACTTCCCATAAACCTTCATCTAAGTTCTCACTTGCAAACAAAAATCTTCTGACACATAGCCGTAAAACTTGAAAGCTACTGCACCAAATTGCCTCTTTCCTTTCTAACAGTCTCTTTCATTTCTGCACCTTTCATTTCTAACAGTCTACCCTCAAAGTATGGTCCGCAGATACGCAGCATCAACATCACCTGGGAGCCTACTACAATCCCAGGAGTTCAGCTCCACCTCCCCAGGCCTCTTCAATCAGAGTTTTCAGGTTTTCAGTACAAGATTCCAAAGTGATCTGCGTGCAACTAAATTTTGAGAACTGGTCTACGACACTTTATCTTTTCCTCTAACTGTTTCAGATGTTATTGCTCAACGCTAGTTAGAGTCAAAGCATCCTACAAAAATATCCTACTAGGAGGAGCCAAGAGAACTATTACTAAGTCTTACAATGTTATGCATACTTAAGCGGGATGAAAATACTAGGTGACCAGATGTTCCATTTTCGTATCTTTAAATATACTGGAAATCATAGAGTGTTGGGATTGATTCTCCACTCACCAAGCAATCACTTATGACGGTGAATATCCCTCATGCTCTCCTCTCTCTACCCTATTCACATTCATCCTTCAAAGGCCCAGGAAGCCTGCCCCTTCCATGGCACATGCACAGAGTTCCCTGCATGTGTGGTTTTCTTGATGAAACTGGCATTTGAGGTACTACAACAGCAAGAATCTCATAAGCCCTAAAAGCACTTATTTCATGTGACACAGTCAAGTTTACTTCTTCCATTCAGCTTCTCAGACTGCCCAATCCACGCTGTTCTCTCCTTTCACTCAATTTCAGTTTTGTTCTCTAATCAGAACCACAGCACTTAGCAACTGTGTATGATCGAATTATGACATATTTTCTTATGTTTGTTTCAGCTCTGCAACTCGAGTGTAAGCTACTTGAGAGGAGTAATGTGTATTTCAGCTTTTGACAGGGCCCTGGGCTCTCTGCTGGGGTATTTGGTAAATTTATATGTGCCAAGGAACTCAGTCCCACTTTCTTACCAAATACACTTTGTCAGGTACCATTACAATGGCACTGTATTATCTACTGTGTAAAAGAAACCACTGAATCATTTGATTGCTTTTTCCTAGTAAACTAAGACAAGAAAGCTGTTTTAAAATGTTGATATGTGGAATGGGAACAAAACAATAGAATGAGCTTCCGGGTTCCAGGGAATCCCATGTTCCTACATAAAAGCAGGCAGGTACTCTGAATTCCAAGCTGGCTCTTGGGATGTAGGCAGCAGAGCAAGGCCCAAGCCTCGACTCTAGGCCCCTGTTCTAAAAGTTCTGCTTTCTTTGGGAAAATCCTGCCTCAGGCAGCTTCAATGGAAGCAAAAATAGCTCAGAAGAGATGTCTGCTTCTGCATCTTAATCTATGTGAATTGGATGAGCTCAGTGAGGCCTTGGAAGGAATGATCAGGAGAGATGAAAAGGAAGGAACATACTAAAATCTCAAAGTAGTGATTGTATATTTTAAAAAGGAAAAGAAAAGATTTCTACGAGCACCATACCTTTCCTAGCAAATGAGTTACACAAAGCACTTCACCCACAGATGAAAACCTCCAAATTTCTCCTTGGGTCAAGGAGAAGCAATATTTTCCCTCTTCTCTGGTGTTGTCAATTCTCTCTAGAATTAGACTTCTGTAGGACTGTCTGGGAAGTTTTCAGTTACTTTCAGCCCTTCAACCCTCATCTTGTGTCCTCGTTTGTTTATTTAAACAAAAACAAGTCAATTTGACTGTTGTGAAGTTTCTCTGCCTTTTACTTGCTTTGATGGGGCCTGTTTATAGCATATACTCAATTGTTGAAGGCCGTGAGTGCCCAGGCGATACAACCAAACCCAAATTATTCACAACAAAGAGTACAAATATATGTGACCTGCTACAACTTACAAGCAGCAGTAAACTGCAGGGTCATCCCAGACTGACCCAAAGAAAATTACAAAACCCTAAGTGAAAAGTGCTTCATATATAAAGCCCCTAAATATTTCATTCAGCAAAATGATTTCTTCTTTTCACATTCACCAACTGAAGGAAAAAGTGTTGATAAGTTATTTGGGAAAACTGGGTCAGGGCTGCATATTTTTAGGAGACAGAGTGAAAAAACAAAGCTAAAACATAGAAGGTGGGTCCCAGTAGACTTATATCTTTTTAGGGTTCCAAGTCATCCTCAATCTCTTCTTCATAATCCTTTAAATGAAAAGATTTCTGATCATTTAGAAAAATATTATTCATATCAATTCTATATTAATTAAAGGCAAATTTAAACCTGAGGGATAGAATAGATCCTTGCTGGATCATTAACAAGTAACTTCCGGACAATAACAAGGTTTTATAATCATCATTTCTCAGATAAGAAAACTGAGGCTTAGAAATTATTTAACTAGCCCAGGCTGATTTAAAAATCTGTACTCTAAAAATCTTCTACAACTTATGCCCTCCTATGACTATAAATAGATGGGCACCTGGAGAATACTTTTTTCTCTATTTCCATCCTTCCTTCTCCTGCATATGCCAATGCGGACAGCAACCAAGCTGCCCTTAGAAGATAATGCCACCATGTGGCCAAAATGGAAACTGTCTGAACTAAACTGGCTCTTCCACTCATGCCTCTCAGAGGATCATGCATGTAGGCCCATACATTAAAGGGGATAACACTATCTTCTGCATGGGAGATACCTTCTTGACCCCTCTTTACAATCTTTTTATATTAAAATATTGAACCAACTCCTATTCGCCCCTCAGGACTCAGCTCAAATGTATCTCCTCCTCAGGGAAGTCTTCCCTGATTCCCCAGGCAATAAGTGGCTAGGTTCACAATGCTCCCAGTAGGCCTCTCCTCATACTTTTTATCCCCATATCTATGCTTCAACACCTATGATATTATATTAGTCATTTACCCCACACTAAGAGTATCTATCTGTACTAGGCACTGGACTAGAGTTAAGTTACCTTTACATTTCCATTGCATAACACTGGGTCAGGAAAATAGCAGGCAGTCAGAAAATGTTTGTGGAATGAATAAATGAATGAAAAAACTACAAACAAGATCTTATCCATATCATCAGGAAAACCTCTTCTGCTGCTTTCTTTTTATGCCATTTGTAACCTTAAAAAGTAACGCAGGGTGGAGGATGGCATACTTGTACTACAGAAACCAAAACCATAAAAATCATGGAACCAACATACCCACCCTCTAATGACAGCAAGTTTACACAAATATGGGGTGAGGGTGACAGCCCCTCATCCCATTCTAAATATGTTACCTCCAATACACTATGGATTATCAATTTTTTTAAAAAAGTTAGAATTGTGTCTAGAATAAGAGTAATTACATTCTGAGAGAGAGTCTTCAAGCTCCACAATTATTTTTTTGTCTCAAACATCACCATTTTGGATACCCTTTTCTCTTGTATTTAACTATAAGTATAGGAATTTATTGTCATTTACTTACCACAAACATACACAAATAGTGTATATTTTGTGGGTTACGTTTTTGTGGATTAACTTATAAATCTCTATGAAAAATATATTTCAAGTCCAAGTGACAAAAGCCATAAATAAACAATGCCACAAAGTCTATTTTTCTTTTGGAAACTTCAGGTAAAGTCAGTGGGTTGCATTTTTGCTACTTGTAGGTATCAAATGACCTGCTAGTCCTGGAACTGAGACTGGCCAGAAGTCTCAATGTTCAACTGGAGCAGTA
Source organism: Homo sapiens (assembly GCF_000001405.40). NCBI lineage: Eukaryota > Metazoa > Chordata > Mammalia > Primates > Hominidae > Homo > Homo sapiens. Next base: position 54,571,367 of record NC_000014.9, on the reverse strand, counting down.
GCTGAAGAGACTTATCTAAGGTTATAAGGATCCTGGGAACAAGACTGTACTAGAGAACTGATCATGACCATATCTGTTAAAAGAAAAACACATACAAATAAATCCATAGGGACTGATTCAATCATTTCTTGGAATCTCCAATGACCATGAGCCTGAGGCAAAGGATGAACCAGTGAATCACTAGATTCTCAATAAATTTAAGAGAATGAAAGCACCAAATTACATCCCACAAATCTCAAATAAATCATGTTTAATGCGCAGGATATCTCACTATTTAAAATCAGTCCTGCATAAAACGAGAGATATATTCATACTATTACTAGTAATTTTTTTTTATTATACTGAGATCGAGTCCCATATATGAATTTGGTTCCCATTTACCAAGTTTTAAAATCTCTAAACACTAGACAAAATGTGAGGGTTTTTTAAATTGATGATTACAAAATAAAGTGATACAAGATGACTTCGGTACAGGAAATCTCAGCAATCCAATGAATGAGTCATTCTGCACAGCCTAGTTTTCTGAATTGGTAAGAGCCTTACACATCAAAACAGCTCAGAGGTTAATTATTCTGGGTGTAAACATTTCCAAAGTATATTGAACATTTCCTTCTCTTCTTAAAGAGTGTATCTAAAAATGTATTATTTCCATAGTTCACCGTTAACAACAGTAAATAGCAATTATTTGTTTATGTTATTATAGAGTGGTGCCTACAAGGTCAATTGAGGGTTCCCACCCTAATATTCCCAAGCCTTCAAAGTTTCTGCCCCAATTCTTGTCTAAAGTTACAGTTTTTCTGTCTCTTTCCAAGTTGTCAGGCTGTCAGGGGTCACTTTTTACTACTGATTACAGCAGTCCCTCACCCCATTCTAAATGTGTTACCCCCAATACACTACGGATTATTTGTCAAATTTTTTAAATGTTAGGATTGTGTCTAGAATAAGAGCAAGTACATTCTGAGAGAGGGCCTGAAATATTCTCTTGGACTTTCATGCTATCTACTCTGGTTGCGAAGTGGACTTTTTGCCCCCTTCCTGGTTCTTGGCTAGTTTCCGGATATGCAGAGAGCCACACTACAGACTCAGGTATGCTATGACAACTCCTGATGCTCTTTATGATCCCCACACTCCGAAAGTAAACCAAATCATCACATGACCTCCTAAGAAATTTCTGTCCTGGCCACACAACAAAACAACTGCAAAGATTTCCATGCAGGCAAAACGTCTAGGCGAAGGATTAATCCAGAAACTGGAGACCAGTTCCTATCTTACACAATGGTTCTATATTTTGTATATCTACATCATTTAGCAGCATGAACAGGTGGGTATCTTATACAAATAAGTATGGCCAAACATGTCTTAAGGGAAAAAAAATGCCAAGTGACTTCAAAAAATTCACAGTTCAATTTTTTAAATTATGAGATTTTTAAAATTAGGCCACCTTATTTTAACATTTAACTGTTTTACTTACTAACCTGGTGGCTGCTCTATTGGGAAAAGTCATCTCCATTACTCAAAGGGAAAAAGTGCTGCTCCAACATTTGAATAACCTAAAGATGAGTTTGAACAGTCCCTACCAGCACTGAAATCAAGCATTCAACCTAAATGACTCTGCGTAAATCCTCTGCAATCTATAAAATGCAAAAGTTTATATAACCTTGTTTGTCAAACCTGAGAAAGTAAAACCGAGCAGGTAAACCAGGCTTCCCGCTGAAATTAAGGAAGGAAGCAAAGAGGGTGGATCATCAGTTACCCAATTATGCTTCCACACCCCAGTGAAGGAGGCTGGCCCTCCAGCTATTTATAAACGTGGAGCTCAACCAAAGGGGGCCCTGTCATCGCCACCCCAGTGAGTCCTGGTGTGAGCTGGGAGGCTCGGGCTCAATGGAATCTCCCTCAATGTGGCCCTCCATACTTGGCCATGCAGGATCTTTCGGGTGCAGTCCTGTCTGGTCAGGAAAAGAACTGTGAAGATTTCCAGCGGTCACTTCCACCCTATGATTCTATATATGGAAGCATCCCATTCTAGTGTTTTCACCATCGTGCACACCATACTAGGGAGGAGGAATGAGTAGGCCGGCTCGCTTCTTGCTGCTCTGAAGGCACACTCACTTTAGTGTCTCCCAGGCCCCACTGCCCTGGACTGGACCTTGTCATCAAATGGCAGCCCAGACCTCTGCTGAGCTTTGCAGGCTCGCAGCTCCAACATGGAACAGCTGGAAGAGGACCCTGCATTCTTTTCTCTGCATAAACACTGGGGACTCTGTTCACCCTCCTGCAGCAGCATGAACTAAAGAATTTCCCCCTATCCAAAATCACAACCATCAGACTTTCCCCCCATCCCCCAGCCTCCTCCTACCCTCCAGGATATAATTTCAGTCTGTCACCACCCACGCTAGCAAATAGGAAACTGCTGGACCTTTCGACTATATTCACTTTCCATACTAGTTGAGGTGTCTGTAAATACTAGCAGGGTAATATGAAACGATTCTGTTCTATTCAGTAAAGTTTCCTAACGAAAAGCATTAAGTAACCCACTTCATGCCTGTCCTTTCTCCAAGACCCTTTTTTTCTACAAGATCCGTATCAATATGGATAATGTCACGAGCAGTAAGCTTAACCGCATTATATATATATATATATATATATATATATATATATATATATATATATATATGCTGCAAATGTCATTTTACTAGTCTCTAGCGTCACCTGCATATTATTCTGAAGACGAAGCTCTAAAACCAGAATATCTGTGGGGAAAAATGAATAATAAAATTGGATTTTCATGTACTCCTCACACAGCCTTATCCAAGCTTGGCTTCTGAAGGGCAGTCCCGGGCATCTATCATGTGTTGCTGAAATCCAGCGAGCCACGTTGCCCAAAAGAAGGAGGAGGAAGGAAAAAACACACACACCCAGAAAATCCAGACTCTACGTGACCTGACTTACTTATTTCCCAGGAAACTGCATGAGAGAAAAATCAATCATTCATGCTACCGTAGCTACCACACGGAAAGGGCTGACGGAGTTCACAGTGGGCAAAATCCCAAAGCGGCCGGCGGAGGTAAGTAGGTGGGGGGCGGTAGTGGGGGGACACCCGGAGGGGGTGGATTCCGAGGGCCTCGGGGCCACGCCGTCCAGGTCCCGGCGCGGCTGGCAGGGACTGGCCTCGGCCTGGCCCGAGGCAGAGAAGCGGAGGGAGGAGCGGGGGTTGGGCAGGCGGGACGGCGGCGGCGGCCGCCGCACACTTACCGGGGCTGTTGGCCTCGCGTTCGAGGACGTGCAGCTCGGCGCAGTCGGCCAGCGAGTGCTCCAGGCAGAGCTGGAGGAAGCGGGCCTGGGTCTGGCTCACGCGCTTGAGCAGCGACAGCAGCGCAACAGTCTGCTCGCACTCGTTCCAGCCCTTAAACCAGCCCGCCAGCACCCCGACCTGGTCGCGAAACATCATGGTTAGGGGGCCGCCCTCGGTCTACAGAGCCCCCTGGGCGCCCCAGCCCGCCCCGCCCGCCCCAAAGTTTGGCGGAGCCGCAGCCCCGCGGCCGGAGACGCGTTCCTGTTCCAAGGTGGCTCTGGTGCCCGGACGCTGCAGGTACTGCCTGGGCTCCTGCCTCTCTTGTCTGGTTTCAGTTACGTTCCGGTGGTTCTGGCTGATTTCCCCAGAGACGATGACAGACAGTAGCACGGAAATGTTTCTTTAAAAAAAAAAACGACTTTTTAAAAATCCCCCACAAGGCACACAACTGAATGAAGAATGCTTTCTCCCCCCTTCTTGCAGCTTTGGGATGGTGATTTCCGGCGTCCTGGGGTCTCCTCCCCGCTGGGCGGCAACTCGGACCCTTCACGCCCGCATTCCCGAGCGGCGATCACCACTGGAAGGAGAGAAAGAGCTGCAGTGAGACCTCGGCTAGCGGAGGAGCGCGCCCTGGGGGGACGAGGGCATCAGAGGGTGCTGGGGCCAGGGGAGGGGGCGTCCCGCGGAAGGTTGGGTTCGCCGAAATCCAGCCGCCCCCTCCGCCCCCTCCGCACCCGATGTGGGAGATGGGCTATTCCCCACCGGGTAACAGCGAGAAGCCTGCTTCCCAGGTGCGGGAGGAGACCCCGCGGCTTCCTGTTGCTGCCGCTGCCAACGGCTGGTGCTCCCCTCACGGCCCGCCTGGGGTGGCCTCGGGCGCCGTGCTTAAGAACGCCAGCACCAGCAACAGATCTTCCCCGCGCAGAAAACTTGCAATGCGGCTGCGAAGGGGCGCGGGGGTGGGGGTGGGAGCTAATGCAAAGCAGAGGCGGAGGCAGCGGCAGCCCGAGTTCCTTCCTCCTCCTCTTACTCCTCCTCCTCCTCCCAGAGAAGCAGCCGAGCGGCTGCAGCTCCATCTACAGCAACAGCCAGCATCTCCACCGCCAGGCGCCCCTCTGGATTTAGGCCGTGAGCAGCCGCGGCAGCAGCTCGAGACAAAAATAAACTCTCTCCACCCAAAGCTCCGCGCCCAGCGGGCGGCGGCGCAACCCAGAGCCCCGGCTCCCCCGCGCCGCGCCGCACCAGCCCACCCGGGAGGTCTCCCTGGGCCTGCTCCGGCCGGAGCGGTCACTGTGCGCGCGCGTGTGCGTGTGTGTGTGCGCGCGTGTGTGGCAGGCATCCTGCCGCCGCCGCCTACGGGCTGGTCTGTCCGGCCCGGAGCCTCGCCCGCGCGTCGCAGGCCGAGGGCGGCACAGCGCTGGGCACACGCCCCGCGAGGGGACGGCCGGGGTCCGCAGCGCTGCTCCCTTCGGCCAGCGGGGCGGCCCCGCGGGGAATGCGGATCGGCGCCGCAGGCACACGCCCCCCAACGACAGCAAAGAAAGTTCGGCTGCGGGGGTTCCCCCAGTCCCATCCCGGTTCTCGTGGCCGCCGCCGGCGGGGAGGAGAACCCAGCGACTCAGCCTTCAAGGAGCCGCTAGCTTCCAACAACACGCTGCTTCCGGCTCCCAGAACTTCTCGGGCGGAGGGGGAAGCCCCCGGGGAGGGGACCCCCAGTGACCCGCGGGTCCCCCGCCGAGGGCCGTAGGGAGGGAGCGCTCACCTCGGCGCGGCTCATCCCGGCGGCTCGGGGGCCCTTGCGCGGGTCCGGGGCCGCGGCGGCTCTCAGCGGGGTTGGGGGCGCCCGGAGCGCCGGCCGCGGGCCATGCCGTCGGGGCGGGCGGCGCGGGGAGAGTGCGGTGCTTCGAGTCGGGGCCGCTGCAGCCGCCGCTGCTGCTGCCTCCAGTGTCGGCTCGCGGAGGACTGAGCCGCCCGAGCCGGAGCTCCCCACATGCTACTGATTAACATACACCATTACATCATGGGCTTGGCAGGGAGCGCCCGAGCGGGGGGAGAGGAACCCGGGCGGCGGCGACGGCACGCGGGGGGAGCCGGGGGGAGGAACCCCGGACCCGGCGCAGGGCGGGGGGACGGATTCCTAAGTGGGGACCAGAAAAAGGGGAGGGGAGCGGAGTGGGAGGAGCTGGTGGCGCAGAGGGGTCGGGTAGAAGGAACCTCCGAGAGGAACGAAGAAGTTCGGGGAAGAGGACGGGTCCGGGTGAATTTCTTCCTGCGGCCGCCTGCGTGTTCTGGAGGGGTCGGGACACTCAAGCCACTGGAGCCCCGGCAGAAAGGGACCCGAGGGCGCTCGGGCGGGGGCGGTGCTGCCACCCGCTGCTTGTCCTTGGGAATGTGGTTCGTCCGCTCGGCTGACCCTCGGCCCTTCTGGGGCCCCGGGGTGGCCGAGGTGTTTGGCCCCCGGGCGGTGAGACCCGAGGTCACTGCCGCACTTGCTGGGATGGGTTCCGGGGGTCGTGGAGGCGAAGGGTTCACGAGGCTGAGGGGCAGTGCGCAGGGTTGGACCTGCCCAGGCGCTAGGTTCCGTGCCGCCCTAGTCCAAGGGCCTGGCCCGGGTCGGGTGCCGGATGCCCTTTGCTCTGGCGCAGGCTCCTAGAGGCCGGCCCGGCGCCTGGCTGAGTCCCACTCTTCCCCGGGGAGGTGGCCGAACTCCTGAGACCGGTCGGGGGAGCTGTGCCTGGCGCGCGGGCTGCGGCTTCTGGCCTGGAGCGGAGGCGAGCGCCGCCCTGGGCGACAAAGAGGCGGGGCGAGGCCACCTGTCAGCGCTTAGGCGTCGCCAGGCCTCGCAACCTTCACCTGGATCTGGAGAGTGCGCAGGGCCGCGGCCACACCGGGGCTTCAGGTCCTTGCCGCGCGAGAGGCGAGGAGGGCGCAGCGCAGAGGCTGAGTGGCGCAGGGTGGGCTGCGAAAGTGCCTCTGCTAGTCTTGAAAGTAAAGGTTTGGTTAAAAATACCCTAAACCCTAAAAACCTCTGTACCTCCTGATATGGGTTGAATATTCGCAAGAAGGACTGGATGACTAAATCTGGGCTATCTCCGTGATTTCAGAGGAAACACTGCTCCCTCCAGCAACTTGAGGCTTTGTTTATACGGGAGTAATTCTGAGAAGGCAGTGAAACGCGTGTTTCAGACCCAGCCTTTCCTACTCCTGCTAATCCACTGTTTTGAAGAGAAAGTATCTGAGATATTATTCCACTAATTAACACTTTTGTTTTCCAACTCCGGCATATGTCCCTGGAATTTAAATGCTTTCTTCCCTTCCTCCTCAAATTTAGTTTCTGCAGCGTATAGTTCGTTTCAGACACGTGATAGCACCTAACCATCTGTTAGGGTTTTTGAAAGGTCTTGTCGAGGTCGAGCTGCAAAAATGTGGATTTTTTAAAAGTTAATTATTAACCAGACAGGTGAGGTATCCGCTTAATTTAATGAATATTTTGCCCTATTTAGAAAACAGGAAACCTGAAGTCAGTGTTTTATTTTTGTTTTGTTTTGTTACTGTAGAGGCAGAAAGGCTTGATAGATTTTCTCCAAGAGATTACTATGAATTAGCTAATTCTTAGTAATAACTTATATCAGGAAATAGGGAGGATTAGAGAGTATGGTCTACTTCGGTATATACCTTGCTATAAATTGTAGGCAAAGCAGATGTCGTTCTAGGGCTTTTGGAAGCTCCCAAGAGTGAATTTTTTTTAAAAGAAAGTGAAAAAACCAGAAATTTCATTAACATGTATTTTCACCTGCAGCTTACTAAAGGTATAGTAAAACTAAAAACAAAACAACAAAAAAAAAAAACAAAACTTAAGCTGGTGAATGAAAATACTGCCATCTACTGGAAAAGTGTAGTTCTTACACCAGCCTTTGACCTAGGAAAAGACATTGATTTATCTCATTTTTGAATTCTTACTGTTCAGGACACTCTAAGACATATAAAGTTGAGCATGACATGAGCTGTCAGTACTCTTGTATTTGTGTGTTAACAATTCCTTTCCTCTGGGCAAAGGAAAGGGAGTATAAATAAAACCCAGGGATGTGGCCTCACTCTTCCCCAGAGTGAAGTCATCACTCTAAAGGAAAAAAAAAATACATTCATTAAATATAAGGTATTGTATTAAGTGTGGATTTTTCCTATGTCAACCTGGACCCAGTATTATTGATAAATAAGAAGTGCCTAACACTTACTATATAGTCACATCACTTGAAAAATGAATGAAAATATCCTTTCATTAGAAGAGATATTACTATGTCTATGTTCACTGTATTCCTATTTATTCATTTGAAAAATACTTATTGTGTCACCTTGTGCCAGGCACTGGGTTAGGCAATAAGTACCCTGAGTATTCTGAGTACCAAGTACAGGCACTGAATACACGATGGGGTACTAACCAAGAGATACTTTATATGAATAAAACACAGATCAGATTATCATGAATTAACATTCCCAACATTATTTTGCTTTTCTCCTCCTTAGAATCTGGGAAGGGAAGAAATTGTTTTCTGAGTGAATAATACTTTTGATCAAATAATTAAAATGTTCAGATGTTCCAAAGATTACTAATTCTAGATAAATCATTGACATATTTATAAATCACTGTTTAAGAGGATGCCTGGGTATTATTTGCATAAATAAGAAATCCCAGAGATTTCATGTTTATTTTAAATTTATATTTCTTCTAGAATAATCTAAAACAAAAGAAATGCATTAGATATAAAAACAGAGCTGTAAGCTTTAATTATTTGCTTTATAAATGAGCAAAAGTATTAAAATCTCTACATAAAGGTAAATGACAATGGATAATTGCCATTCATTTAATCATTTGATAAATATATATTGAATACTTGTTCTGGGCCAAGTCCTCAAGATAAAATATTAAGACATTTGGTATTTTTTATCTAACACAAAAGCCCATATAGCAAACATATATATGATTATATTATATAGCAAGAAAATATATAAATAAAATTTCATATATTCATTACACATTTTAAATGCATATATATGCCATAGGAAAATGTGTGAAAAGATTTACACCAAAATGGTAACTAATGGTGATCTTCTCTGCATGATAGGATTTCTGAGTATTGTTGTCTTGTTTCTCCATATTTTCTAACTTTTCTACTGTGAGTAAGAAAACTAAAACCAAAACACTACGTGAGTTCAGGCCTACTGTCTAAAACTTAATTTTAAAAGAAACTAAAGAAACTCTACTATAAAATTTAGGTCTATAACTCCCAAGAATTGTTTGAGCCTGTATCACTTCCTACCTAGGTCTTATCCTAGACTCAGTAGTGGGTCTCCCTTCCTCACTTCTGATCTCTCCACTCTCTAGCTCAGACATTTTCTGTGGTTTCTGAATAGACACTGAATACATTCCAGACTATTTGGGCTGGCATACAAAGACTCCAGGATTCGGCCACTGTCTGCCCTTCTGCACGTCTCTTCTACATTTCATTCACTGATTCATTCACAGAAAGTATTTGTTGAGTATAAATCACTGTGCTAGGCAATTAGAAGAGACAAAGGTAGAAGAAGAACCATGCTCTCTTCAACCTCCAGTGTGTAGCATAAATTATGTTCTTGGCACGTGCGTGCACACACCCACACTTCACAAAAACGTACAATGTGAAGTGGGTCTGAGGGGAGGCAACACAGTGTTGAGAGAGATAAGAAGAGGTAGCAATTCTGCTAGAAAATTAAGGAAGACACTGTGGCTCTGTTGCCTTTTGAGCTGGTGTTCATTGGATAAATAGTTTCAACACAGATAGGCAAAATTTTAAACATTTAGGACACCCTATGGGGACCAGGATATCTAGATATTGTTTGTATCAAGAAAGCATCCTGAGGACTCCGTGTTCGTGTATCTTAAGTTCATATTTCTTCTAGCAGTTATAAGTAAAACAAGGGAAGGAAATGCAGGTCTTCCCAGACTTTGCTGTACGCTAGTGGAAAGTGATCCTCCAGTAACCGCATCTACTGAATGAGCTATTATGTATCCTTTTTCAGATTACCTGAGAATGCAATTTTTAGGACTCTACCCCACTGAAGTAAAAGCACCATTGCTATAAGATAAAGTATACTAAAATATAAGTATAAATACAAAAATGTTAATTTTAGCAGTTTGTAATAGCAAAATGCTAGAATATCTATCTGCAGGGCAATGAGCAAATAAAGTATTAAACTGCCATACTGCGAACTTTATGCCCTTTTTAAAAAATATATATATATTTTAGAGACAGGGTTCACTATGTTGCTCAGGCTGGTCTCAAAACTCCTGGGCTCAAGCGATCCTCTCAAAGTGCTGAGATTATAAGCGTGAGCCACCTCACCCAGCCTTATGCACTTATTTTTTAAAATAAGTTCTACTTCACCTGTAATCCCAGCACTTTGGGAGGTCAAGGTGGGTGGATCATGAGGTCAGGAGTTTGAGACCAGCCTGGCCAACATGGTGAAACCCTGTCTCTACTAAAAATACAAAAATTAGCCGGGCGTGGTGGCGAGCACCTGTAATCCCAGCTACTCGGGAGGCTGAGGCAGGAGAATCGCTTGAACCCAGGAGGCAGAGGTTGCAGTGAGCCGAGATTGCGAGATTGCATCACTGCACTCCAGCCTGGGCGACAGAGCAAGACTCCGTGTCAAAAAAAAAAAAAAAAGTTATACTTGAGTAAAATGCATCAAAATATAATAGACTGATGGATAGAGAAATAGATAACGTGATAAAAAACAAATACAGCAAAATGTTAATTGTAGTATATAGGTGGTGAGGATATAGGTGCTCACTGTTTAATTCTTCCAAATTTTCTGTATGTTTGAAAATGTTTATAATAAATTATTGGAGATAAAAAGGAATGATTCGAGTTTACATGTATTGGCCTAGAAAGATACGTTTTAAAAGTGTCTTTAGTATAATTGTATTTTTGTGGTTTAAGAAGGCTGGCTCTAGAGCAAGAGTCCTGAGTCTTCAAGCCTAGTGCTCCATCATTTACCAGCCCTGTGACCTTTCTCACGCCACTCCCACTCTATGGTTTAGTGTTACTGATAACAAACCTACCTCGTTGTTATTATGAGGAGTAAACAAATAATACACTTGATTTCTTAAAACAGTACCAGGCATGTAGCAAGTATTCAATATATAGTATTATTAGCTGTGATTGAGAGGAAAAAAGAGAGCATGTTGGGTGGGAAGGAGAAAACCTGTCTCTCTCTCTCTCTGTGTATATATATATAAACTTTGTATATATGTTTTATATATATATATATATATATATATATATATACATACACACACACATATATATATTTGTATGGAATGGGAGGAGGACACACACACACACACAGCATTATGTTTTTTTGTTTAAGGGTAATGCAACCCCATAATGAAACAATCAGACAAATCCAGAAAGAGAGACATTCTCCAAGATAACTGGCCTGGAAAAAAATGGCAGGACTGCTCCAGATTAAAAGAGACATAGGGCACACGACGGTCATAAGCAATGTATGACCCTTCATCCATTGAGGTTTGAAAAAATAGCTATAAAAGACATTTGGGGGATAATTGGGGAAATATTGAACATAAGCTGGAAATTAGCTGATATTGGGGAATGATTATTAGTTTTGTTAGGTGTGACCATGGTATTGTGGTTATGAAGCAGAGTACCGTTTCATTTCATTTTTAAAAAGATGATCATGCTGAGGTGTCTGGGTAAGTGGTCAAGATGTTTGCAACTTACTTATAAATAATTCAGCAAAAAACACATACATAAACACATAGATAAATGTGGCAAATGTTGCATCAGGTGGTGAGTATAATAGGTCTACATTGAACTATTATTATTTTTTTGTTTTGTTTTGGTTTTTTGAGACAGAGTCTCACTCTGTCACCCAGGCTAGAGTGCAATGGTGTGATCTTGGCTCACTGCAACTTCCACCTCCTGGGTTCAAGCGATTCTCCTGCCTCAGCTTCCCAAGTAGCTGGGATTACAGGTGCCTGCCACCATGCTTGGCTCATTTTTGTATTTTTAGTAGAGACAGGGTTTCACCAAGTTGGCCAGGCTGGTCTCGAACTCCTCACCTCCAGTGATCATCCCACCTCAGCCTCCCAAAGTACTGGGATTACAGGCATGAGCCACCACACCTGCCCTGAACTATTATTTTAAATTTTCTGTGTGTTTGAGATTTTTCTTAATAGAAAGTTAAAAAACAGAGTTAAGTAGAAAGTTTTAAAACACAGACACAGAGGGTTGTGAACAACATTTGCAAACACAAGGGGATGTGCACGTTCTTAGTAAATACTGTCAGTGCTTTGGCATTAAGAACAAAGACATGAATTGTAGCAACATCAGAGTTTAATGCAGTGTTTCTCAAAGGGGTTCACGAAACTTGAGCATCACAATCACCTGGGCTCTTATTAAAAATGCAGATCCCTGCTGGGCATGGTGGCTCACACCTGCAATCCCAACACTTTGGGAGGCGGAGGAGGGAGGATTGCTTGAGCTCAGGAGTTCAAGACCAGCCTGGGCAATAGTGAGCTCTCATCTCTATTAAAATTCAAAAAAAAATTTTAGCTGGGCATGGTGGTGCATGCCTGTAGTCCCAGCTACTTTGGGGGCTGAGGCAGAAGACTGGCTTGAGCCTGGGAAGTCAAGGCTGCAGTGAGCCCTGAGCATACCACTGCACTCCAGCCTGGGTGGTAGAGCGAGACTCTGACTCAAAAAAAAAAAAAAAAAAATCAGATCCCTGAGTTACTCTGCAGTTACAGTGAATGGATATTTCTAAAGGTTCCAGGTGAGTCTCAATTACAGTGTTTACCAAACCTCTTTGTTACAAGATGCACCTTGAGCATTCACTAAACATACAGATTCCCAGGCCCCTGGCTTGGTGATTTTGATTCACTTGGGCTGGGGCTGAGCATCTGCAATATGCAGCAAATGTTCTAGGCAATTGTATGATTCAGCAAGTTTAGAAAACACTGTTTAAAAACTGAATGCAGGCCGAGTGCGGTGGCTCACGCCTGTAATCCCAACACTTTGGGAGGCCAAAATGGGCAGATCACTTGAGGTCAGGAGTCCGAGACCAGCCTGGCCAACATAGCAAAACCTTGTCTCTATTAAAAATACAAAAATTAGCTGGGCATGGTGGCACACGCCTGTAATCCCAGCTACTTGGGAGGCTTAGGTGGGAGGATCACGTGAACCCTTGGGGCAGAGGTTGCAGTGAGCTGAGATTGCACCATTGCACTCCAGCCTGGGTGACAGAGCCAGACTCTGTCTCAAAAAATAAAATAAATAAATAAATGAAATTAAAAAATGAAAAGTGAATGCAGAGTTTCCTAAATACACTTGATAAGAATCACCTGGACTGCTCATGGAAGTCACTCATATTTGCAGACCTCACAAAATCCTCCTAAACAGAATCTTCTGGGAGTGGGCATGGAGGTCTGTATTTTTATCAAGAGACCCTGGTGATTCTTGACATCAGACAACTTGGGAAACATCAGAGCACAATTATGCAAAGCCATCTGAAAGAATGGCCCAGAGAAGCAACAGGGGCAGCTACAAACAGATGGAGTGAAAAGGGAATGCCCATTCAGTGTCCACACAAGCCCTCTCTAGATGAAAGACAGCATCCCAGTCATCTCGGTGCCACTCAGGCCCATCTTTTTTTTTTTTTTTTGAGATGGAGTCTCACTTTGTCGCCCAGCCTAGAGTGTGGTGGCGCGATCTTAGCTCACTACAACCTCCGCCTCTCGGGTTCAAGCAATTCTCTGCCTCAGCCTCCAGAGTGGCTGGGATTACAGGCGCCAGCCACCACGTTGGGCCCATCTTTAAGGCATCCTAGTCCCCATATTCCAATCCCAAAAGCCTGATTAGAAGATGTCATCCCATATGGAGTACTTACAGGAAGAAAATGTGCTGGCAGGCGTGTGCAAGATTTGGGTGCCCTCAGTAGAATTCTCGCTGTAAATTAATTCTCTTTCATGTTGGATGCATGCAACAATCTCATAAGCTTGCTGAATGTATGTCAGCTCCTGAAAGATGTCCTAATTGGCCTGATCCTTTTTTTTTCCCTCTGCACAAAGGAGGACCCTGGCGAATTTGCTAAGGTAAATGTGTCCCTTTGGGGATTTCTGGGAAAATACCCAGACATCCCTTTCTTTCCAAGCAATTTCACACTCTACTGTCCTTTGGACTTCTACGGCATATTTAGACGAAGAGAAGTGTCTGTTGGCGAAGTCAGGTTTTTGGAGCAGTAGAGTGGGTTCTGAGCTGGACACTAGGAACACGCCTTGCCTCCCTAGCCGGCTACAGGGCCCCCGGCCCCCACCCTGGCCTGCATTCAGTTCCTCAGGCGCATCCAGCTCATTCCCTTCTCCAGGCCTTTCCACTGATATTCCTGGAGAATTGTGTCTCTCCTACTCCTCACCCAGAGCCTCAAAAAGCTGACTCCCTCAGGTTTTAGCTCAAATGCCACCTGCTTAAAGAAGGCTTTTTAGACCACACTATCTAAAGTGGTGGCCCCTTCCTTATGGGAGCACTTACCACAAACAGAAATGATGTTGCTTATTCATTCGCTTATCTCCTTATTATCTTTCTCCCCTTACCAGATTTTACACCCTTATTACAAGCACCTTATTTATTCCTAGGATCCTCAATATGTTCATAGGACCTGTCATGTAGAAGTGCACAGTATATACTTATGAATTGAATGAATGAGTCTCAGGGCTGGAAAATATCTTAGAAGAGCCCAGGTCTATCCCCATCCTATAATTAAATGCCCTTGAACAGTTTTGAGACCCAGTCCATGGACTGGTACCCAGCTCATGAGGGTGTTTTTACCTAAACTGCAGCAAAACAAGACTAGTAAGAACAATGCTTTTTCATTGTTCTAAATCTATTCAACTTAAAGGACTTTATGCTAAGATTCTGCTCTTCCTGTTTTGGGAAGTATTAAAGTATCTTCTATTACATTGTGGTGATGATAAGTGGTATTTAACTGTTTAATGTCCTTACTTGGAAAAATAAAAATAAAACCTTGGTGACTTTAACTGGTCTTCTGGTCTTTCTGACTTGTGACATTCAGAATACTGAAAGCCACTGGTCTCACATCCATCTGTATTGACTATTTAGATGATGCTGAAGCCACTGGTCTCACATCCTCCGTGTGACTATTTAGATGATGCTGAATTGGCCATTGCTTTTTTGAGAAGACAGAGTCTCGCTGTCACTCAGGTTGGAATGCAGTGGTGCAATCACAGCTCACTGTTGCGTCAACCTCCCAGGCTCAATGCTGTCTTCCCACCTCAGCCGCCAGAGTAGCTGGAACCACGGGCACATACACCACCATGCCTGCCTAACTTTTTTTTTTTTTTTCTTTTTTTGTAGAGAAGGGTTTTGCCATGTTGTCCAGCTGGTCTCAAACTGCTGAGCTCAAGCGATCCGCCCACCTCGGCCTCCCAAAGTGCTGGGATTACGGGCATGAGCCACTGTGCCCAGCCTATGCTTTCTTTAAATTTTTGTTCTCTCTGTGGCATGGAGGTGCACTGCTCAGCTCTCCTCCCAGAGAGTCTGCCACTGGGTGGTAGCCAGCTCCAGCTGCTGCCCTTTGGGTTAACCATAGTTTTCATGTCAAGGCCATGCCTCCTTTGGGCTGCCTTTAGCCAGTGACGGAGCACAGCATGCGTACTAGGGCTGGGCCATCCCTGACCGATGTGAGATTCCTCCAAGAGCATCAAAGGAGGAACACCCCATCCACTTAGCAGAGACTTTCTCAGAATGGTGCTGTAGTGCTACCCAATCATTCTCCCCCTCTCTCCTTTTACATATACCATACCTGCGTCCTTGTCTGATGGCTCTCCCAACCTGTTTTTGCTCTCTCATTCAACGTTCACAGGTATTTCCCCCAATAAATGGCTTGCATGTCTATCTCTTCTTGGCATCTGCTAGTTTGAAAACCTTCCTGAACTAACTTATCCCTTGGCTTACAGTGACTCTAGGAACTAGACAAGGTATTTCAAATGTGATCTGAGCAGCTGTGCAACTGCGGACAGTTACTTAATCTATTTCACCATCTGTAAGATGGGGATATTACTACTCACCTATAGGGTTGCTGGGATACTTGAAGGGAAGAACATGTGAAGTGCCTAACAGTGCCTGGTGCTCTTTAAATGGTAAAGGCCTGTCCCCTGCTGGCTGCCATTATGAGAAAACTGCACTGTTTAAAGGCTGTTCTGAGCGACAAAAGTGCATTTTATATGTTCAAATAAAAAGTGACCAAAAGTGTAGATTTCACTCTTAATTGCATATTTTAAAGGATCTGGAGGATTCTTAGGGTTACCAGGTGTGATATCAGACAGTCTAATGTAAAATGAATTTTAATGCAAAGTCTACCTTCCAAAGGGCAGATGACTAGGCAGTAATCTGGGAGGAATGGAATTCAGGGGAACTAGAAACATGGCCAGCAGGCAGGGAGACCATTTCTTTCTTAGAAGGAGACCAGCACAGGTGATTCTCTGGACTCGATTCAGGACAGGTACAGAACCGTTGACAAGTGAGAGTTTGCAAGTGAGCACAGGTTATTCGGATCTGGATGTGGAGAAGGAATTGACTAGTAAAAGTGTGGGTGACTGAACAGAAGTGCCCAGAATTAAGGAAATAAGAAGACCAATTGGAAGCAGGCCCAGGTGGCATCATCAGCTAGATCTCTGCCTCTATATTTGCCACTAAGATCTAGCATGTTTCCTGAAAAGTGGGCCCAGCTGTGGGAAAGTGGTGTCTATATTAAAAATATTAAATAATTGGCCGGTCACAGTGGCTCACGCCTGTAATCCCAGCACTTTGGGAGGCTGAGGCAGGCGGATCACGAGGTCAGGAAATCGAGACCATCCTGGCTAACACGGTGAAACCCCGTCTGTACTAAAAATACAACAAAAATTAGCCTGGCATGGTGGCGGGCTCCTGTTGTCCCAGCTACTAGGGAGGCTGAGGCAGGAGAATGGCGTGAACCTGGGAGGCGGAGCTTGCAGTGAGCTGAGATCACGCCACTGCACCCCAGCCTGGGCAACAAAGTGAGACTCCGTCTAAAAAATAAATAAATAAATAAATAATTGTAATGCCTGCCCTCTTAAGCTTGTTAAGAGGTTTGAAAATAACTGGCACATTACTTGGGACATAGTAGGTACTTAATAAGCATTAATTTTCCTTTTTGTTTGACACAAATTTGAGTGTGTTGATTTGGCTAATGTGCAGTGTGGCTCTGCCTCACACAGAGAGATGCTTTATTCACTCTTCGAAGACATGGTCTCTCAAAGCCATGTCATAAGGCCTATGAGAGGATTGCCAGGGCTAGAATCAGGATTCAAGGGGATGAAGAGAGAGAGAGGAGGAAGGAACTGCAGAACTGGTGACAGATGGCATGTGGGAAGGCTAAATCAGGAGTCAGGTCTGCTAAGATAGCAACAGTGAAAGGCAAGCTGGGAAGGCCTAGGAACTGTGGCTTAGGGAGACTAAACTTGAGTTCAGATCTCATCATAAGGAGCTCAGAAATATCTTGGCTTTGGCAGGGGCACACATTCAAACAGAAAGTCAGCATTCTGTTAGCCCGGGGCAGAGTAGTAATTGCCTGCACCAATTTTCTGATTCTCTAGCACCTTTTTACACTAGTGGGGCCATGGCCTGATAATCCAAACCCAAACCATAGCTGCTGGCCGGCACAGGAGAAGCCAGGCCAGAGTGAGCCTCAGGGGAAACTTTGGGACCCTTGGAGAATCCGTTTTCATGTTTCACTAAAGTTCTTACTATTTTGAGGATAGTTTTCAAATTGTCTTCACTTTCTCAATTTAGAGAATTTTTCCAGAAAAAAAGACTCCTTGAACCCGATTTTAAGTAAATAGAATGCCAGTACCCAAAGGCCATGAACAATTGTGATTTTTTTTTTATTTTTTTTTAGATGGAGTTTCACTCTTTTTGCCCAGGCTGGAGTGCAATGGCATGATCTCAGCTCACTGCACCCTCCGCCTCCCGGATTCAAGTGATTCTCCTGCCTCAGCCTCCCGTGTAGCTGGGATTACAGATGTGCGCCCCCAGGCCCAACTAATTTTGTATTTTTAGTAGAGACAGGGTTTCACTGTGTTGGTCAGTCTGGTCTTGAACTCCTGACCTCAGGTGATCCATCTGCCTTGGCCTCCCAAAGTGCTGGGATTACAAGCATGAGCTACCCTGCCCAGCCCCGAGCAACTGTGATTCTTATTCTTTAGGAGTCACATTGGAATGTGAATTGGACAAGCATGCTGAATCCATGAAGAAAAATACATGTTTCATTGTGCTCAAATACACATAACATGAAACTTACCCTTTTTGCCATTCTTAAATATACATTCCAGTGGCATTAAGTACATTCACAATGTTGTACAATCATCACTACAATTCACTTCCAGAACTTTTTCATCATCCCAAACTGAAACTCTATATCTGTTAAGCAGTAACTCCCCATTCTCCCTCCTCCCAGCCCCTGACAACCATCATTCTACTTTCTGTCTCTATTAATTTGAATGCTCTAGGTACCTCATGTAAGTGAAATATAATACTTGTTATTTTGCGACTGGCTTCTTATTTCACTTCTCATAAAGTCTTCAAGGTTCATCTATGTCATAACATGTATCAGTACCTCATTTCTTTTTCTTATTTTTTGAGACAAGGTCTTGCTCTGTCACCCAGACAGGAGTGCAGTGGTACAATCATGGTTCACTGCAGCCTCGACCTCCCTGGCTCAAGCGATCCTCCCACCTCAGCCTCCCAAGTAACTGGGACTACAGGTGCATACTACTACACTCGGCTAATTTTTTTATTTTTATTTTTTGTAGAGACGGGGTCTCACTATGTTGCCCAGGCTGTCTCAAACTCCTGGCCTCAAGAAATCCTCCCACCTTAGCCTCCCGAAGTTCTGGGATGACAGGTGTGAGCCACTGTGCCTGGCCATCTTTTTTTTTTTTTTTTTTTCCTTTTTTAAAGAGATGGATTCTCACTGTGTTGCCCAGGCTGGAATCAACTCCTGGACTCAAGTAATTCTCCCACCTCAGCATCCTAAGTAGCTGGGATTATAGGTGTGAGCCACCACACCTGGCTCCTTTCGTTGTTGTTACTGTTGTTGTCTCTAGCACTTGGCCCAGTGAGTGGCACATAGAAGACACTCAATAAACTCAATTAAGTAAATGAAGACATGTTCACCTCCATGCAGTAATAACCAGTGTCTGGCTGCAGGGAGTACTTCAGTCCTTTTTAAGGTAGAGTAATATTCCATGAAGAAAACTTTTGAGGCAGCTTTCTCTGGAATGGAGTCAGATGACAGGGGTTAACTAACTTTTTGGACTTACTTTAGTCAGGGACCCTGTATTTTTTACTGATTTTTAAATCAAAATTTAAATAATCAAAATAACTCAAACCAATTAACTGATACAGTTATTCAAATACAATGTAAATATAAAATCAACCACAATTTCAAACAGAAATGCAGATGGGTTCTCACTTTTTAAAAATAAGCAAATGTGTGAAGTATTAATTATAGGTTTTTTTTTTTTACAGTAGAAAGTCTTATAAAGTATCATAGATAAATTTTCAAGTAAATACATTCAGAAAGTTAAATATAAGCATTGCAAAACCACTCCTATTTAGAGGATTTATACAGGTCAGGATTACAAAAGTGGGACTTCAGATCTTGTGCAGAGATAACCTGCTCCCAGGCTGACAGGAGAGAAACAAAATAAAAGTTGCTTATACTGGAAGTCATCAAATACCTATTCTTACCTTGGTTATTGATCCAAGAATTGCTTACATCTTTTTCAACTGAAGGTGAAATAGAAATGTATCCACAGGTTGAAATAGTTTAAATGCAAACAAGTACCAATCTGAGATCATGTTTTTATAACCTAAACAAAGACCAGAATCCCCTTCCCCGAGATTTTTTTAAAAGCAACTTCTGTATGATGAGAGCATCCCACAATAGCTGGCACCATCAGGTTTCTCCTAACCAGGCACTACTGTTGCAAGAGACACATGAGATTTGATATTGTTTAACTCCCCATTTCCACATCCTTGGGATGTTCCCAGTCAGGACATTTATAAGAAACTGACTGAATGCAAATTTAAATTTTATTCCAAGATTTCTCGGAGCCTTTCTTATGCTAATGTTTGTCGTGAGTCTTCCGAAGAGTACACTGTGTGACCGTTCTTAAGCTGACTTGAGTACAGAATCTACATTTCACAGGTCTTCTTGTAGTACTGTTGTCACTTGGGATATATTTTGGGAAATGCTGAGGCTGATAATAGGTTATAGAAAAGCAATAAAAATGATGAAATAATTTGGAAATTGTACCTACAGTTTGATGTTTAAAAACCATGTATTTTTCAGGCAGTGTAGGAAGGTGACTAGTTTTTAGAGCACAAGCTTCAGGCAAAACAAAACTGGATTCAAATCCCAACTCTGCCACTTTGTAGCTTTGTAATATGAGATAATTATTTAACCTTATTTGGTTTCAATTTTCTGTCTACTTTAGGAAATTGTGCCAGAATTATAGGAGATAATATCTAATTATATTGATTGAAATCCAGCCAGGAGACAAAAAACACACCAATTATTTTATCAGAGATTAACACAAAGAGTTGTTAACTGAAAAATCAACAGGAAAACACTAAGGTATAACACTAGTAGCAATTGCAGGAAACGGCTACCATCCACAGAGCTGGGGAAACAAAGTGAAGTTGGAATTACAAAAATGTAGAAGTTTAGAGGAGCCCGACAGATCTGAAACACTGAAATCTCTGAGAAGGGGGTGCTGCTGGGCCTGGAGCTGGGTCCTGGGTGGGGGTGAGGAGGCAGGTTTGGAAAATGTTGGAAAAACTGCAACCTGGATTCAACTGCTGCTCCTGGAATCAACCACTACTGTCAAGGTACAGAAGTGAGGCTGGGGTGATGCTCACAGGAATGAGAAGCAAACAGGAAGCTCATGGGAAACAAACAGGAAAGAGCAAATCCCTTCTTCCTCCTATCTGTCTTCCAGTCTCCCTCCATTGCTCTGATTTGCAAAGCCTCATGGGAGCACCTGGGAAAGCATACATGTGGTTTGCAGAGGCCTAGTCCCAGCATTACTAAGCAAAGTATAGAAGGGTGGGTTTGGGGCTGACAGGTGGGTTTGGAGCTGCACTACTGGCACAAATACAAAGTGCTCAGAGCAGAGAAAACATATGATGGCTGTTCCCCCTCCTCCTCCTAATCTGACTCATTAACTCAGTCTTATGCCTGGTACATATCTGCAGAATTCTAGAGGACCTAGCTATGATAAACACAGAAGAAATTAAATGCCTGGAGGTTCAACTAGTTAAATAAACAAGGTAGGCTTAACATTGCATCTCACATTTAAAATGTCTGAAACTGAATACTTGATTCCTCCAAATACGTTTCTTCCTCAGTCTTTTAAAAGTGCAACTCAGAAAAGTTCACTTCCCAGCTTCAACTCTGATGTCTTCCCACTGCATAGAAGACAATGTCGACTCCTACCCACAGCCAGTAAGGCCTGTACTCTCTCCAACTCCATCCGTGTTGCTCCTCCTTGTTTATTCAGTTCCAGTCACACAGGCCTCTTTTCTGTTCCTCTAACACCTCAAGTTCTTTCCCACTTTGGGCCACTGTACTTCATGTTCCTTCCACCCAAAATGCTACAGACAGCCTCTTGACAAAGCTGGGTTTCTGTTAACCCTGAGGGCTGAGCTCAACTGAAGGCTTTTCAGAGATACCTTCCCTGACACTCTCCTATCTACAACTACTCCCTAACTTGTCTGTTTCCTTCATGGCGCCTTCATGATATTTTTTGCTTACTGTTTATTGTTAGTCTCCCCTCACCCTTACCCATCCATGTGAGTTGCTCGAGGGCCAGGACCTCTAGTATCTTGTTCATCCTCTCTCTAGCACCAAGGACAGCAGCTCATTCAAAGTAGACCTTCTAAGTATTTTCTGAATGAACTAATAAGTGCTTGAATGAATAAATGGTGTTCTCAGGAGAGAGGCACAAACATGACTAAGACAGTCTTGCCTCCAGGGAGCAACACTCCAACAGAAAAAGTGTACATGTGCTCCGAGATTCACTGACTGTTATCATTCACCTTACCCAAGTCAGAAGCGTAAGAATTACCCTAAGCCACTCCTGTCCATTATCAAAAATCAAGTCCTTCGGCCCTTACTGTTCCTCAACTGTATTACTATAGTGGCATCTTGATCCTAATTTTCCTACCTCTACTATCCCCCAATTCAAACACTAAATTATCCTCCAAATTTG
Source organism: Homo sapiens (assembly GCF_000001405.40). Taxonomy (NCBI): domain Eukaryota; kingdom Metazoa; phylum Chordata; class Mammalia; order Primates; family Hominidae; genus Homo; species Homo sapiens. Next base: position 54,549,699 of record NC_000014.9, on the reverse strand, counting down.
TATATTTATTTCTAAGTATCCCCCCAATTCAAACACTAAACTATCCTCCAAATTTGTACATTTATTGATAAGCGATTGACATGTCCTAATGCTAATCGAATATTAGTAAAATTTAATTTTCTATGTAGCTAAAAATAAATATGAGTTCTAATACTTTTCCCACACATCACTTTGTAGACTGTTACACTTCAAACCACTTCCCATACTGATATTTTAAAAATACAAATCTGATTATATTGCTATATTTAAAATTACTGCAGTGATTCCTCAATACTTTTAAGATACATTTATTCATTTCACAAGTATTTGTTAAATGGTAAACTCTGTACAAAGCAATGGGAATACTTGGAGAAACAAGTCAGCTCCTGTCCTAAGTAGTTTCTAGTCTACTGAGAGACAGAGAGAAGTAAACAAGCAAATAACACACAATGTGATAAATGCTAAGATGGGCTTAAGCATGTTATGTTGGCCAGGCACAGTGGCTCAAGCCTATAATCCCAGCACTTAGGGAGGCCAAGGCAGGAGGATCACTTGAGGCCAGGAGTCTAAGACCATCCTGGGCAGCATAGCGAGACTCTCTCTCTACTGAAAAAAAAAAAAAATTAAAAAAGCCAGGTGGCCGGGTGTGGTAGCTCACGTGTGTAATCCCAGAACTTTGGGAGGCCAAGGCATGTGGATCACCTGAGGTCAGGAGTTCAAGACCAACCTGGCTAACATGGTGAAACCCCGTCTCTACTAAAAATACAAAAATTAGCCGGGCATGGTAGTATGTGCCTGTAATTCCAGCTACTCGGGAGGCCAAGGCAGCAAAATTGCTTGAACCCGGGAGGCAGAGCTTGCAGTGAACCAAGATTGCGCCATTGCACTCCAGCCTAGGCAATAAAGTGAGATCTGTCTCAAAAAAAAAAAAAAAAAAAAAAGCCAGGCATGGTAGCATATGCCTGTAGTCCTAGCTACTCAAGAGGCTGAGGCAGAATGATCACTTGAGCCCAGGAATTCGAGGCTGCAGTGAGCCATGACCACGACACTGCACTCCAGCCTGGGTGACAGAGCTAGACCCTGTCTCTAAAAAAAAGAAAAAAACAAATAAAAACCGTGGTATGTTATGGGACATGGAAATGGTACAGGCTAGCTGGAGTGGGGAGTGTGAAAGGGGAAAACAGAGGTAACAAGGCTGCAAACATAAACAGAGGCAAAATCAGGAAGGGGCTTGATAAGATTTAAACTTTTCTCCTGACAGTAAATGGGAGTCATTGAAGGGTTTTAATCAGAAGTAACTTGATTAGTTTTTTATAAAGAGCTACCTGGTTGGATGTGGAGAATGAATGGGTATGATGGGAGGACTCAAACAGGAGGCAAAGAGACTGTTAGGAGATGGCTACAAAGTCATCTAATGGTGGTAGTGAGAAGCCTAGCATGGAGGTGGGAAGAGAGGCAGGGGTAAAGACAAGATTTGAAAGATATTTAGAAGAGGGTACAAAACAGGAGTGATAAGAAATGATGGCCATGTTTCTGGTTTGGCCAACAAGGTTGGGGATGGTATCATTCATCAAGATGAGGAACTCAGGAAGCAAAACAGAGTTATGGGGAACATGCTGAGTTGAGCTTTGGACATGTTGAGGTTGATGAACCTATGAGACAGAGTGGAGATACATGGGTCTAGGGTTCAAAAGAAAGTTCTAGCCTGAAGATAGAGAGTTTAGGAATTGCCAACATGGGAATGGATGGAATCAGCCAAAGGATGGGTGGTAAGAAGAGATTGCTCAGGACTGAGCATTGAGGTACACCTACCTTTAAAGAACCAGGCTGAGGAAGGTGTAATGGAGACTAGGAGTGTGGAGTAAGTCAGGTTTAGCAGGCAGGGAAAGGGGACAGACACAGAAACTAATAATACAGGAGTGGAATCAAGATTTGCTGACTGATCGAATATTGGGGGAGAGACGAGGGGCCAGAAGAAGGGGAATGTGGGATTCTGGGAAGATAGCAATGTCGCTAACTCAGGAGGGGAAAGTGAGAGAGAAACAGTTTTTGTAGGAAGATGTGTTCTACTTGGACATGGTGGAGGGGCCTGTGGGAAACATGAGTGGAAACATCCATTAGCCACTTAGCAATGAAAGTTTCAAACTCAGCAGAAAGACCAAAAATAGAAAAATTGATTTGAGAAGAATCAGTCTAGAAGTAAGGGCTGATTGCAATAAATAAGAGAGAGCATAGATGGTGCACTCTTTGATAATAGCAGGTCTATGCTTGACTCCTCAGTGTCTATTCCATGCACTGCCAGATACACCGCGGAAATGGTGCTTAACAAGACATTGGTCCCATGAATGATGCATAGGGCCTGTAGAGACCTAGGGAAAGATGCAGTTCATGGCAGTGATATCTGTGGACCACCTGCTTCAGGCAGTGGCTCACACCTGTAATCCCAGCACTTTGGGAGGCTGAGGTGGGTAGATCACCTGAGGTCGGGAGTTCGAGATCAGCCTGACCAACATGGACAAACCCCATCTTTACTAAAAATAAAAAATTAGCTGGCATGGTGGTGCATGCCTGTAATCCCAGCTACTCTACTCGGGAGGCTGAGGCAGGAGAATCGCTTGAACCTGGGAGGTGGTGGTTGCGGTGAGCCGAGATCGCGCCATTGCACTCCAGCCTGGGCAACAAGAGTGAAACTCCATCTAAAAAAAAAAAAAAAAAAGAATCGTCTGAAGGCTTGTTAGAGAGGTGATTCCTGGGCCAGATCCTAGACCTATTAAATCAGTATTTTAAGAGAGATAGATCTGGGGGTCTGCATTTTTACCTCTCCCCTAAAAGCAGTTCTTAAGCACCATTGAAATGCAATGGAACATGGTGACTCAGAAGCCAGGACAAGTAACTTTCTAGGAGGAGAAAACTAGTTATGTGTAGAATCCTTCAAAGCGGGGCCATGAAGAATGAGGAGCAAGGAAAGGTCATGGCATGGGGTAAACAGGAGCTTAATGGGCACCCTTGGGAAATCAGTTTAAGTCAATAATCAGAATATAAAAGAGGAGGCATAATTAATCGTGAATAAGAAACAAGAAAACAAAAATGACCATAGTGTAGGGTTCAGAGGGTCCCAGACTTAGTAGTATTAGCATTATCTGGGGAACTTCTGACTCAATATGTCTAAGATCTGAGTTGTGATTCTGCTAAGTAGCAGCACTGGGGAATCATTGTTGTAGACTTTCTCAAGATGTCTGGAACTAAGAGAAATAGTAACAGGATGGAAGCTAAATAGGAGTAATAGGGTGGAATGAGAAACAGGGCTGGGGTGGGGGAGTTCTTTAGTACTGGTAATATCTAGCATAATATGAGGCAGAAGGAAATAAGTTAGACTGAAGATACAAGAGATAGGAGATATGCTAGTGTTCTTTTGTTCTCTCAAAGACATCACTCCTGCAATTACTCCTAGTATCTCAGCATTATCATTTTTTCCCCTCCACTGATTTGTTTTCATGGGCATTCAAACATGCTGTTTTCTCTCATCTTAAAACTAAACACTGGTAAACCCATATTGACAGTTACCACACTATTTCTGTGTTTCTCCTTATAACAAAATTCCCAAAAGAGTTGATTCTATTTGCTGCTTCCCATTCCTCTCTGCCCATACTCACTTGACTTCATTCCAAATGGGTTTTCACCACAGACATAACCAAAATTGGGCTTATCCAGGCCACACGTGACCTCTGCATTGCTGAATCCAATGGCCAATTCTCATATCTCACATAATCTAATGGTATCATTTGACATAGATCACTCTCTCCTCTCTGAAATACATTATTCACTTGGTGTCTAAGAAACTAAATAGTAGTGGCTTTAAAATATGGGTGAAAATTCATTTGTACTTCTTCGATCAAGAGGTGGAGTCTGTGTCTGCTTTCCTTGAATCTGCATGGGCTTGTGACTGCTTGACTAACAGGGTACAATAGAAATGATACTATGTGACTTCCCAGGGTGGCTCATTAAAGGACATGCCCCCTAAGATCAGGCACAAGGCAAGGATGTCCACTCTGCCCATGTCAATTCAACATTGACATGTGTAAATGACATATAAGGGTAATGGAGACTAGGAGGAAAGGGTTAGACAGGAAGTTCTATCCAGGCAAATTAGGCAAGAAAAACAAATAAAAGGCATTCAAACTGGAAAGGAAAAAGTAAAATTACTTCTGCTTGCATATGACATGATCTTGTATGTAAGTCTAAGGAATCTACTAAAAAACTATTAAAACTAATAAACAAGTTCTAAAATTTGAAGAGTACAATATCAATATCCAAAAATCAATAATCAAAAATCAAGTTATTTCTATATGCCAGTAATGAATAATTTGAAAATGAAATTAAAACAATTCTATTTACAATAGCATCAAAAAGAATAAAATGCTTTGAAATAAATTTAATAAAACGAGTACAACTTACACTCTGAAAACTTTAAAATATTATTTTAAAAAATTAAAGACCTAAATAAACAAAAAAAATCCCATATTCATAGATTGGAAGACTTAATATTGTTAATATGGCAATATTCCCCAAATTGATCTAAAGGTTCAGTGTAATTGCTATCAAAATCCCAGTAGGCTTTTTTTTTTTTTTTGCGGATGTTGACAAGCTGATCCTAAAATTCATACTAAAATTCAAGGGACCCAGCATAGCCAAAACAATCTTTAAAAAGAACAAAGTTGGAGGACTTTTGCTTACCAATTTTGAAACTTACCACAAAGCTTCTATAAGTGAGAAACTACAGTACTAGCATAAACATAGCCATATAGATCAATAGAATAGAATTCAGAGTCCAGAAATAAACCTTCAAATTTATAGTCGATTCAACAAGGGTACCAAGACAATTCAATAAAGAAACAGTAGTCTTTTCAACAGACAGTACTGGGATAACTAGATAACCAAATGTTAAAGAATGAAGCGGAATTCACTTTATCACACCGAATATAAAAATTAACTCAAAATTGATCAAAATGTAAAAGCTAAGACTATAAAACCCTTATAAAAAATATAGGTGTAAATTTTGTGACCTTGAGTTAGGCAAAGCCTTCTTAGATATGACACCCAAAACACAAGTAACAAAAGAAACAATAGATAAGTTGGATTTCATCAAAATTGAAAACTTTTGTGCTTCAAAGGACACTATCAAGAAAGTGAAAAGATAGCTCACAGAATGGGAGAAAAATATTTGTAGATCATGTACCAAAAGGGACTTGTGTCTAGTATATATAAAGAACTCTTACAATTCAATAATAGAGAACTGTTACAACCTAATTTAAAAATGGGTTGGCCGGGCGTGGTGGCTCATGCCTGTAATCCCAGCACTTTGGGAGGTCGAGGTGGGCGGATCATGAGGTCAGGAGATCCAGACCATCCTGGCTAACACGGTGAAACTCCGTCTCTACTAAAAATACAAAAAATTAGCTGGGTGTGGTGGCGGGCGCCTGTAGTCCCAGCTACTCGAGAGGCTGAGGCAGGAGAATGGCGTGAACCCGGGAGGCGGAGCTTGCAGTGAGCCGAGATCGCGCCACTGCACTCCAGCCTGGGTGACAGAGCCAGACTCTGTCTGAAAAACAAAAGGTTAAAGAACTAACTAGATATACAAACGGTTAATAAAAACATGAAAAGATGTTCAGTATAATTAACCATCAGGGAAACGCAAGTCAAAATCACAGTTATACCATAAAATGGTGGTTGTCAGGGGCTGGGGGAGGGAGAAATGGGGCGTTAATCGATACAGGATTTTAGTTTGGCAAGATGAAAAAGTTCTGAAGATCTATTGCACGAGAATGTGAATACACTACTGAACTGTATGCTTAAAAGTGAGTAAGATGGTAACTTCTGTTATGTGTGTTTTTTCTAACCACAATTTACATGTACCCTAAAACTTAAAGTATAATAATAATAAAATTAAAAAAAAATACACCACAATTATACCACTTCAAGGGTATTCAAGTGTGAAGTGAGGTGGTAAAGGTATCTTATCCCACTAGGATAGGAAAGCTATAATTAAAAGATAATAACAAGTGTTGGGGAGGACGTGGAGAAACTGGAACCCTCATACATTGCCAGTAAGAATGTAAAATGGTACAGCTGCTTTGGAAAACAATTGGGAAGTTCCTCAAAAGCTTCAACATAAGAGTTTCCATATGAGCCAGTAATTTCACTTGTAGGTATTGAATAGGTCTGGAATAAGCCGCTGTGACATAAAAATTATTTTAAGCAGAAGATATTTGAGTTCCTGAAATCTCTTTTCTACCTAAAAGGAGAGTCTCCCAAAAGAAGTCAAAATAACCGAAACATCATAAATCCCCATCTCAAGAACAACCAGGGAAGATTAACTATTATCACCAGAGATAAGATGTCTCCATATCACACCTAAATAGACGTTTGTTATGAAAACTATCTATCATTTCTTCCATGTAGTCTCCTAAGGGCCCATTTATCTTTCCTGAAAGTCATTGTTTTCCCCCAAGTGTCTTTCTCCCTCTTGCCTTCCCCTATTACGACTGCATATAAGCCCCAAATAATCATCCCTGAGTCACATTCCATTGTGAACTCCTGTCTGTATGTGATTAAAATGTCTTTTCTTTTGCTAATCTTTCATTTGTCAATTTAATTTGCAGGCCTCCAATGACTGAATCTAAGAAATAGATTAAAAGTTTTTCCTTCCCCACAGTATATACCCAGAGAAATGAAAACATATATCTCTACCAAAACTTGTACCTAAATCTTCATAGCATTATTCATAATGGCCCCAAAGTGGAAAACACCAAAAGCCCATCAAATGCTGACTGGATAAACACAATATGGTATAGCTACACAATGAAGTCTCATCCAGCAATAAAAAGGAATAAAATACCGATTCACACTACAACATGGATGAACCTTGAAAACACGCTAAAAGAAACCAGTCACAAAAATCTTATATTGTGTGATTCAATTTATGATTCTACATTTGATTCCATTCCATGAACTGTCCAGAACAGACAAATCTATAAAGACAAAGTCAGTGCTTGCCTAGGGCTGGGAGGATGGAGGGATTGGGGATGACTGCTAATAGGCATAGGGTTTCTTTTGGGGGTAATAAAAATGTTCAAAATTGATTGTGGTGATGATTATAAAATTCTGTGAGCACATTAAAACTACGGAATGGTACAGTTTGCAAGGGGGAATTGTATGGTATGTAAATTAGATCTCCACAAAGCTGTTTTTAAAAAAGACAAAAACGGCCATGCAGCTTTTGTTTTGTTCACCACAAACACTTGATCTTAGAGCCCTGAGCCTCCGTTAAAAAAGTCTGACTACCCTAAAGCCACCAGACTGTCACAAAACCCAAGCCACATGTAAAGGCCATGTGTTGTCCTAGCTCAGCCCAGCTTTTACATCATCACAGCCCAGGCACCAAATACCTGAGTAAAGAAGCCTTCGGATAATTCTAGCCTTCAGGCCTTTGGGTTACCCCACTAGCCATTCAAGTCTTCCCAAATAAGGCTCCAGGCAAGCCTATCTGTGCCACAGCCTGTGCCAATACCTGACCACAGAATCTCTGAGCATAATAAAATGGTGGTTGTTTTACCCATTCAATTCTGTTAAGAAATAGATCCGTGTAAAGAACACTCTTCCACCAGTTTTCCTCCTATCTCACTGTCTACTCCTCAGTCTATGGGTTCTTCCCTAATCTCCCTGAATGTTGGAGTATCCCAAGTGTCAAACCAGGGGCCTCTTCTATTCCTATGCTCACTCCCTTGGCGCTCTCACGTGGTCTTTTGGCTTTAAATACCATGCTAATGACCCTCAAATTTATATCTTCAGCCTGGACCTCTTTTCTGAACTCTAGATTAGTATATTCACCTGCTTATTTGACATTTCTACTTGACTTCTAACTGGCATCTAAAACTTAACAAAAACACAGTTGTTCTTTTCCTCCAAACTTGCTCTTTTTCCAATCATCCCCATCTCAGTAAACTCCAACTCCCAGCCTTGCAGTCATTAAGACCTCTTCACTGCAAACTGGCTTACTCCCTGGCCCCCTTCAGGTCTCCACCAAAATTCCTAAAGAGGCCTTCAAATACAGTGTAACTCAGTCTGTGTCCCTCACATTCCCTACCTACCCATCCCAGCTTTGATCTCCTCCACAGCACTTACTTCCACCTGATCCTCTAACTTTTACTAATTGGTCTCTTTCTGTCTTTACTAGAATGTAAGCTCCATGAAGGAAAGGAGTTTTGCCTACTTTATTCATTCCTGTATCCCCAATGACCAAAGATGTATAATATCTTTGACACTCAATAATTATTTGTTTAGTTATTGAATGAGTAATCAAATGAGTTCGGGGGCAAGCAGGGATGAAATCAACACAATAAGTAAAGTGTTAGCCTCAAAAGGAGATATAATACATCTCTTCGGGAAGAGAAAAAAAAAAGTCTACCGATTTTGAACATCTAAGCAAAGAAATGACAGTAGAACCAATCTTACATGGGGCTTACTATGGAGGTCACAAGTGTAAGCACTTTACACATATTCATGGGTGTAATCCTCTCAACTGCCTGTGGGCAGGTTCTATTATCATTACTTTATAGATAAGGAAACTGAGGCAGAGTGAGGTTAAGTAACTTCTCCAAGGCAACTAGCCATTAAGTGACAGAGCTGGAATTAAAATCAAGTTATCTGACTTTGGGGTCCATCATAACCTCCACACCATACTACATCTCGAAGGTTCTTTACCGAGGGTGATATAATAGTGGTGGGATACAGAACTTGAAAAAAGTAGGAGAGGTCTGAAATAACTATTTGGGAGTTCAGTAGGGAGTCCATTAAACTAAAGAATTGTTGAGAAGCCTGGTGCAATTAAACTATATGGCTTTGCAATGGGCTCCATTAAGTTGGGAAGAAAGGGTCACTGAAAGAGGAGGTGGCTACTCACCTGTCAAGTCTGCTTAGATGTTGCCCTGGTTCCAAAAGCTGCTAGTTTTGAAAAATAGCATCTATATAAAGCAAATATTTTATCTAATAATCCATTGAAATAAATTTATAGTTGTTCTCACAAAATGTCACTACTCACATCTACTGACAAATTCTGACACAAGCCCCTAGGAATCAGTGTACTTGTTTTTACTTGACAACCTACCAAATTCTTCATATTTACAATTACTTCAGCTGCAACAAGAACTAAAGGCAAGTTATCTTTAAGTTATGAAAACGATGGATAAATAGATAAACAAAATGTGGCATTCACATCCAGTGGAATATTATTCAGCCTTAAAAGGAATGAAATTCTGATGTAAGCTGACATGGATGAATGTTTAAGAAATAGGAAGTTTAGACAGACACAAAAGGATATTGTATGATTCCACTTACATGAAGTACCTAGAATAGTCAAATTTATAGGGACAGAAAATAGAATGGTGGTTGCCAGAGGCTGGCGGGAGGGAGAATGGGTAGTTATTGTTTAATGGGCATGGGGTTTCAGTTTGGGATGATGAAAAATTCTGGAGATGGATACTGGTGAATGTTGCAAAACAATGTGAATGTAATTAATGTCAACTAATTTTACACTTAAAAATGGTTAAAATGGTAAGTTTTATATATGTATATTTTACTACAAACGAAGTTATGAAACATGGAATAAGAATGCAGGCTTGGTGGAGTCTGCTTCTGATGAGAAACCAACTAAGTGTCTAGGACAGTTAAGGTACAAAGAGATCTATAGAGAGGCAGCAGAGCTAGGATGGAGTCTGAATATTCCCCCAATTTACATGACAGATTTTTCAAGATTGTTATACTGCTAGTTAAGGGCAGCAGGGACTGCAGCTTAAGGGCAGCAGGGACTGCAGCTTTGGACTACCCTGCTTCCAGTGGCAGGGTTGGAACAGAGTCTTAGGAACTTCGGGGCGGGGCGGGGGAGTGGCAAGTCGGGGGGTTCTAATTAGCCATCAATGCTCTTTTTATGCTCAAATACCTGACATCAGGAGTCTTGCCTGATTCTTTGTAGCCCAGACTCTCAACAAGTATCTGGCTCCTAGAAGGTATTTATTACATAGCTAGTGAATGTAGATGAAAGTTTGATTTGGTTTATATAATGGAGAATAGATAATGTCTTCTTCAGAGTGCTATACCTGGTTGGAATGGAATTATATAAAAATGCAGATACAAAGGTAAGGCATTATTCTTAATACAAACAGGACAAAAAGGGGCTTGAAAAATCTCCCTGAAGGTCACAGTTTATTTGCCATGATCTGCTTTCTTGGTGAGTTATGATAATTCTCACTGAAAACATGGAAAGCTCTGATTTACCTTTTTCTTTTAGTTATCTTGGAAAGAGAAAAGGGTGGGGTCTTTCTGCCTACCAAGTTTCAAAATTCTTACAGACAGAACAATGGATGAATAAAGTAATTTACTATTCAGAAGAATACAGGGTTTATTTGGAATAAAAATACACTAGAAAAAAATAGTTATTTGTTTCTTTTAGTGATTTTTCTAGCTCTATAACCTCCACCTCCCACCTCAGTTCTGGATGGATTTGCTGTGCAGGCAGAAATCTAAGGTAAGGCATTAAAGGTCTCACAGATCTTCCCTGGAGATCACATTCTGCTAATCTAATCACACTTGACTATCAATTTAATAAATTTAATTATCCAAAAAATCTTATTATCCGAATTTTATATATCTGCCTCCTATAGATGAGTATCATTTTATAATACACGGAGAACAGTCAAGAATTATATCTTGTATTTATGATTTAAGAACCTATATTTAAAACTATGACCTGTATTTACGTAACTATAATAAGGGACATTAGAAACCAAACAGATGGATATTTATAAAAGCTGTTATTTCAGGAAAAGATCTAAAGAAGCTCATTCCAACTCCTTTGTATAAACTAGGGAACACACAATTACTTTAAGTAGAATTAAGTTTTTTCTTAATTGCACTCCGATTACATCAAAGGTAAAACATTTAGTGATCTTAAGAATTTAACCTCCTCAAATTTTCAATGGATTGCCTTTCAGAATGATTTTTCTAATTAACATGAGAGGAAATCTAGCTAATAAAAGGCCAAACTCTTAGATTCTTTTCAAGAGTTGAATGAATTTTTATGTATCAACACAGATGGATTCCAGTATTCATTCACTAAGCAGAAAGGAATAATTAATTTTTATCATCCAAGTACCATACAAATATGAAGTTAAAATATAATTTTCATTGATGGTCAGTACTGTAGATTCCATGTTATGATGAATTCCAAGATCATCAATTTCTGCATCTTTAGTAGAAAGTGTACTTTTCAGTGTTACGATGTCTTCAAAGAGTCTTCGGTTTGTCTTTATCTTGCTCTTTTTGACTGCAAAGTGCAAAAGATTCCTGAACAAACTGCCTGCACATTGGGCACTGCTGAAAATACTTCACACAGCCATCACACAGGCATGTGTGTCTGCATGGTAAGAGTACCCAGTTCACAGTCCCATTCTGGCAAACAACACAGTCCTTGCTGTTCTCTTCCGATGGCTCAACTTCACTTTCAGAGAGTCCCACCTTTTCCAACAAACTTCTGTCTGTGTTTTTTTCTTCTGAAGAGGAATTGTTGGAGGGAGTGAAATTATTATTTGCAGACATGAAAAGTTGCTGAAAATCAAAGAAATAAATTTAAAGATTATTATAAATAACAATTACTCTTTAAAATTGGGGGTCATAAGAAGCGGCTTAAAATTTATGAGCTAGCAAATTCAATTGCAAAGAACAGTTAGTTATCTTCTGTAATTATTAACTGAAAAATATAATCACCTTTCCATAAATGGCCATTCTTTGAAACTCTGTAAACAAAAGAGACAGAGATAAGACTACAGAGTACGGCTTACCTTAAGATCATGAAATTGACCTTGAGCCAAGAGTAAATATTGATACAATATTCTGCAGGATAGTTTATAAGTCCTATCAGGAATATGAATCACTGACACCATGGAAATCTAAAATAAAAATTGAACACTGGTCAGTACTTAAAATCTTTATATTATTTCACAAATATATGAAAAATGCTTTTCAACTGCTTCTAGACACTGTCTTCTGCCAAAAAAAAAGAAAAATGCTTCTCAAAAATAAAAGGCTGATAAATTAGAAAATTTACGTCAATCTGATTAAATCATAATCACTGCAGAGGAATCAGTTACTGACATATTTTTGGCAGAGTTATTTTAATTGTACTCAAATTTACAAATTTAATGCTATCACAATGGACAAAGGAATCTTTGAGAGGACTAAAGAAGGAAATGGAGAGGAATTAAAATCAGTATTAAACAGTCTTTTAAGAAACTTGGATGTAAAGGGACCAGAGAAAACACTTTTGCTTAGAGAGCTACATGCATTGACTCTAAAATTCTCATATAGAAAAATGAACACAAAAGAACAGCTAGAAAAATACTGAAAAGAGAGAGTTATGAGGGCGACTAGCCCCATCAGATAATAAAACAGACTACAAAGCCTTTAAAATTAAAACAGTATGGTACTGGCACATGAATAGACAGATGGATGAAACAGGATAAACAGTCCAGAAACAGACGTAATTATGTACAAAAATATAATAAAGGTGTGATGTCAAATCACCAAAGAGTTTTTTTAATAAACAGTATTGGGACAATTGGATAGCTATTGGAAAAATATATAATTAGATGCATTCCTCATACCATACATAAGAATCAACTCCAGAAACATAAGAGATCTAAATGTAAAAAATAAAACTGTACAAGTACTAGAAGAAAATCAACAAATTCCATTTTAGTCTCAGTGTAAGGAAAGACATTAACTACAACTCAAAACCCAGAGGAAATACACTTGACTATATAAGAATTAAAAATATACATGATAAAAAGCACCATAAACAAAGTCAAAACACATGACAAACTAGAATAAATATTCACAAGGTGTGTCACAAATTAAAGGTTAATATTCCTAATTTATGAAGAACTTTTAAAAACTGAAGAAAAATGGCCAAAATCCTATAGAAAAATGGGCAAAAGACATGAACGGACAATTCATAAAAAGATATAAACATGAGCCTTGACCATATTAAAAGATGTTTAATTAAAATTAATACTGCACCATTATTCACTCATCAAAGTAACAAAAATCCAGAAGCTTGTCAATACACTCTGTGGAAATACACTCTCATATATTGTTGGTGGAAATGTTTTTTTCCAAAAAGGTACAATTCCAATGGCAATATCTAACAAAACAACATGCATTTACACTTCAACCATACAATTCCAACAATATTAAGATATGTATATATGAATTATTCAGCATAAGATTATTTGTTACTGCAGAATACTGGAAACCACCTGAATGTCCAAGCACAGGAGACTGGCAGAATAACTATGGAATATGCACAGCATACACACAGTGCAGTGCCATGCAGCTATTAAAAAAAAAAAAAGTGAAGACAATCTCTGCAAACTGGTGTGCAGTGATTTCCAGATTTTCTGAAATGAAAAAGAGCAAAGTACAAAACAGCATATGTAGCATAGAGTATGTGCTATCTTTTGTGTAAGAAAAAAGAGAAAATAAAAAACAGGGAGGAAAAATCAGAAAACAACAACTATCTCTAAAGACTGGGGTGTGTGGGAATGGCGTGGAAGGGATACGGAAGAAAACAACATGAGTATATTTCTTTATATGGTTTTCTGACTTTTGAGAGAACTAATCCAAGTAATCTGTGGGCACAGTTTGACTACAAACCCTCAGTCTTGGCAGGAAGCAGGGAAATGGCAGTTTGAGCGTCAAAATAATTAAATTCAGCCATGAATTATAAAACACTGGGGGAAAAATTCATGAGGCCATAGAGACAACAGATAAGCAAACAAACAAATGGGAGAGACAGGAAGTCTCTTGCTTGTTGTAGAATGCCAAGAACCGACTGGAGGGAGGGCTGCAGTTGGAAAATAATAATTTTGCAACCATCACAGTAAAGATGAAATCTGGCAAGAATCATCAATGGATGTTAAATCTAGGACAAAAAAATTTTTTTTAATAAAAAGCAGGATATTTACATGATCTTACAGTGCCTCCTCACAGATCAAGGGGGAGAAAAAAACAGAAGAGTGGAGAAATTAGATAACACCTTGACTAAGAGATCAAAATTAACATGACCAATTAGAGAAAAGAACATTGCATGCTTCTAGAGGTGGCACTCTGAAAAGGACACATCACCCGGGCAGCTCACTGGCTGCAGATGTAAAACTTTGATCTGATCATAAGAAAAATCAGACAAACAAAATGAGAATGTTTTAATTTACAAAAAGTGTGTGTGTGTGTGTGTGTGTGTGTGTGTGTGTGACTATACCCTTCAAAAATGCTCATGTCATAAAAGACAGAGTATGGAAATGTTCCAGGCTAAAGGAAGCTAAAGATCCATGACAAATACAAAATCTGGCTCTAGACTAGAACCTGAACTGGAGAAGAAAATTGGTTGTGAATTGGATAAAATACTGTATCAATGTTAAATTTATAAAGCAGATGACTATACTGTGGTTATATAAGAAAGCATCCTTATTTTTAGGAAATACACACTGAAGCATTTAGGGGTAAAGAATCATCACGTATGCAACTTATTCTCAAATCATTGATTTAAAATATATATACGATCATATATATGTGTATGTATAAACATATGGGTAGGCTGGGTGTGGTGGCTCACGCCTGTAATCTCAGCCCTTTGGGAGATCACAGTGGGAGTACTGCTTGAGCTCAGGAGTTTGAGACCAGCCAGGGCAACACAGTAAGATCCTGTCTTTAGAAAAAAATTTTTTTTAACTTAGCTGGGCACAGTGGTACATTCCTGTTGGCCCGGTTACTCAGGAGGCTGAGGCAGAAGGATCACTTGAGCTCAGGAAGTTGAGGCTGCAGTGAGCCATGACTGTGCCACTATATTCCAGCCTGGTGATAGAGCAAGATCCTATCTCAACCAATCAATCAATACACACATACATACATAAATGGGAGAACAATAATGCAAAGGACAGAAATGCTAACAATAGGAGATCCAGGTGCAGGGTATATGGGTGATCTTTTACTTTTTTATTTTTGCAACTTTTTGAAATTATGTACAAATAAAAAGTTTTAAAACCCTACATTAGTTGCAAAAACACAATATTCTTTACAAGTTTATAAAGATTTATTAATTTAGTAATGGCACCAGAGGCTTTTAATACTAAATCAAAATGATGGGGTTAGTAGAAAATAGTAGTTATCACTTCATACTAACAATTTTGTCCTCTGGGAGCAGTGGCTCACACCTGTAACCCCAGCACTTTGGGAGGCCGAGGCGGGTCGATCACGAGGTCAGGAGTTCAAGACCAACCTGGCCAACATGGTGAAACACCATCTCTACTAAAAATACAAAAATTAACTGGGCGTGGTGGTGCGTGCCTGTAGTCCCAGCTACTCGGGAGGCTGAGGCAGGAGAATTGCTTGAACCCAGGAAGCAGAGGCTACAGTGAGCTGAGATTGTGCCACTGCACACCAGCCTGGGCGACAGAGCGAGATTCTGTCTCAAAAAACAAAAAAAAAACCAATTTTGTCATTTGATTTAATATTAAAAGTCTCTGAAGCTATTATCATACTAGTTATATATGTAGTTGTGGGTAAATATTTGATATGGAAAAAATGTTTGAATATACTACTAAGTGAAAGCAGGTCACAAAATAGTATAAAATGTATAATTTTATCCCTTTTTTAATTACATATATAAAGATTTGGAAAGATACAGACAAATATTCACAGTGATTATTTTTGGATGATAGAATACAGATTATTATACTTCTCTCCTTTTGGCTTATCTACACTTTCTAATTTTTTTTCCTGCCACAAATGTATTATTTGAATAATACTGAAAAAAAGCCAATGTAATTAACTAAAAATGAAAAAATTTTAAAGTCAAAATTTTGTAGTAACAATTCCTGCTTTCCTTTTTTTAATCTAAAACAACAAAGTGGTTCCTAACTGTACTACCTAAATATAATTCTTTGCTGTTAAAATAAAAATGATTTTATTAATAAATTTTTTAAAAAAATATAGTCCCTGACACGCACATACAATACTGAAAAAACACATATGAAAAAGAAATAGGAAATGGTCCATTTGCTTTTAAAATTATAAACAGAGAACATTAATACAAAATACACTAATAAATATATTTGAGTGCCAATATTACCCCCAATCTAAGAAATAAGACGAGAAGCAAGGATTAACAGGAAAAAAGGAGGGAGCCCACAGATGAGAATAAAAGACATTCAAAAGGACCCAGACACAGAGACATACACAAAGCACAAGAGAAGATGGCTGTTAACCCTTGGGAGACACTCAGGCTTCCCTATGGGAACAAGCCTCCCACAACTACAGCTGGGCCACACAGTCTTCATCCAGTGTGATCAGGGACCTGAGAGCAAACTCTTCTCTGGCCTAAAAGGCCACTGAACTGAAAACACACACACAAAAATGGTTAAAATGGTAAACTTTATATATAAAATATATATATTTTACCACACAGATACACAATCACTCCCTGTTTGGACAGGGGAAGAAAGTTAGAAAAAAAAAAAGACCCTGAGCACCTAGAGAGCACTATCAGTGAAGGGAAAAGGAATGCAATGGGGAAGCTGGGAGGGAAAATGACTGCGATCTGATCCTTTTGTGCTGAACCAAAGGAAAAAGGAGAACAGAACCCAAGAAACTCAGCAGAGATGGGGCACACAGTGGGGGCAGAAGGGCTTCCTTGCCCAAGTACACAGGGTCAAGAACAAAGAAGCTAGAAATAGGAGACACCAATTTAACAGGTTTTATTTATCTCTAACTGAAACTGAGAGAAAGGAGGGAGGAAGCCAGAAGGCCTCTCATGCACGCTAAGGTGCATGGGATGTACAGCTAAGGTGTTTCGCTGTCAAGCTCTATGAGGCTCATTAACATTGTCTAGTATGACTTTTTTTTTTTTTTTTTACTTATCAAATCTTTATTGAACCCCTATTATATCCTAGGCACTGTACTAGGTTCTGGAAATACACTACTGCTGGTATGACTTTTGTATTTTGTATTTTTATTGTATATATTTAAGGTGTACAACAGGATGTTTTGATATATATATACCTAGTGAAATGGTTACTATTATAATGCAAATTACGCATCATCTTACACAGTTACTTCCACTTTTTTTGCATGTGGCAAGAGCACCAAAAATCCCAAAAGCAATACCACATTAACTATAGTCTTTATGCTGTACATTAGATCTCTAGACCTGTTCATTTTATGTATCTGTAACTTTGTCTCTAGTGACCTACATATCCCCATTTCCTTCCCCTCTGCTCCCCATGACTTGGAAAAAATAAGCTGACCTCAGCTCAATGGAACTTCAGTTTGAAAATATTAAAAACCAAAAACCTAGGTGCTTAACTGCAAATGAGTAAGAAGGGTCTAGATTTCCCAAAGAGTCTTTACCTTCCAAAGCTCAATGTACACTTGTTGCAGGAAGATATTCCTGCTAAAAAAAATAAACTCAAAAAACAAAAACAAACAAACACACACAAAAAGCTCAGAGTCAAGCTCTTGTTCCATCTCTTACTGCCTGAATGACTGGGATTTTTCTTGACTCTGTTTCAGTCTGTGAAAGGAGAATATTTGCCCTGTCCTAAGAAACCAGGTTGTTAGAAGAAAAAAATAAGTTCATGTTTGTGAACGTACTTTGCATATTACGAATATCACAAAACAATGTTACCATATGTTTATTAATGAATAATCTATATTAAATACTTCAGAAAAGTAGTCAATTGTGTGTAAGGACATTTTTACCATGATACAATTTCATCAAAAGTTTATTTCATGTCTAAGTTTCTATTATACTCAGATGATTGTCAAAGTTTCAGTCCTCTTAGATCTCTAAGATACTTTTAACTTCCTAATAGGAATCAACTATCAGACTGAAAAAATAATTAGCACATAATGAGGAAAGGAGATTATTATAATTACTGAAAATACAGGGACCAGACATATAAGATATAGGTGCAGCAGGGACTTTGATGGAAACAAGGTGACTGCAAGCAGGCAAAAAAAGAGTGGATACTATCTTAAAATTGAGCACTTTCGATCATTATTGTGCTTATTTATTCACTGCTAAACATGTTCAGAATAAACATGCTTCCCAACAGACTGTTTCTATACAGCAAATATGACAGAATACAGAATGATGAAATTAACTTAATTCAACCATTATATATCTTTTATTTCCCAAATAAAGTCATATTACTGTGATCCATAAGGCAAAAAATGAGTCATACTCTGAAGGTACTGTTACACATATAAAAACTAAATAGGTGTATACAACCAAATAGGTGTTAATGATGAAACTAACTTAATTCAACCATTATATATCTTTTATTTTCCAAATAAAGTCATATTACTGTGACCCATAAGGCAAGAAATGAGTCATAATCTGAAGGTACTGTTTCACATATAAAAACCAAATAGGTATATAGTTGTTGTAGGCCAAATGCACATCCTCAGAAATTAAAATAAAACTTTTTCTATTTATCAAATAATGAAGAACCACCATTCAAATCACTTAAAGGTAATGCTTTCAAAATTTTCAATTACTTACAATATCATAAATTTCCCGGTCATCCTCATCAGCTAAGGTCAATAGCGCTACCAATGGATAGCGAGATCTGGGTACTGTACCAAAGTCTTCAATTTTAGTATCTCTTGGTAACTGGCAATATATTTCTTCTTTGCTATCCTTTTTAATACTTTTTGAAAATGTAAAGGTAAATTGCCACTATAACCATAAGAACAAAAATACACCAAAAATGATCAATAAGTTAGCAACACTTTATCCATAAGAAGTCTAATTTTCAGTGCTAATGGGTATATCAGATAAAAGGATACAAATACTGTTCCTGATAGAGACATTCACTCCACAGAGCATCTTCTAATGCTTGAGGAGTGCTTATTCTGAAGCAATAAACATGCTTCTAGTATACCAAAAATGATCAATAAGTTAGCAACACTTTATCCGTAAGAAGTCTAATTTTCAGTGCTAATGGGTATATCAGATGAAAGGATACAAATACTGTTCCTGATAGAGATATTCACTCCACAGAGCATCTTCTAATGCTTGGGGAGTGCTTATTCTGAAGCAATAAACATGCTTCTAGTATACCAAAAATGATCAATAAGTTAGCAACACTTTATCCATAAGAAGTCTAATTTTCAGTGCTAATGGGTATATCAGATGAAAGGATACAAATACTGTTCCTGATAGAGATATTCACTCCACAGAGCATCTTCTAATGCTTGAGGAGTGCTTATTCTGAAGCAATAAACATGCTTCTAGTATACCAAGAATGATCAATAAGTTAGCAACACTTTATCCATAAGAAGTCTAATTTTCAGTGCTAATGGGTATATCAGACGAAAGGATACAAATACTGTTCCTGATAGAGATATTCACTATACAGAGCATCTTCTAATGCTTGGGGAGTGCTTATTCTGAAGCAATAAACATGCTTCTGCAGAGCTTCATATAATTTTTGAACACTGCACCCCCAGTAGCATGTAAGGAGGCTATCTTCAAGGCAATCTGTTGTCAAGGTTATGCCAGCTGTAAAAAACAAAGGAGAAAGAATGAAAGTGATTTAATGTAACTTCTAATACAATCATACAGGGTGAGTAACAAAAGCTTCCTTTTGGATGCTGGCCAGGATGATGGCAGTTAAAAGAACTTGTTAAAGGGTATGCCTCCTATAAACGAAGGAACTGGCCTCTGTAACAAGAGATATAAAAGCTCAATGTCTACACATTTTTTGAGAGCTATCAAAAAACTATTTCTTACTATTTATCTATTAAAGCTTAGAAACTGTTAATTTTCTTTTTTGGCGACTCTAAGACATTTCCCATCTAGATTTTTAAAACTAAAATACAGTTCACTATTGATAACCTACCACTCTCATAGTGTATATGATCCTAACGACAAGAAACAGTGCAGCAGAATACAGCTGTCCTCTAAAGGGGATATGTACAACCTATAGGCTCCACAACATGATCGCTGTTGTAAGAAAAATATTAAAAAGAAACTGAGCTTTACTAACATTAATGTATACATTGACAACATTAACATACAGGCTTGTCACAGACTTAATGTCCCATGTAATATGCAAAATATCCTGAGGAAAAGAGTGGGGATTCCAAAACATAAAGAGTTTAATAGTGGTATCTTAATTCAGTTGTTCACTTTCAACTTAAGAAGATATAACAATTTGAGTAGACCTGATTAAATGGATATACAAATTGTAAGTAGATGTGAAATTATACAGTTTTATTTAACACTTGTATAGGACTTACTTTGTGTCACCTATGTGATTTCCCCCTCCTAGTGGTATTTGTAGCAATATCACATTCAAGGGTAGCAACATCCAGCCTTTCATACTGCTGGGGGTGCAAACTGTAGCAGCGCAAACTGTAACGTGTAGTACTCCTTGGCACTGATACACTGACTAGATAAAAAGGGCCTGGTTTTGGTCATTGTTCCTGGCTCAACAGCCTTGGCATCTGATTTTGGCTCTCCAAACCTGCCAGCAATTCTGTAAGCTACCCAATATCCTTTTATTGAAGTTGTTTCTGTTGCTTGCTAATAAGAATTCTGATTGATATATTACCTATTTTTTAAAATGTGATCAAGAGTATATGTTAGAAGAAGATACACAAATACAAGCAGATGCTCCACAGGATACCAAAAACTGATTTTTCCAATTTTACTCTCAGTATTTAGTAGTATGTACACACAGTCTGAGAGTCTGAGTAGCATTGATACATGGCCATTTCTAATCATACTTAAGGAAAAATTTTAATTGGTAGGAACTTTGCATAGGTTAATTGGAGCAGGCTTTGATTTCAAATTTTTATGATTCCAATCATCAGGTATTAACTCAAGAATGAAAAATTCCATTTGATATTAAATAGCTGAAGGAAAACATTTTATTTATACATACACAAATACATATACACACATATACACACACATACAAAATCACACATATTTTTCCCTTTGTCACTGTAGAACCACATAACATGAGGCAGAAGAAAAAAGCTGGAGGTAGATACGAAAGGAAAAAATAGAAAATGCATATTTTAAAACATTGAAAAAGAAAAAACAAGAAACACAAAATGATTATTTATTATTGTATTACTAGCAAAAATGTGAAAAGATATATGTATAAGGCTACTCATTATAGCACTAGTTATCATAGCAAAATGCTGGAATAAACCCAAATGTTCATCAATGCGGATTAAATGAATAAATATAGTACTCTACAATAAAGTACTAAGAAGCTATTAAAAGTGAATAGGAAGGCGGAGGTTACAGTGAGCCGAGATCGTGCCACTGCACTACAACCTGGCTGACACAGTGAGACTCTGTCTCTTAAAAAAAAAAAAAAAAAAAAAAGAATTGAGGTATATCAGAGTATCTGCACACACTATTATGAAATGATCTTCAGAATATATTAGTAAATGAAAAAAAAGCAAGGTAGAGAAAATTAAATATATATGCTACTGTTTATCTCACAAGAATGGATACCCATATATGTGTTTGTTTACATTAAAGAAGAACAGGCTGGGTGTGGTGTTTCATGCCTGTAATTCCAGCACTTTGGGAGGCCAAGATGTGCAGATCACTTGAGCCAGGAGTTTGAGACCAGCCTGGGCCAACGTGGCAAAACCATGTCTCTACAAAACACACAAAAATTAGCTGGGCATGGTGGCACGCACCCGTGGTCCTAACTTCTTGGAAGGCTGAGGTAGGAGGATCACGGCTGCAGTCAGCCATGATCACACCACTACATTTCCACCTGGATGACAGAGTGAGACCCTGTTTCAAAAAAAGAAAAAAAAAAAAAGAACAATGGAAGGATAAGCCTTTTAAAACTCAACTTACAGCTTACAGAACATATAAAACTACCCTGTTTATTTGCTTTGTAAAAAGAAAAAAAAAGCCAGAGCCCCAAAGATTCAGAGCTACTTAAGAGACTCGTTTATAGACTTTGTATACTTAACTAAAATGGGAAGAGTGTCAGAGACCTTTGACAACTGGAGATTAATCAGATCTTAAAATGTCTCTAAAATTAATTTAAAAAAACTACAGAATCTATAAAATTATACTCTCCATAATCTCTTTTTTTAATGTTATTATTATTATACTTTAAGTTTTAGGGTACATGTGCACAATGTGCAGGTTTGCTACATATGTATACATGTGCCATGTTGGTGTCCTGCACCCATTAACTCGTCATTTAGCATTAGGTATATCTCTATAATCTTTTACAAACTTGTCCATTACATAAACTGAGGGGAGAATGTAATGATTTCCACTATCTGAAGACAGTGTCAGTACCCCCATCAAAACTATTCTCCCTTTACCTTTTCCACTTTTTTTTTTGCAAAGAGTTTCAATTTTTATGTATTTTTTTGCCTTCTAAAACTCAGTACACACATGACATCACTTTAGATCAATAGCATTAACAGAATTGGGACGTAGCTGTAAGAAAATTCAGAATCAAAATAAGTGAAGCACATGGGTGTGGTATCTCTCAAACTGTCCTTACCCAGACTATCTATAACAAGCAAATAAAGCGGAGTGTAAGAGACAGCCTTGCAAAAAAGTGAAAAAAATAAGGACTGTAGAAAATATGCTAAGCCACTAAAAAGGGAGAAATGATGGGGCGGAAAAGCCACAAACCTTCTTGAGGAAGGATCCCTGTGAGAGAAGCAGTAATAAAACAAGGAGACCATTCATGAGGATAATAAAGCCAGAGTATTGGGAGATGAAAGTTTTAGGTTGTAGAGAATGGAGGTTCACAAACGCCTCCAAACATGCCATGTACATTGTGTTTTTTTCTAACCCTTTTGCTTTAATGTTAGCTCTTACCAGAGTGAATAAGCTAAAATATAAGGAAGCTATTTACAAAAAGCAGAATTCCTGAATCAAATTAATTCAACTCAACTTATATACACTGAGTATCTAACTTTCAATTTCATTAAAGACTCTATATTGGAGACATGGAAACGCAAATCCAAATATATCATTACATAATAACAACAACAAAAAAATCCCAGCAACCCACCCCTAGTAAACAGAACTAAATGACTCAGATTAAAATCGATTCTCTGGTTTTCTTTTTTTTTTAATTATAAATTTTAAAATATGGCCAGGGCGCAGTGGCTCACACTTGTAATCCCAGCACTTTGGGAGGCCGAGGTGGGCAGATCATGAGGTCAAGAGATTGAGACCATCCTGGATAACACGGTGAAACCCTGTCTCTACTAAAAATACAAAAAATTAGCTGGGCATGGTGGCATGCACCTGTAGTCCCTGCTACTCAGGAGGCTAAGGGAGGAGAATTGCTTGAACCTGGGAGGCAGACGTTGCAGTGAGCCAAGATTGCACCACTGCACTCTAGCCTGGGCGACAGAGCGAGACTCCGTCTCAAAAAAAAAAAAAAAAAAAAAAATCTTAAATATAAATAAAAAGCATGTGTGTTTTTTTGTTTTTGTTTTTTGAGACAGGGTCTCACTCTGTTGCCCAGGCTGGAGTGCAGTGGCATGATCTCAGCTCACTGCAGCCTCAACCTCCCAGACTTAAGCAATCCTCCAGCCTAAGCCTCCTGAGTAGCCGGCACTAACAGGCATGTGCCACCACGCCCAGCTAATTTTTGTATTTTTAGTAGAGATGAGGTTTCGCCATGTTGGCCAGGCTGGTCTTGAACTCCTGGACTCAAGGATCCGCCCGTCTCAGCCTCCCAGAGTACTGGGATTACAAGCATGAGCCACCACGTGCAGCCTCTGGTTTATTTTCAAGTTAAATCAGGTCTCTAGATTATTCACCCTCTTCTGCTATATGTCAGGCAGTTTGGGTACAGTGGTGAAAAAAAGATTTTTAAACTATCTACACATCAAATGAAATAACTTTTTTAAATGTCACAAATATTGTTACAATATTATTTTAATGTTCTGTATAGACATCTTTAATGATACCCACTTTTCCACAGTTTAAACAAATGAATTTTACTCTGTTGAGTATAACTCCTATCAAAATCCTTCTATTTCCCCATAGGAGAAAGATAATAAATGATATGCATCGGTATTTTAAAAATTAAAATATTTCAGTATTCATGCTGTACATCCACACATTTAAATAATTTTTCATGACTTCAGTAATACTACTGTTGGTTAGCAACTAGTGTGCAGGCATAGCTAAGAGGGCTACTTACTGGCTATCTTTTCATTTGCCTCAAACATTCGCAAGGCTGGTTCTATTTGTGACTATTTCTGCCTGAAAAGCAGATTGATGGATTTCCTCACACTTTCTGCCTCACAAGTGCCCTGTGTTTTGCTCACAATGTATCAGCTCTTCTTAGTTTTTCAGTGTATTTTCAGACCTGTGGAACTGTACTGCAGGAAGGAAGGCCTTGCAGCTGGTAGGTTTTTCATTGCGGGTCCTGCTCAAGAGCCAGATGTGACATTGTAGCAGGTTCTAGCCTATGGCCACAGAGGTGGGAGGTTATTGAACCACCACTATGCTGTACACTTGATTTTTTATTTTATTTTTTGAGACAGAGTCTCACTCTGTCACCCAGGCTGAAGTGAAGTGGTGTGATCACGGCTTACTGCAACCTCGACCTCCTGGACTCAAGCAATCCTCCCACCTCATCCTCCCGAGTAGCTGGTAGCTGGGTGTACACTTTAATCAGGCATGCACAACCTACTATCTTTTAAACAAATTAGTTTTATCTGTGTCATATCTCAAAATTTGGTTTTCTCAAGTAAAAAATATCAGAATGAACTGTTATCTATTATAGGGAAGGAGCGGGGAGGGGAGTGGCCGAGATCCTAGTTTCCATCAATTCATAGGGTAATAGTATTTACAGCTAAAGAGGATGAATAAGAAATTTTGTACTTTTTGGGGCCAAGAACAGTGGGTCACGCCTGTAATCCCAGCACTTTGTGAGCCTGGGGCAGAAGGACTGCTTGAGGCCAGAAGTTTGAGACCAGCCTGGGCAACACAGCAAGACCCCATCTCCACAAAAAACATTTTTTTTTTTATTTAGCCAGGCACGGTCATGCACACCTGTAGTCCCAGCTACTCAGGGGGCTGAGGCAGGAGGACCACTTGAGCCCAGGGTATTGGGGCTGCAGTGAGGTATGATCATACTACTGCATTCCAGCCTGGGTGGAAGAGCAAGAGCCTGTCTCGAAAAAAAAAAAAAAAAACATATATTTTTCCTTACAAATCAAGATTTACTTAAGCCTGATGATCTATTTGACTAAGTAAACTGATTTCTGACCAGTTATTAGATTCTGAGAGTTAGAGGCAGGAAAGATGAATAGACAAGAATGGTCCATAGACGCAAGGGAGCAGGACGTTGCAAATGAAGGTCAACTCTGTAAAATACTAGAGAGAGAGCATTAACTCAGCCCTGAAAGGCTCCCACTGGATTTGATGACTGCTGGGGGTCAAAAGTGCAGGGCAGAAGTCGTAATTAGTGACCTCAGAGAAAGCCATTTCAGTAAAGGGATACAGGGAAAAGTCAGACTGCACTGCACTGAGGAGTAAAAATGAAGCAGGCTAAGAGAAGGAAAATGCAAACAGCTTCTAAGAAGCTGGCTGTGAGGGGAAGAAGAGAAATACGGCAGTAGCTAGACTAGGATGAAAAGCAGAGAAAGATCTGGCTTATTTGTTTTCAAGAAACCAGAAATGTAAGCAAGTATAGAAGGGACAGGGTCTCGGCCCAGAAAAAAAGCTACAGAACTGTATCTAGGACTGCCTACTCTTTATTTCTATTGAACTGTCACGAAAGAATTTCAAAGTCCAAAAGTTCAAAATTGAATTCATTGCCTTTCTTTGGAAACTTGCTATTCTTTCTGTACTCCTCATTTTTCTAACAGGATCTGGCTATGGAGGACCCATAGGAAGAACCTGAGTCTTCTTAGACTCCTCTGTTACCTGTCCCATCCTATGCTTTAGCCATAACTACTGTTTCTTTAATGTATCACTCCATTTCTCATCCACGAAGTAAACACCTATCTTCCAAGATTCTACTCAAAAAAAAAAAAGGAGGAAGGAATAAAGAAAAAAAAAGTAAGAGAGACTCAGCATATTCTTTTTTATGAAGGCTTTCCTGAATATGCCTCTTCACCTTAACAAATTTAAGCATCTCTTTCTTTACAATTCTAATGGTTCCTATATGGTCCTGCAGACAACTTATTTTTCCAAGCAAGTACAAAAGCAAACAACTGCCATCTATTACCTACCATCTACAAAAGAACATGTTATATCAAAATAATTTATACCAAAATACCATAGTTTCAGATTAAATGACAATCATTCTGGCCGCGCGCAGTGGCTCACACCTGTAATCCCAGCACTTTGGGAGGCTGAGGTGGGTGGATCATCTGAGGTCAGGAGTTTGAGACCAGCCTGGTCAACATGGTGAAACACTGTCTCTACTAAAAAAACAAAAATTAGCCAGGTGTGGTGGTGCATGCCTGTAATCTCAGTGACTTGGGAGGCTGAGGCAGGAGAATCGCTTGAACCCGGGAGGTGGAGGCTGTAGTGAGCCGAGATTGTGCCATTGCACTCCAGCCTGGATGACAGAGTAAGAATCTGTCTCAAAAAAAATAAAAAGGCAATTGTTCCTCAAAAGGTTAGCAACCTTACGTTAACTGTATTTAGACATAACACATCATTTCTCACTTTACTACAGACCAATAAAAATGGCATAGTGTCCTAAGAGACTTCACTATTAACACCTGTAATACTTCATTCTACTCCTTTGTATACACATCTACCTCTGTTTACTAGGTGATAAATTCTTCAGGAGTAAAGTTTGTAACTTCTTAATCTTTGTATCTGTCATATACAGTACAGCACCTGGAACAACATAGTTGCCCAACAAATGTTTGTTAAAAGTCTAATGAAGGGAAAGAAATAGAGAAAGAAAATAAAAGGGCTAAAAAAAGAGGGCAAACAATGAGAGAAAATCTTTGGAAAACAGCCACCAACTTGTAATTGAAGCTGAAGATGGATTAGTGATCTCTAAGCCAAAAGGATTCTTGACTTGTCTCATTTGCTTTTTGAAAACTCTTGTGCTGAACTGGGTCTCTTCTGAATTTCTCAGAATTACTGGAACATCCCAACCAAACCTAAAAAAAGGTAAAAAATAAAATATTATTTTAACAAATGTTGAAACTTTATGTTATGTGTAAAATCTGTTGTGCTTCATTAGCGATTCCTTTTAGCATTAAGTGTCAGAAAGAGGTTAAATTTCTCAATTTACGTTATTTTAGAGATCCCACAGAACTGCAAAACAGTTGGCCCTCTGTATGAACCAAGTGCACATCAAAAATATTTGGGGACGAGGGGGAAGAATAAAAAATAACAATAAAAAATACTACAAATTCAAAACCAATACAGTATAACAACTGTTTACACAGCATTTACATTAGGTGTAAGTAATCTAGAGATAATTTGAAGTGTACAGAAGGACGTGTGTAGGTTATATGCAAATACTATGTAATGTTATATAAGGGACTTAAGCATCCTAGAATATGGGGGGTGGGTATCCTAGAATCAATCCCCCTCAGATATCAAGGAAGGACTAGGTATTGTTCAGCTGGCTGAATCAACACATTCTTGAAAACAAAGAGTTCTATTGTTAATACTGTTGATAACACCAAAGGAGTATGGAGATTATAGATAAATTATACTTAATTTAACAGCAAACACATGATGAACTTATTGAATTTTTTTAAATGTGAAAAAGAAATATATATTCAAGAGGCAGACTATTGGCCGGGTGTGGTGGCTCATGCCTGTAATCCCAGCACTTTGGGAGGCCAAGGTGGGAGGATCACTTGAGGTCAGGAGTTCGAGACCAGCCTGGCCAAAACATAGTGAAACCCTGTCATTAATAAAAATACAAAAATTAGCTGGGCATGGTGGCGTGGACCTGTAGACCCAGCTACTTGGGAAGCTGAGGCAGGAGACTGGCTTGAACCCGGAAGGCAGAGGTTGCAGTGAGCCGAGATCGTGCCACTGGACTCCAGCCTGGGCAACAGAGCAAGATTTCGTCTCTCAAAAGAAAAAAGAGGCAGACTAATATGATTTATGGGACAACGGAACTTTTTTTTTTTTTGAGATGGAGTTTCATTCTTGTTGCCCAGGCTGGAGTGCAATGGCGTGATCTTGGCTCACTATAACCTCTGCCTCCCGGGTTAAAGCAATTCTCCTGCCTCAGCCTCCCAAGTAGCTGAGATTACAGGCATGTGCCACCATGCCCAGGTAATTTTTGTATTTTTAGTAGAGACGGGGTTTCACCATATTGACCAGGCTGGTCTCGAACTCCTGACCTTAGGTGATCCGCCCACCTCAGCCTCCCAAAGTGCTGGGATTACAGGCGTGAGCCACCATACCCAGCCAGGACAATGGAACTTTTAAAACACCAACTATAGCTCTTCATTTATATATCTTCTACTTTTAAATTTCATGTAAAAATGTAAACTCTGACAATGCCCATGGAACAGAATTAAAAGGAAAATGAAAGGGGCTAAATTCAATTCCCAATAAAATTAAAAAACAGCTACTTTACTCAATTTACATAAAATAATCTAAAATTAATACACACCAGTTAAACTAGGAAATTTTAGTTAAAGACGGCACAGTTAGGAGCCTATTTGATGCACTCCCTTCTCTCCAAATACATATCAGTGATAGATAAAAAAGAAAAAGAAAAATTAAAAAGACCCCACAGATACCTGAGTCCCATATGCTTTAAGAAAAAAGAAAGACTCCGCTGAAATGAGTAAACAAACTGTGGTATATTTAAAGAAAAGAATAGAAGTATTCAGCAGTGAAAAGGAACAACTTATTACTACAATCAAATGGATAAATTTCAGAAACATCGTGCTATGCAAAAGAAGCCTTACACAAAAGAATAAATGCTGTATCCTTCTCTAATATAAAATTCTAGAGCAGGCACAACAAATTTATGGTAGAAATAAAAATGAGAACAATGGTTGCTTCCGGAAGTACAGGAGTAGGACTGACTGGGAAAGAGCATAAGAAAATTGACGGTAACGTTCAGTATCTTGACAGAGGCTTAAGCTGTATAGATGATGTGTTTGATAACACTTGGTAAATGGTACACTTAAGATTTGTACATCTTGGCCGGGTGCGGTGGCTCACACCTGTAATCCCAGCACTTTGGGAGGCCGAGGCGGATGGATCATGAGGCCAGGAGATCGAGACCGTCCTGATTAACACAGTGAAATCCCGTCTCTACTAAAAATACACACACACACACATACACACACACACACAAATTAGCCAGGCGTGGTGGTGGGCGCCTGCAGTCCCAGCTACTCGGGAGGCTGAAGCAGGAGAATGGCGTGAACCTGGGAGTCTGAGCTTGCAGTGAGCCAAGATCGCGCCATTGCACTCCAGCCTGAGCGACAGAGCAAGACTCCATCTCAAAAAAAATAAATAAATAAAAAATAAGATTTGTGTATCTTATATGTAAATGTTACTTCAAAAAACTATAAACGAAAACAAACACTGAACTCTAATCAGTAATATGTAATGTTTTAGAACTTACAGGTGAAGAGTACAACTCACTTTGAAGGGCATCGTGAAATAAGATAGACCAATGTATGGATAAAAGAGTGGATTAATGTGGACAGATATGTAATAGAGAAATTACAGTAAAATGCTGATTGTAGAATCTAAGTGATGGGCAGATGTGTGTTCACTGTGTAATTCTTTCTAGTATTCTGTATGTTTGAAAATTTTTATAATAAAATGCTGGGAACAAATACCTTTATGGATCCAAAAAAAGCAAAGAAACAAAGTAATGAGTAAGGCTATGCCATGGTTTCATGGTTCTCAGTCTGGCAGCAGACAGTGGCAACCAAGCCTTCATGTACTAAGGAGACCAGCATAGGCTGTCTTCTCCAGACAAGGGCCAGAGCCAGGTTTATAACTTGGAACCAGGAGCTGGATTAGGTCAATACAAAAATACGCAGAACTGTCGTTATAAGACTTGGTCCTAGGCTGGGTGCACTGGCTCCTGCCCATAATCCCAGAACTTTGGGAGGCTGAGGAGGGAGGAATGCTTGAGCCCAGGAGTTCGACACCAGTCTGGGCAACAATAGCGAGACCCCATCTCTACAAAAAAAAAAAAAAAAAAATGGAAAATTAGTTGGGCATGGTGGTGTACACCTGTGGTCCCAGCTACTTAAGAGGCTGAGGTGGAAGGATCGCTTGAGCCTGGGAGGTCAAGACTGCAGTAAGCAGAGATTGTGCCACTGCACTCCAGCCTGGGCAACACAGAGAGATTCTGTCTCAAAAAAAAAAGGCCAGGCACAGTAGCTCACGCCTGTGATCCCAACATTTTGGGAGGCCAAGGTGGGCAGATCACCCGAGGTCGGGAGTTCAAGACCAGCTTGAACAACATGGAGAAACCCCGTCTCTACTAAAAATACAAAAAAAATTAGCTGGGCATGGTGGTGCATGCCTGTAATCCCAGCTACTTGGGAGGCTGAGGCAGGAGAATTGCTTGAACCCAGGAGGCAGAGGTTGCAGAGAGCCGAGATCATGCCATTGTACTCCAGCCTGGGCAACAAGAGTGAAACTCCGTCCCAAACAAAACAAAACAAAACAAAACAAAACAACAAAAACCTAGTCCTGGTCTGGAGGTCTAGGAATCTGGGTATAAATGAATATAAAATGTTTTTGCAATCTATCCATCTGACAAAGGTCTAATATCCAGAGTCTACAAGGAACTTAAACAAATTTACAAGAAAAAAACAACCCCATTAAAAAGTAGGCAAACCACATGAACAGACACTTCTTAAAAGACATTCATGCAGCCAACAAACATGTGAAAAACAGCTCAACATCACTGATCATTAGAGAAATGCAAATCAAAACCACAATGAGATACCATTTCACGCCAGTCATAATGGCAATTATTAAAAAAATCCAGAAACAACAGATCTTGGCAAAGTTGTGGAGAAAAAGAAACACTTTTTTTTTTCTTTTTTTTTTTTGAGATGGAGTTTCGCTCTTGTTGCCCAGGCTGGACTGCAATGGCATGATCTCAGCTCACCGCAACCTCCACCTCCTGGGTTCAAGTGATTCTCCTGCCTCAGCCTCCCAAGTAGCTGGGATTCCAGGCATGCACCACCACGCCTGGCTAATTTTTTTTTGTATTTTTAGTAGAGACGGGATTTCTCCATGTTGGTCAGGCTGGTCTCAAGCTCCCGACCTCAGGTGATCTGCCCACCTCGGCCTCCCAAAGTGCTAGGATTACAGGCATGAGCCACTGCGCCTGGCCTAAAAGAAACACTTTTGCACTGTTGGTGGGAATATAAATTAGTTCAACTATTGTGGAAGACAGTATGGCAATTCCTCAAAAATCTAGAGGCAGAAATACCATTTGACCCAGCAATCCTATTACTGAGTATATACCCAAAGGAATATAAATCATTCTATTATAAAGATACATGCATGCATATATTAATTTCAGCACTAGTCACAATAGCAAAGACATGGAATCAACCCAAATGCCCATTAGTGATAGACTGGATGAAGAAAATGTGGTACATATGCACCACAGAATACTATGCAGCCATAAAAAGGAACAAGGTCATGTCCTTTGCAGGAAAATGCGTCAAGCTGGAAGCCATTATCCTCAGCAAACTAATGCAAGAACAGAAAATCAAACATTGCATATTCTCACTTGTAAGTGGGAGCAGACAGTGAGAACACATGGACACATGGAGGGGAAACAACACAGACTGGGGCCCATCAGGGTGGGAGCTGGGGGAGGGAGAGCATCAAGAATAGCTAATGGATGCTGGGCTTAATATCAAGGTGAATGGTTGATCTGTGCAGCTAACCACCATGGCACACATTTACCTATGTAACAAACCTGCACATCCTGCACATGTACCCCAGAACTTAAAAGTTGAAGGAAAAAATAAAATAAAATACTCAACTAAAAATAATAATAATAATAATAATTGCAAAGTGGATAAACAGTGAGGGTGATAACAAAGGGAGAAAAGTAACAAAACAAAACGAATCTTCCACTAAAATTTAGGTTGAAAACTAAAGTTTCAAAACACACAAGTCTAACACTGAAAGATAACCAATAAAATTAACAAATGAAATAAAAATTCACTTTTGATGACTCTGATTTTATAAAAGAGTTGGGTAAGACTGCTCTGGTCCTGCCTAACAAAGCTGAAAAGCAAGCCTCTAACAGACTAAACTATTTCTGAGTAACTTAACAGTGACCCAGAATAAAGCTCAAGAATATTTAGAGGAATACAAAAATATCCAGCACCTAGTAAGGTAAAATTCACAAAGTATAGCATCTGATAAAAAAACATTAACAGGCATGCAAAGAGCAGGAAAACAGTACCCACAATGAGGAGCAAAACTCTATAGAAATAGATCCAGAAATCATACAGATACTTGAATTAGTAGACAAGGATATAAAAATAGCTCCTAGGACTATATTCCATATGTTTCAGAAGAAAAGTAATGACTGCACATATGATATAGAGGCATGGAAGATATTTAAAAGGCCCAAATCAATATTTAGAGATGAAAAAGATAATGTTTTAGATAAAAAATATAGTGGATGAGATTAACAGCAGATTAGGTATTGCACAATAAAAGATTAGTAATCTTGAAGACAACATAACAGAAAGTACTGAAATTGAAACACAGAAAGGAAAAAGACTGAACAACAACAACAACAAAAAGCATCAGTAAGCCAACTTTTAGTCAGCCATGTAACTGAAGTCTTAACATATCACTGAAGTTTGCAGAGGACAGATAAAGTATTTGAACACATAATGGCGAAAACCTTCCCCAACATGTTGAAAACTATAAAAACCTACAGACCCAAGAATCTCAATGAGCTCCAAGCACAAGAAACAAGGAAAATTACCTAAGGCACATAATAATCAAATTGCTTAAAACCAGTAATATAGAGAAAATCCTAAGAAAAAGAAAGAAGATATGCTACGGTAGCCAAAGAAAAGGAAAAAAAGATATACTACACATAGAGGAACAAAGATAAGAATGTCAGTAGCTTTTTAATATTAATAAGAAGCAATGGAAGGCAGAATATCTTTAAAGAACTAACAGGAAAAAAATCTTGTCAATCTAGAATTCTATACCTATATTTTTCCAAAGCAAAATAAAGACTTTTTCAAACATAACAAAAGCTAAAAGAATTCATCACCAACAGACTTGCACAACAAGAAAAATTAAAGTATGCCTTGGGAAGAAGAAAAATGATACCAAATAAAAATCTGGATTGATACAAAGAAATAAATAGCAGTGAAATGGTAACTACGTGAGGAATTATAATGCTTTTCTTATATCTCTTTAAAATATTACCTGAAGGTAGATGGTGATAAGTTAGAGATACATTATAAACTTTCAAGCAACCACTAAAAAAAGTTATTGCTAATAAACCAACAAAGGAGATAAAATGGAATCACATAAATTATTTAACTAATGTAAATGATGGCTGAACAAAGGGGAAAAAGAAACAAAAAACAGACTAGTAAAATAAAAGAGGGGAAAAGAAACAAAGAACAGACAAAACAAACAAAAAACGAATAGCAAGATGGTGGAATTAAATCTAACAATATCAATAATCACATTAAATGTAAATGTTTTAAACTCCCTAGTTAAAAGGCAAAGATTATCAGATTGGATAAAAACATAAGACCTAGCTATATGGTGCATACAAGAAACCCACTTTAAATAAAAAGACAAAAAGAGTTTACAAGTAAAAGGATGAAAAAAAGATGTATATGCTAACACTAATCAAAAGAAAGCTGAAGTAGCTACATTAATACCAGACAAAGTAGATCTCAGAGCAAAGACTATTACCAGGATCAAAGAGGTCCATTTCATAGTGATATAAGGGTCAATTCATCATGCACACAAAATAATCCTAAATGTTTATGTACCTATTAATAGAACTTCAAAATATAAAGCAAAAACTGATACAACTGCCAAGAGAAATAGATAAATCCACAATTATAGTCAGAAATTCTAATACTCCCCACAACTTCAATAACTGATAGCTCCAATATATAGAAAATCAGTAAGGACATCAAAAACTTGAATAACACTATCAACCAATTTGACTTAATTGACACTTATAAAACATCTCACCCGGCCGGGCGCGGTGACTCACACCTGTAATCCCAGCACTTCGGGAGGTCATCGCGGGCAGATCATGAGGTCAAGCGATCGAGACCATCCTGGCCAACATGATGAAACCCCATCTCTACTAAAAATTAAAAAAAAAAATTAGTTGGGCATGGTAGTGCACACCTGTAGTCCCAGCTACTCTGGAGGCTGAGGCAGGAGAATTGCTTGAATCCAGGAGGCGGAGGTTGCAGTGAGCCGAGATCATACCACTGCACTCCAGCCTGGTGACAGAGCGAGACTCTGTCTCAAAAAAAAAAAAAAAAACAAAAAACTCACCCAATAATAGCAGAATATATATTATTTTTAAGTGCATTAGGACATTTACCAAAGAGAGAATATATTTGGATTATAAAACAAGTCTCAATAAATTTACAAGATGTCAAATCATAAAAAGTATGCTAACCACAATGGAATCAAATTATAAATCAGTAACAGAGATATCTTTAAAATTTCCAAATATTTGGAAACTCAATAACAAACTTCTAAATAACTTAGAGGTCAAGAAAAAAATCAAAAGGGAAATTATTTTAAATTATGACCTGAATAAAAATGAAGACATATGTGTCAAAATGTGGGGGAATGCTGATAAAGCAGTACTTACAAGGAAATTAGAAGGCACTCAACATTTCTGTTCCATCTCCTGGAAGAGAAGACCAAATACAGCATGTTCTCACTTATAAGTGGGAGCTAAATGATGAGAACTCATGAGCCCAAAGAAGGGAACAACAGATACTGGGATCCACCTGAGGGTGGAAGTTAGGAGGAAGAACAGGAGCAGAAAAGATAACTATTGAGTACTGGGATTAATACCTGGGTGATGAAATAATCTGTACAACAAACCCATGACACGAGTTTACCTATGTAACAAACCTTCACATGTACCTCTGAACCTAAATGTTTAAAAACAACAACAACAGAAATCTCAACGTTATAAAATACAGGCCACCAATGAGTCCAAGTTTCCATCAAACAAACAAGTATGAGTTAACGCTTTAGATGCAGAATTTCTTGAGAATATACCCAGATGAATAAATATGATCTGATCTAGTGTTACATTCTATTCTCCGGCTTACAATCCATCCTCACATATATTCCTCAGGATTCCACAGATATAAATTAGCAAAATTTTGCAATTCTTTTCAAGGACAGACTATTTCTAGTCAGATCAGATTTTGTCCCTATACTAGGCAACATGCAGAGATCTGGGCCTCATGACAAGATAATAGAGGTAGCTCTTAAGTGTGGATAGCCCTTTGCAAAGAAACTACCCTAGGTGAGGTTATTACAGGATCTTCAAGCAAGAGAAGGCTAATTTTCAAAAGTAAGCAGCTTCTGTCAACAATGGAGGCTCAGAGTGACTGGAGTTTTTTTCAAGATTCTCAGCTCTGTCCATGTCTACCTAGATGTCCCCATTCCAAGTCTCAGGGTTCTACTTCTTTCCAAACAATATTCTAAATGAGACACTGACAAAGGCTAGGTAATTCTATTACTATCGCAGTTAAAACTGTGTTCAGGCACCTGCCACCATGCCTGGCTAATTTTTCTATTTTTTGTAGAGACCGAGTTTTGCCATATTTCCCATGTTGGTCTTGAACTTCTGGGCTCAAACAGTCTTCCTGCCTCAGCCTCCCAAAGTGCTGGAATTATAGGCAGTGAGCCAAAATCATGCCACTGCACTCCAGCTCGGACAACAGAGCAAGACTCTGTCTCAAAAATAACATAACATAACATAACATTACATAACATAACATAACATAACATAACATAACATAACATAACATAACATAAAACTGTGTCCAATTTTTAGCAAGTCTTTCCGTGGCTACACAAAATGAAGTGCTTTAGAACCATGGAAACTTTTTGATTCTCTAAGACTTGACCGATCTAACGCTTTGAAGACCTGAGTTTGTCATTTGCTTTCTGTCAGTGCTCCAGTGAACAAAGAAGCACCTATCTCACTTCTCACTTCTCCCTCAGTCCCTGTAGTCATCATTACTGCCATTAACAGTCAAGCGCTTTAGCCACTTGGTCCTCCAGCACACAGCTTCAGAAATAATTTTATCACAATCAACCAAATGTATCAATTTGATTGTGATGCCACTACATGTTGTGGGTTACTAGATTATTTCCCATTGGCAAAGAGCTAAAGAAATTACCAAACCGATGCCCCCAAATTCTATCTTTGAAAGTTTTCTCACCAGGATCCCATTCTTAGTGACAATTTCTTTATCAGTCAGGGTCCAGGCAGGAGTCTGAAAATGCATCCGTTATTTTAACAGAGAGATTGGACTTGATTTTTAAAGTTGTCAGCATCAACATCAAGAGAAATTTTCATATGAAAAATGTTAACCATATGTTGAAGAACTGAAAAGGCAAAAAGAGGACACTGAGTCCTACTTATGTGATAAGAAGTAGTAACAGCAGGAAGCAGCTATCACTCCTAGGACAAGGGAACAGAGAAAAGAGAATAAAGAGAATTTACTATAGTTTAGAAATGTGGAGGAGAGACTCTATGGAGCTCAGGACTCAGATCTGAGGAAAGGATACTGGTATCTTTAAGGAAGTGCATAAGGCTGATTCTAGCAGAGTAGGAAAGCATAAACTGGAACAAGTGGGACCAACTATTAATGCCAGAGTGAGGCACTATTGTGGCAAGTGACAGACAAGAAAAGGAATCAACAGGAAGCAGCAAGTCCCTTCATCCTCTTCCAGCTTTCCAGTCTCCCTCCCTTGTTGGCAAAGCCCAATGGGCAGTCAGCTTGCAAAGAAGAAATGTAGTTTAGAGTTCTGCCCTAGATTCACAAAGCAGAGGGTGGTATGAAGTTGAGGTCAACAGCTTAATAAACTGTGGTCAAGAGGAGGCCGGGAATAGCTACTGGAGTCATGGTCCCTGATTATTTGAAACTGTTAAAGGATGTAAATGGACTTTTGGGCTTCTTTGTGCTCAGTGCCTGCAGAAAGCTATCAGAGATCACAGAAACCACCACATGGTGAAAGAAAAATACTATATTTCCAGTTGCATGCTTCTTTGCTATTGCTATTGGGATTCCAATAATCATATGCTCCTGTTTTTTCTCCACTCCCACACAGTGCAGGCAGACATGGCAAACAGTGGAAAGAAGCAAATAGTGAAAAACTCAGAGAAGTACCAAGGGAAAAACCATGACAGAAAACACATGAACAGTAGAGATGGTATTATGGGAGGTTAAAACAAAACAAAACAATGACAAGGGTGAAAAACATGCGTATTAACTAGTTTACCCTTCTGACTGGGGTACTATTGGTACTATTAGAAAGATGTTTTTATGCGATTTAGATGGTGTCCAAGTTTTCATCATTTCTAGTCAATAAATACATGGCCTTGGCTTAAGTTTGCAAATAAACATAGTAAAAAGTTTATCTACGTGGGCAAAACTAACTCGGATGGAGAGAATGGTTGGGTTAGGCACAAGATGACTGGTTAGGCCTAAATTAGGATGGAAGTGACTGGATTTACATGGTCTTGTGGCCTCAGCAGTGCTTAGCCCAGACTTCCAAACGTTCTATAATTACATGGGCTTCCACTCTTGTAAAAAGTCTTACCTAAATGGGGTGATTTGGCAATTATTAAATTTTCAAACCAAGTCTTAAAGCTGGCAGAGCCAGGATTTGAACCTATGTCTGACTGACTCCAAAGTCTGTCTGTTAACCACTACAAACATGAGGCTCCTGACTACCCTCTTCCCAATACTAAAGATTGATATCTAAGATATCTAATTAGTTGGCCTATTTAAAATAAAAATTAAAGCACATAAGGCAATTATCAACTAGTTACTATTTTCCTTAGTGGAGGAAAATTATGCTTCATTAAGAGAATAACACTAACATTATAGTCATTTAAAAATCTTGTGTTAAGACTGCTTTTCTCACATGGGCAACACCTTCCTCATTCCAATTACAAACTTTTGTGTAATGAACATTAGCAATAAAATCTGATGGGTCAAGAATAACCAATTGTGTAAGATTGGTCTTTGTTTTCCAATCTTACCCCCACAAATAAGGAATTTGTATTTCCAATCCTCACCCACATACAAGGCAAGGAATTCTATGCTCTATTGCTGGTAGGGTGAGGAGCAGTGTGGACAGGTTAAAACTTTTGTCACTTCCTAAAGATGGCATATATTTTCAGAAACCGACAAGGGCCCGTGTTCTTTAAGGCAATCACATATATGTGACCAAAGGCTATTTTAAAACTCGTTTTACGTAGCCTTCTTTATTCACTAACATGTTCTCTGCCCCTATGCTCATGCTGTCTTCTCTGAGATGCTTTTTCTTCCCTACTATATACATTTAACTCCATTTATTTTTCAAAATGCTCATTCTCCAAAATCCAGCTCATGTCCCTCTTCAACAGAGTCCCCTCTGACCTCTTCAGACCATGGCTGTTATCCACTTAGAACTGCTGTTTGATCTTTTTGTAACTATTATCATCTCAAAGGGATTTTGGAGGCTGCAGCCTAGAAAAACTGTTGTGGGCTAGTTACACGGTTTCAACTCGTTATTTACAAGGCTTGTCTAAACATGATACAATAGCATCTCCTCAAGAGAGAAATTGAACCTCTAGGCTAGAAGAATTGCTCAGCGGTTATCTAACAGACCATTCTCCTTGTCTCCAATAGGCAACTGTCCTACCCTCGGTGTTACATATTTCTAAGGTCTCTTCCAGCTCTAAAATTATGATTTTACAATTCTATCGACTAAATATTACTTCAAAAGGTGTGGAATGTATACAGAAACCATTAAATTCTCAAACGGTAACAGTTCAGTTACAAGTTACTCTGAAAGATCTGAGGCTAAGGGCTCCATTCAGGTCAGAATCACAACTGTTAACCTCGCTTACTGTCCAGTCTGTGCACTGTAGCACAGGTGACTAACTCATCCAGGACACACAGTAGGCCCGAATCCGGGACAGAAGCCTACTAGAGAAGCACTTTCTCCCAACACCAAGCCCAAGCCCAAGCCCTTCCTGGCTGCTTTATCGCCTAGAAACAAAGCTGAGTAAAACACCCCAATGCGGTACCACCCCAAGATGCCCCAGCGACACGGACCAAACGGTGATGCAGGGCAGTGACGCAGGTGCAGCGTCCACCTTGTTTTCCTCCCAGAGAAAGTCGGAGTTCTAGGCACCCGGGGACACCGAATCCCCGACGTCCTCCGGCCCGCGGCCCTCCGGCTCCGGTGCCCCCTGCTGCTCGTCGCGACCCCACTCTGGCGGTATCCGCCCCTTCGTCTCTCACCCCTGGGACACTTACCATCCCAATACCAGGCCGGTGGTCACGATGAAGCAGGTAAAGACCACCGCGATGTAGAAAAGCGGCGAGTATTCATAAAGCGTTACCAGAAACACCGCAGCCATCAGGGTCTTGCTCTGGGTAGAGCCCGGCTCCAGCCGCGGAGCCCAGCCCAGCCCGGCTGAGCCCCGCCCGCCCGGCCAGGGTAAAAGCCACTACAGTGCCCCGGAGCGGACAAACTTTGTAGGTCCGCACTTGCCTGGGGTTCTCATGAGCTAGACTTTAGGGCAGCCTCGCGGACAGCGGGAGCTGGCGTGCCAATCACGGCGCCCCCTGCCGGACACGCCACGCCCCTCCCGCTCCCGTCCCGAGCTATTGGCTACGCAGACCTGGGATGGGGGGGGCCCGACTCGCACCGCCCCCGACTCCCAGGATTGGTACCCAGCGGGCGTCTTAAGCGCTGTGGCCCAGTGGTCATTGCTGTTCCGCCGGCAAATTCTAAGTAGACTTTGGGGCCAACTCTGTGCCAGCCTTAGGCAATGTAGGTTTTCTGATGTCAGAGAGAGGCGCAGTCTGAAATCTACGTGCATCGTTTCTAAATCCTGAAACCCTGCCTATTATATCTTAGGCAAATTTGGGAGAGGGTGGAGGAGGAGGAGGAGGAGGGCGGGCATCTTGGATTCTACAAAATGAAATAACCATAAGCACAGTGAAAACACAAAAAAAGGAGTCTCTACCACAAGCAATTTATACGAGACTTGTCAGCCTTTTCAGATTGGACTTAATCATAGAGGAAAATCAGCATTGCTTATCCAAGATTCTCTTAGAAATAAAGCATCCGCTTCCTCCCACATCCCCCTCCTTTTCTCCTCTTCTTGTACTCCTCAAATTAGAATTAGCCAAACATTTGAAACTGTATTTGTTTCCACTTTAAGAATAATTTTTAAAAAACTTTTTAAATCACACAGAAGCTTTTTAAAAATTACTGAAAGTAGCTAAATGGTCACTCCCTTGTCTCAACCCTGTGAGTCAGCTCCATCAAGGTGGCCTCCCTGAAAGTCTTTCATAACAGTTCATTGACACCTCGTTGGTTTGCATTTACTCCTAAAGCCACATCTAGCCACATCAGAGAATGGGGATATGTAGTCTTATTATTCGTGAGCAGCAACACACCCTGGTACAAATCAAGAGTTTTGTTACTGAGGAGGAAAGAGAATGGACATTGGGATAGTTAACTAGTAGCCTCTGTCACACTCCTAAATCACCAGTAAAATTCGTGTTGAGAAAGATGAACTAAGTTTGTCCTATGGCCTCACATATTCCTTGGCAAATGAGCACGTAGTCTCTGGAGCAGCACTGTTTGAGAAGCTTGCTTCTACAACACAATTTTTAATTACTATATATCTGATTTGTGAAAATATATACTTTAATCAGCCCTCAACTGTTGGAGAATTTTTCATTGCTATAAATAACACTGCAATGAACATCCCTACAGCTAAAGTATTTCCTTAGGATAAATTACTAGAGGTGGAACTATGGTTTTAAAAAATGTACATTTTAAAGATTTTGTAAAAACACTGCTCTCCAGAAATGTACCAATTTGTATTCCCAGTTTTTCATCCACAGTTTTGCCATCATTTGATATTGTCACTTAACAAAAATATTGGCCAATCTGAAAGGCTCCCTTCTCCAGCAAGCCTTCCTGGATGCTTCCAAACCCTTGGGGAGATGCCTCTCCCAAAGCACCCAGTATGTAACTGTATGGGAGCCCTCTTATTTCTGGTGTGAGCACCTGCTCACTAGTGTATTTAGCCTGCTAGGAACCCAGCTCTCTGAGCACAGGAATGACACATAATTGATGTTTGTGCCACCGGTACCTAGTATATGTCGGGTAGTCATATTACTGAATTAATAAATAAATGAAATAAGCTTTTCTCCATGAGATTACTTGGAAGCACAAAGTATCTATATTAGAGTTTTTTAAAAAAAAGTTTGACTCTCAGATGAACAGGAAGAATGACTGTTCTTTATTATCTATAACTGATCTAGTTTAGCTTGAAACCCCACCCTAGACCCAGCATGGTGGCTCATGCCTGTAATGCCAGCACTTTGGAAGACCAAGGCCAGCACTTTGGGAGACCAAGGCAGGGAGATGGCTTGAGCCCAGGAATTGAGACCAGCGTCAGCGACATAGTGGGACCCTGTCTCTACAAAAAATTAAAAAATTAACTGGGCGAGGCAGAAGGATTGCTTGAGCAAGGGAGGTTGAGGCTGCAGTGAGCCACGATTGTGCCGCTACACTCCAGCCTGGGTGACACAGCAAGACGCTGTCTCAAAAAAAAAAAAAAAAAAAGCAAAGCAAGAACCTGTCTCAAAAAAGAAGAAAAAGAAAGAAGCCCCACCCTACTATTAGACGGGGTAAAAAGAGAAGACAATGTGAGCTTAAATTTATCAATAAAAAGTATCTTAGGCCGGGCATGGTGGCTCACGTCTGTAATCCCAGCACTTTGAGAGGCTGAGGTGGGCAGATAACTGAGGTCAGGAGTTTGAGACCAGCCTGGCCAACATGGCAAAACCCCATCTCTACTAAAAATACAAAAATTAGCCCAGCATGATGGCGGGCACCTGTAATCCCAGCTACTCAGGAGGCTGAGGCAGGAGAATTGCTTGAACCCGGGAGGTGGAGGTTGCAGTGGGCTGAAATTGTGTCACTGCACTCCAGCCTGGGCGACAGAATAAGATTCCGGCAAAAAAAAAAAAAAAAAAAAAGTATCTTAGACTCTTCAAGTTTAATTGCACCTTTTAGGAAGCTGGTCTCCTTTAGGAAAATGTTTAGTCTCTCCTCTCTCTTCTCTTGATTCTTCCCAAGACAGTATCTGATTGTACAAGGTGTTCATATGACCTGATGGTGGAGGTCAGGAAAATGAGACCTCAGCTCTGCATGACACCTGTAGGTCCTCACTAAGGGGAAGCGGGTTTCATCTGGCTTTTTGTGGTACCAGGCCAGCCCTCACTGCGGAGATCCAGGGTTCCAGCCATTTACCTCTGGTTGTAAAACCCTCATAAGCTATGGCTCCTTAGCTCCACTAGCTCACCAGACTGCTTACCATCTCCAATGTTACTTACTGGGGCAATATGTAAACATGTAGATTCTCACATATGTCACATGCAGGCTACTGAGAAGCAGCAGTTATCTCAGGATGCCCAATCAGGCTACCTCTGCCACTGAATGCCATTGCTCTAGCACCATGGTGAAGGTGGTGTGAAGCAAGCCAAATGTAAGGCCTCTCCTCCTTTCCTAGAGGGAAAGTGGACTACCAGCTCCGATCTCTTCAGTTTCTCCAGTACCCCACCTATTTGTTTTTTAATTTTTTTTTTTTTTTTTTTTTGGAGACAGAGTCTCATTCTGTCGCCCAGGCTGGCGTGCAGTGGAGCAATCTTGGCTCACTGCAACCTCCACCTTCTGGGTTCAAGAGATTCTCCTGCCTCAGCCTCCCGAGTAGCTGGGACTACAGGCACCCGCCATCATGCCTGGCTAATTTTTGTATTTTTAGTAGAAACGGGGTTTCACCACATTGACCAGGCTAGTCTTAAACTACTGACCTCAGTGATCTGCCCGCCTTGGCCTCCCAAAGTGCTGGGATTACAGGCGTGAGCCACTGCACCCAGCCCCAATACCCCACCTATTTGGGTGCTTCCGCTACAACCACCTGCTTCCCTGAGATTCCAGCCTGGAGGGATGTGGGGACAAAACTGTCTTTATTTTATTTTAATTTTTGAGACAGGGTCTTGCTCTTTCACCCAGGCTGGAATACAGTGGCATGATCACAGCTCACTGCAGCCTCAACATTCTGAGCTCAAGTGATTCTCCTGCCACTGCCTCTCAAAGTGCTGGGATTACTTACTCTTTATGTAGAAACATCGCTGGAAAAGATGGTCCCGATGCAGACCCTAAGAGCAGGTTCTTGGATCTCGTGTAGGAAAGATTTTGAGGCGAGTCAGAGAGAACAGTGAAATAAGCAAGTTTATTGGAAACTACTCTGTTACAAAGTAGGAGTCTTCAGCAGGAGAAGGAACATTCCATTCTTTTTTAGTGCCTCTATACTTATAAGAAACTAAAAGGAGCAATATTAAACT
The DNA here is from genome assembly GCF_000001405.40 of Homo sapiens. Lineage (NCBI taxonomy): Eukaryota > Metazoa > Chordata > Mammalia > Primates > Hominidae > Homo > Homo sapiens. The sequence goes on along the minus strand of NC_000014.9, from coordinate 54,505,947 downwards.
TGGAACATGCAGATGTGCTCACTAAAGGTAGGGGCTATTGGTGTTACAGGTGACCATTAATCAATCCTTCAACCCAAGCCTCTTAGTTAATGGTATCTTTAAGCAAAGTGGGCTGCACTCTTAGGACATCTGGGCATTCTGAAGGCTTGGTGGGAGATGCTCTGTATGGTTATAAATACTCTGCATTTATAAGTGGTGGTCAGCTTGAGATGTGACTATTTTCGACCAGAAGTATTAACCTTATAAGCCTTGTGAGTGCTTAGTTACTCACTCAAGATGGAGTCCCTCTGTTCATGCATTATTAAACCAGAGGCCTGAAAAGCAGGGGTTTCTCTAACAGGAACATCTATTCATTTTAAGTTTCCTCCAAAACAACCCTTGTTGTTACAGAAATCATAGGCTCTCCTCTGACACCCATAGCCACCTACACATTCCTTCCAGAGCACATATGCTCTTTTCCCAAGATATAAGCCCTGGGTCTGGGGTGTTGTAGTGCGAAGATCTAATTGTCTTGCGGCTGCCCAAGACAACATTTCTGTCTGTAAGTTTCCCTAATAAATCACATAAAACCAACAAACTGGATTTGTCTGCCTCCTTCTTTGGTTTCTCTGCTCCTTCAGCTTTTTATGGCCTTTTCACGGAACAAGGCGGAAGCCAGAACGGGTGGATATGATGCTGCACCTGCTCTAGCCCTTTCTCCTCTCCACACTCCAGCAGATCACAAGCAGAAGACTTTCCTACCCTCCTACTTGGCAGGTACTTTCCTTATGTCATAGCCTCACTTTCCCTGCCGTATGGCATACATTAAATACCACTCTTACTGTTGCCAAGGTCTTGATTTTGAAATGTTAACTGAACTTTAAAAGTTTATAAAGCCTTTATTTCTTGGTAGTGTCAGGCTTTTTCAAGATGACTGTGTTTCTTGAGATTCAAACATCTTATTTTAGAAGTCAAAAGCTGCTTTTTTTTTTTTTTTTTTTTTTGAGACAGAGTCTTGCTCTGTCGCCCAGGCTGGAGTGCAGTGGCATGATCTCAGCTCACTGCAACCTCTGCCTCCTGGGTTCAAGTGATTCTCCTCCCTCAGCCTCCCAAGTAGCTGGGATTACAGGTGCCCACCACCACATCCAGATAATTTTTGTATTTTTAGTGGAGACGGGGTTTCACCATATTGACCAGGCTGGTCTCGATCTCCTAACCTTGTGATCTGCCCGCCCCGGTCTCCCAAAGTGCTGGGATTACAGTCACGAACCACCGCACCCAGCCTAGCTTTTTCTTTTTAATTTCTGACATCACAGTTCTATTTATCCTTTGATGCTGATAGATGCTTCTGACTGACCAAGGAGAAGGTCCCATAAGAGAAATGCAAAAAATATATATATATATTTTGAGACGGAGTCTCACTCTGTCACCCAGGCTGGAGTGCAGTGGTATGATCTTGGCTCACCACAACCTCCGCCTCCCAGGTTCAAGCGATTCTCCTTCCTCAGCCTCCCAAGTAGCTGGGACTACAGGTGCAAGCTACCACGTTCAGCTAATTTTTGTATTTTTAGTTGAGGTGGAGTTTCACCATGTTGGCCAGGCTGGTCTCAAACTCCTGACCTCAGGTGATCCATTCGCCTTGGCCTCCCAAAGTGCTGGGATTAAAGGTGTGAGCCACCGAGCCTGGCCAAGAAATGCAAAAATATTAACATGTTTTTGAAAGTTATAATCTCCCTTATGTTATTTGCCTTGGAGCTGCCAACCCTTTCATTCATATTGTCTTTCTATAGTCCACATTCTTTCCTGGAAGGTCAGAAGGTCAGATCTCAATTTGGAAATATAAATAGGTAGGAATATAAATAATAAGGGTCCTAAATTTGAGTTTCAAACATGAGAAACTGGCAAATGGAACTGAATGTGCAATTTTGATATGACATCATAGATAACAGGAATTGTGAAAAATCTTATAGTAGTTTGGCAGAACCTAACAGCTTAACTCTTTATAGCCCATTGAACTTCCAAGTTCCTGAAACTCTCATGGTTTCAGATGCTGGGCTTCTGTTGTCTGTACATACTAAGTGGTAGGAGGCTACCTGAAGCCTGCTCCAACTGAGCTGACACTGATGATTAATGTGGTATTTAGTCTGTGGCCCAAAGCTTAGGACATTCATCTAGAACAGTGATTCTCAACTCGGAGTGTTCCTCCCTACCACTTCAACATTTGGCAATGTCTGGAGACATTTTTGTTTGTCACAACTAGGAAGTTGCTACTGGCCTCTAGTGGGTAGAGGCCAGGAATGCTGCTAAACATCCTACAATGCACAGTGCAGCCTACTCACAACAAAAAATGTATCCAATTATCCAATGTCAATATTGCTGAGGTTGAGAAACCCTGGTACAGAAAATTCTATTGGCCCTGGGCACTTCGCACCAAATCACTGTTTCCACCTTGGTCCAGGCCATGTCTTTTCCGGGGTTACCACAGTAGCCTCCTGAATAGTGTCCTTCTTCTGTCTCTGCTCTCCACAGTCTAGTCTTTTTCTTTTTAAAAAATACTTATTTAAGGCCGGGCATAGTGGCTCATGCCTGTAATCACAGCCCTTTGGGAGGCCGAGGTGGGCAGATCACGAGGTCAGGAGTTCGAGACCAGCCAGGACAATATGGTGAAACCCCGTCTCTACTAAAAATACAAAAATTATCCGGGAATGGTGGTGTGTGCCTGTGATCCCAGCTACTCAGCAGGCTGAGGCAGGAGAATCATTTGAACCCGGGAGGTAGAGGTTGCAGTGAACTGAGATCGCATCACTGCACTCCAGCCTGGGTGACAGAGCAAGACTCCGTCTAAAAAAAAAAAAAAAAAAGAAAAAAAGAAAGAAAAAAACTTATTTAAAATTTAATTTAATTTTTTATTTATATACAGTAATGTTCACCATGTTTAGTGTACAGATCTATGAGTTTTCACAGATGTATAGAGGTCATGTAACTGTAATCACAATCAAGATACAGAAGGGCAGCTCAGTTTTCAAAGTCTCTACTTTGCTTTCTGAGTCAGCTTCTTTGATTCAGCCTGCTTAGGTCAGAGTCAGACAGTAAAGGAGAAAAAAAAGAACTAGAAAATTTGGGTGTCATTCTAGTCATTCTACAAGTTTTGACTTCCTGTGGTGCAAGCCCTGAAGTTAGGATCTAATATTATGTGCTGTCTTGACATCTGGTGAAATTGGGAAAGGCTTAACCTCAAGTTCCTTTCTCCACTCCGCTCCCATGGATAAAGTCCCCTAGCCAAACAGCCCTCCTTATCAGGAGTACCAGGCACGGTGTCTGCTTATCCCTGAGTAGTGGGTTTCAGTTCCCTGCCAGCCCACAGGATTATTTAAACAAGCCCATCACTTCCTACTGCAGGAACCAAAGAGCTGTAGAGGAGGGAAAAATAGCTTCCCTTTACCCTTCTAGGTTCTTTGGCTGGCCTCAAATTAAATTGACATGCAACAGATTAACAAGAGAAAAGCCATAATTAATAATGGATGTACGCATGAGAATCCCACAAAATATGAGACTCGAAGAAGAGTCAGATGATTGAAGCTTATATAGCATCCTGAGCTACAGAAAGGAACAGTGACTCGGGGCTTCTGAGGGGTGATAATGATATAAGTTATGGAAAAGCGAGGAGAGGAAATTTTGCTGAATAAATGTTGTCTTGTTATACAGATAAAAAGTCCCTTGGGTAAAAAAAGTTGTCTTAAAGCAGCCTTCAAAAACATAGGTGATAGTCTGTCTGGGCATGGGTCAACCTCTAGTCTCCTCCACTGCAATCCAAGTTCATCTTCCCTGGTTGATATGGTTAATAAGATTCCCAGAAAGGGGATTCTTGACAATCGAATTCCTTTTGGAGGATTCATCTTCAGGCAGATTGGAGGATGCTTCGAGAAAGCCTCTGCCTGCAACTCTTGTTCCCCACGTGTCCTCAGTTCAAAGTAATCTGCATACCAAAGCATCATATTTGGGGGTGGCATTCCCTGAACTCCTTTGGAGTATCCCACCCTCTTGAGTATCCCACTCACTACAAAGCCTGGTTCCACAGCTCCTGATTGTTCATTCCGTTCCCAAGTGCAGCACCCTTGGGCCATGCTGTGTCCTCTTCCCCTTTGCTGGAAGTATATAAGACCAATAAACTGCTGTTGATCTCACCTGTCCAGTGTCAGGTGGGGTGTGTTCAGCCATCCCCATAACCCTAGGGTGGACAAAGTCCTTGTGATCACTTAAGGAGGCTCTACGTGATCCAGCCCTCCAATCCCAATATGACCTCATGTCCTCCTACAACTCACCCCCAGCTCATTCTGCTCCAGTCATTTGACTATCTTCTTGTTCCCTAAAACAACATACACGCTTCTGTCTTATGGCCTTGGCAGTGCAGTTCCCTCTGCATAGGATGTTCCTCCAGATATCCACATGGCTAATTCCCACAGTTTCAAAATCTCTCTCTCTCTCTTTTTTTTTTTTTTTTTTTTCGAGACATGGTCTTTCTCTGTCACTCAGGCTGGAGTGCAGTGGCACAGTCTTGGCTTACTGCAAGCAGCCTCGACCTCCTGGGGTCAAGCAGTCCTCCCACCTCAGCCTTCTGAGTAGCTGGAACTACAGCCACACACCACCATGCTGAGATAATTTTGTTCGTTTTTTTTGTAGAGACAGAGTCTAACAATGTTGCCCAGGCTGATCTCAAACACCTGGACTCAAGGGATCCTGCTGCCTTGGCCTCCCTAAGTGCTGGGATTACAGGCATGAGCCATCGCACCCAGTCCCCCCTTTTTTATTCTCAGTTTCAAATATTTGCTCAGACATGACCTTCCTGGTGAGGACTACAACTATCCTATTTAAAATAGCAAATCCCTCCTTCTTTGCACTCCCAACCTCCCTTTTCCTATTTTTTCTCCCATAGCACTAATCACCTTCTAACATACAATATTGCTTACTACGCTCTTGTCTGTCACTTCCTCATTTCCACTAGAATGTTACTTCCAGGAGAAAAGGGCTTTGGACCTTAGCATCCAGGAAGGATACATAATAGGCCCTCAAAAACTATTTGTTGGCTGGGCACGGTGGCTCATGCCTGCAATCCCAGCACTTTGGGAGGCCAAGGCAGGTGGATCACTTGGGCTCACAAGTTCGAGACCAGCCTGAGCAACATGGTGAAACCCTGTCTCTACTAAAAATACAAAAAAATTAGCTGGGAGTGGTGGCATATGCCTATAATCTCAGCTACTCAGGAGGCTGAGGTGGGAGGATCACTTGAGTCTAGGAGGCGAAGGTTGCAGTGAGCTGAGATCACGCCACTGCACTCCAGCCTGGGCAACAAAGCCAGACCTTGTCTCAAAACAAAACAAAAACAAAACAAAGCAAAACAAAACAAAACAAAAAAACTATTTGTTGAACTAATGAATGTGTGGGAATATGTAAAGAAAATTGTGAAAAGAAAATAAAATTTCAGGACTTTCCAAATTTATTATGCCAAAAAGAAAAGCTCAGCCCTGGAAACTGAGTCACATAACACAGCTGTTTTTCTTCTTTAGTGCGTGACTGTTGCTTCCTGACCTTTGTGTTGAGTTGTTATACATTGACCAGAATCCCTATTCTTCATTCAAACCTAGACTAAATGACGTTGGAGATAGACACCTTTGTGATTTTTACCTCTTTCCAATAGAATGTGAAGGAACCCCTTTAGAGAGTAATCAGTAGTAGCCAATCAAATCTTATGTCTGTATGTTACCCTTTTTATGGAACATGTTATAATTCTGTTCAGCATGTCAATTTTTGCCTAGGCAAACAATCTTCACTTTCCCCACATAGGAGAACTACTCACCATTCTTCGGTGTCTGTGTGCCCATGGACAGTCTGTTACCCTCATACCTTGCACTCGAATAAACTCTTAACTGGATCCTGATCTTTTACATTATTTTAGGTTGACAATACAAACATACCAGCAAGGCTGCTAATTCAGAGAATGAAGAACTTAGAAAAGTTCAAGCCGGAAATGATTAATCTAATTCTGATCTTTCCCCAGTTTTTAATTAGAATACTCCTTTTCTTTCTACCCTGATCTTGTCTTACGTCAAATCTTTTCGTGAGATAAAGCACATTTTGGTGAACTCGACATGGCTTAATACTGATGGATTCTTGTGTTTGTTACAGAGGTGAGCTAGGGCTATTTCCATGGCAGAAAAGTGCTGGAAAACATTCTGGAACTTGCTCCTTACCCTACAATAACCCAAGCCAGAATGGCATTCCCAAACCTCATTGTAAATAAAAATATGTTTTTCTGATTAAATATATTCTATAGACTGAGTGCAAATAGTCTATATTCATTTCACTCCTCTCATATACTAAATCACATTTTCATCAATTTGGCCTCATTGTGAATACATCAGTCTCTGCAGCCTGTTTTGGGTCTGTATGAGACCAGCCATTTTATAGCTTATACTGTTTGGAAAACTTCTGTTTTTTTTTTGAGACGGAGTCTTGCTCTGTCCCCCAGGCTGGAGTGCAGTGGCGCAATCTCGGCTCACTGCAAGCTCCGCCTCCCGGGTTCATGCCATTTTCCTGCCTTAGTCTCCACAGTAGCGGAGACTACAGGCACCTGCCACTGCGCCTGGCTAATTTTTTGTATTTTTAGTAGAGATGGGGTTTCACCGTGTTAGCCAGGATGGTCTTGATCTCCTGACCTCGTGATCCGCCTGCCTCGGCCTCCCAAAGTGCTGGGATTACAGGTGTGAGCCACCGTGCCTGGCCTGGAAAACATTAAAAAAAAAACAAAAACAGAAGGAAAAGGGTGTTTGAGCCAAGAGGAAACTTCCCCTTTGCCCTCTGAAGTTTTGCTGAAAAATCAACTGACAAAAGGCAAATTAATTGGAGATAGGCTATATAAATGTATTTAATATTGCCTAATAAAAAAGCCCCACCAGCTCTTTTCAGAGGTTGAGTCAGGGAATTCTCTGTCTGTCTCGTGCTGCCTCCATTATGCCTGGACATAAACTCCAATGAAGCCTTGTCTGGGGAAACTATTTTGGCCTCATGTCAATTCCTACTGCATTGAGAGCCCCAAAACTCGTGGTCAGTAACATATTCTTTGGGGACTCATCCAAGATCACAGGACGTGGAGAGCCTTTCTCTATCTGAGAGGGTGACTTGTGAGGTGACGGGACTGCTGGAAAAGATCCCTTTATGGCTGACAAGCAGCTGCCTGAAGTTTTGATTCAGTGTCACCGCAATGGGTGAGTCTTTCTCCAGCCTCCTGGAACTCCTCACCTTCCCCACACAGACGATGCCTTTCTCCCTTCCCTTTCCTCCCTCTGTCTCCTTTCCTCTTCCTATCTTTTCTGTCACTCAGGGCGCTTTGCCTCTCCTCTCCTAATCCTTACTGGTTTGGGTTGCTTGAATAGACATCTATGAGGGACGGGTTGAAACAGCCTCCCTAGTTTACTGGTCTGGGTCACCTGAATAGCCACCCATGCAGGAAGGATGAAAACAGTTGACTATCCAGGTCTGATTAACTCAGCCGGCATTGGGACAGGTCACATCCCTCCCTGGCCTAAGTTGTTGTTGGCTCAAATCCCAAGAAAAAAATTCTCTCTCTCTCTTTTCCTCTCTCCCTCTCTGGCACCCTGAACTTTGATCCTGTAACTATTTGAAACCCCTCATTATGTCACTTCCCTAGGCCTGTAATCTTTTAGAGTTTCTGTCTGTACAAATGTATAGTCCTGTCGGTTTGGGGAGACTGCCTGAGACACAGTGCTGGGGACGCCCATCTAGTCTTCAGGAAGGCACCAGGGATGCCTGGGTGCGACTGCCAGTATTGGTTCTCTGCATAACAGGAAAAGTTCAGAGTTCAAATGGTTAACCTGCAACTATAGAGATAAGTAAACTTAACTTCATAAATTTAAATTTGAGAGGCTTTCGCCTATGGTTCCATAAAACAGAAAAGATGATTTTCTTTTGTAGGCATCTTGGCCCCCACAGGTATGGCACAGAGAGCAGGGTCACCTGAGCCATTCAGAGAAAGATAACCCAAACCTCTGGCATGCCTGTAAAAGGGTAAGGATTACTTACTAGCCAGGCTTCTGGCCTCCCTCTCTCTGTGCAAACCAGTTAAGTGAATAGTGAAAATCATTGTTTGTCTCCTCTGCAAGGTTTTAATTAATGGGAACAGGGATTTGTGTGACAAGTTTTAGATTGTAGTGAATCTGGTGTACTTTGAGCTGTGAATTTGTCTTTCTATGTAATTCTATCAAGGAGAAGCATACCACAGGATAGAACGCAGGCTTAGGACTTATAAAAGCCTGCTGCTTTCAGCAGCCTGGCAAACTGGTTAGTTACAAACTTTGCTGTGGATCCCTGAACAAAAAGTGGATGAGGTTTCCCTCTCATCTTGTTTTATGTCCTTAGGAGCATGACCTTGTTACCATATGGGGATACTCTCTCGTGGTCTCTTCCATCCAGAGGGCAGGAATTATCAGGTTCATATCAGGAGGCCAGTCTGAAAGGACCAGGAGGTTGAGATGAGTCAGCACACTCTTGGTCCGAAGGTGTCAAGGCCTGGGGTGAGTTTTGTCTTAAGATGTCCCATCCCTATGGGGCTTTTGTCATCTTTTGCTATTTTAAGCTCATTTCTGAGAGTTAATTCTTGGGGACCATGAAGATGCCTCCTTTACCATCTCTCTAGAAATACCTTTAGCTTATATAGTTAAAAAAAAAAAAAAAACAAAACCTGAAAGATTACCATCTGGGCTCTAAAAGGCTTTTGAATTGAGTGTCTATCAGAACTGAGTACACCATTAAGAGAAAAAGAACTTTAGAGATCGCGTATTCTTAACAATTTTTCAAAAAGATTTAAATTAAAAGAAGAATGTATAATAATGTCATGATTAGCCTTAAAAATCATGTCAAGCAGTGGCCAGGCGTGGTGGCTTGTGCCTGTAATCCTAGCACTTTGGAAGGCCGAGGGGGACGGATCATGAGGTCAGGAGATTGAGACCATCCTGACTAACACGGTGAAACCCCGTCTCTACTAAAAAATACAAAAATATTAGCTGGGCGTGGTGGCGGGCGCCTGTAGTCCCAACTACTTGGGAGGCTGAGGCTGAGGCGAAAATGGCGTGAACCCAGGAGGCGGAGCTTGCAGTGAGCCAAGATCGCACCACTGGACTCTAGCCTGGGGGACAGAGCAAGACTCTCTCCCAAAAAAAAAAAAAAAAAAAAAAAAAAAAATTGTGTCAAGCAGTTAAAATCCTGTGTAGGCTTGAAAATGACTGCTCTAGTCTCCTTCAGAGAAGAGCATGGTAACAACCCCATGCGTTAGCTCAGTAGCTAGGGCTTTCCCCCTTCACTAGGGGCTGCCTGGGTTCATATTCCCAGGGAATTAATCTTTTCTGGTTTGTTATTTGTGTGATCTTTGCTATTTATTGATTCTTTTCCCCTCCATAAACAACTTCTGACTTTCTGTCTTGAATTTTCCTTTCTCTAAGCTACCTTTGGGGAGATTCTAAATCATGTAAAAACCACTTGACATCTCTTTGAAGACACCTCATACACTCGTGGTTAAGTCATAGCTTTAGTTAAGGCTTATTGGTTTCACTAGGGAAAATACCTTTGCAGGGACTGGAGAAGGGGGAGTAGGGGGTGGGGGACATATACATATATATGAAAGGTTTAAAAGACAGAGGTGACCGGGCATGGTGGCTCATGCCTGTAATCCCAGCACTTTGGGAGGCCGAGGTGGGTGGATCACTTGAGGCCAGGAGTTCCAGACCAGCCTGACCAACATGGCGAAACCCCATCTCTACAAAAATACAAAAACTTAGCTGGGCGTGGTGACGTGCACCTATAATCCCAGCTACTCAGAAACTGAGGCAGGAGAATCGCTTGAGCCCAGGAGGCAGAGATTGCAGTGAACCAAGATCACGCCACTGCACTCCAGCCTGGGCAACAGAGTGAGAGACTCCTTCTCAAAAAGTATACTTATATTTTAAAATCTTTTGTTATCTGGGACAAACAGCTGACACCTCTGGCTTTTTTTTTTTTTTTTTTTGAGACAGAGTCTCACTCTGTCACCCAGGCCGGAGTGCAATGGCATGATCTCGGCTCACTGCAACCTAAGCCTCCAAGGTTCAAGTGATTCTTCTGCCTCATTTTCCTAAGTAGCTGGGACTAAAGGTGCATGCCACCATGTCCAGCTAATTTTTGTATTTTTAGTAGAGACAGGGTGTTACCATGTTGGCCAGGCTGGTCTCCAACTCCTGGGCTCAAGTGATCTGCCCGCCTGGGCTTCCCAAAGTGCTGGGATTACAGGCATCAGCCACCACATCTAGCCAAGTTTTTTGTTTTGTTTTGTTTTTAAGAGTTCTATGGTTAAAAGTCAACTAATTTTATAAGGCTTTTAGGCTTTTTTCTCTTCTTAGGTCTTGTTTTTTGGGGGAAAAAAAGTGTTTTTTTCCTTCTCAGTTGACTGAATCATTTCTCCATTTACTTCTGTCTTCTTGCCACCCTGTACGTCCACAAGAGATGACCTAAGGTAATTTCTGACAGCCTGGGACTTCTTGGGAGAAACATGGGAGGTGCCACCGACCCTGTTTTGGGAGAAAATTTTGTTGTCCTCGTGGAACCCCAAGAATTGTAAGCAGACAGTTTCCTTTTAAAATCGAAGGCTTTGCTCTGTTTTGCATTGTGTTACCTGACCTGTTTTACTTTTGGGGACATCAAAAATTATTTTGCTTTGTGAGAAAACTTTTAGCTTTTGTATGTAATAGCTAGGTAGGAAATACACTTTTAGGGATGGCTAATGACAGTTGCTTACAGTGAACAGTTATTATTACAAGGTAATACTCCTTTCTTTGCACATTTAGATGAGAAAAACAGGCTCTTGTGCACCTGGAAAGTATGAAATGTGAGATGGGCTGATTACAGAGCTCGCTGATAGGCATTTGGTTATCCAGCAGCTTCAGAAAATGTCCTTACAATGAAATACACTGTGGGCCGGGCACGGTGGCTCAGGCCTGTAATCCCAACACTTTGGGAGGCCGAGGTGGGCGGATCACTTGAGGTCAGGAGTTGACCAGCCTAGCCAACATGGTGAAACCCCGCCTCTACTAAAAATACAAAAAAATTAGCCGAGCATGGTGGCATGAGCCTGTAATCCCAGTTACTAGGGAGGCTGAGGCAGGAGAACCACTTGAACCTGGGAGGTGGAGGTTGCAGTGAGCCAAGACTGCGCCGCTGCACTCCAGCCTGGGCAACAGAGGGAGATTTTGTCTCAAAACAAACAAACAAACAAAACAAAACAAAACAAAACAAAAAACAATGAAATACATTGTGAAAGCATTACACTGTCGCATCCTGTAGTGGTTTCTTCTTTTTGAGAACCTAAAATTTGGTATAAAAATGAGCTCCTTGGCTTCTGGGGTTCTGTTCTGCCTTTCATCTGTGCCCTAATAGGTCTAAGACCTATTAGGTCTTAGAAACTGCATGCTTTCTGGGCCCTGTTCCTTAAAAGGCTCCACTCTAAATCCAGTAATCCAACTTTAAAAATTTACATCTTTAAGGAAATCTTGATGTGTAAGAATGTCTGCTTTTCCTGGCCATCTTAACTTTTAGTCAGGCCATTTTTTCTTGGTTTGAGTAAAATGTGAATTCTGTATCTTGTTTACCTGAGTTGTCTTTTGAAAAATGCAAATTTAGAGTTGCCTAGCTGACAACTGTTTAAGGCAGAAAACAGGTAATCAAGACACTGATAGTCTAAAATGGGAAAGAAAAACTTACCTGGCAAATGAAAAATGTATAACCCTACCAGACCTGCTTCTGCCTGTCTGTGTCTGTGCTTATATGCAGTGTGTGTAATGTTTATATAAAAGAGCTCTCATCAATTGGCTTGAAGAAAATTCAGTGCTTAAATAAAATATTTGGTCAAAAAAAAGCTTTAATGGATTTTAGTCCACATTATTTTAGTAATCTTTGGTACAGTTTTACAAATTATTAATAAAACATCTTCAAAATTTAGGTATTTGATCTAAATTAGGCAGGTCAGATACTGTCTTTACTAGATGCTTTAAAGTCATGATACTGTCTTTACTAGATGTTTAAAGTCATGAACTCCTCTCGCTACAGGTAGTTAGACAGGCATGGGTGGGGCAGGAGAGGGCTCTCCCCCACCCACTAGGAACTTGGAGTGATGGTTTGACAATTATCACATTGCCTCTTAAAAGTGATAAATTGGGAGCTGATGCCAGGGAGAGACTATTTCCTAATGGTCCCCACCTGTTCCACTAAAGTGTTAACCGAATGCGGGTGCCAGGGAGAAACAACTTCCTAGGCACGCCCATTAAGAGACAGAATGGCGGCCAGGCACGGTAGCTCACGCCTGTAATCCCAGCTACTCGGGAGGCTGAGGCAGAAGAATCATTTGAACCAGGCAGTCGGAGGTTGCAGTGACCTGAGATGGCGCCACTGCACTTCTGCCTGGCGACAGAGCCAGACTCCATCTCAAAAAAAAAAAAAAAAAAAGAGACAAAATGTTAAGAGTATTACTTTGGGAGGAGGGGGGACTCCCCCGGAAAAGGGAAGAAAGCCTCAGATGGGCATGTACACAACATCCTAAGCAAACCGTGTGTGCGCACTTCCCAGGGGTAAGGGGGACACTGTGGGTGTAGGCAGCCCACCCTAAGGGAAGAATCGTGGGAAAGGAGCCAGCCTGTAAAGGCCCTAGGATCAAGGTTGAACACTGCTTGGCCTTCTTCCAAGTTGTACCTACCTTCTTTTCTTTTCTTTCCTCACTGTTCTAAAGCTTTTTAATAAAATTTCACTCCTGCTCTGAAACTTGCCTCGGTTTCTACTTCTGTCTCTGCCCCTCAGTCGAATTCTTTCTTCTGGTCTTGGCCTCCCAAAGTGCTGGAACTACAGGCTTGAGCCACCTCACTTGGTCTGTTATTTTGTTTTGATCCTTTTCAAAAGGCAGTTTATAATCAGCTATAAGACTGGATACTCTTAAATATAGTTCTCTGATCACTTTGGAGAGTGGGTCATTAGAATAGAGGGAAAAACTTCCAGGGCTCTCTTGGAGAGCTAAGGTGTCAAATATCAAGAGCAGAAGTTAATTACGTGGACTGAACTAATAAAAGATTAAAACAATCATTTTATGACTTTTTGCTTGAACTGTTGCTGATCCTTTTGATTTTTGGAGTCAAGAAAACTTTTTTTTTCTTTTGAGCTTTTTACGGCTTTTAACAATTGAGTAAGGTATAATCCTGTGAACAAAAATTGAAGCATATTTCTTTTTTTTTTTTTTTTTTTGAGATGGAGTATCGCTCTGTCACCCAGGCTGGAGTGCAGTGGCACAATCTCTGCTCACTGCAAGCCCCACCTCCCAGGTTCACACCATTCTCCTGCCTCAGCCTCCCCAGTAGCTGGGACTATGGGTGCCTGCCACCACGCCCGAGCATATTTCTTTCTATCTGACTTCTCCAGAATTTGGAAACTATTCCTGAGTATTCTTAACTTATGGCAATACAGTTATTTGCATAATTATTTGCATAATTGCAATAAGAATCTGTTTCTTTGATAACAGAACACAATTGGAAACACTGGTTATTTTACCAAGGCTTTCACTGAAATGACATGCTTTCAAATATAAATAGACTAGGGAATCAAAGTTGACTTATAGAGCCCATAAGAGTCCTTTAGGAAAACTGGCCTCATAGTCTATGCAGTCCCTATACAGAGTTCCCAATCTGTGGTATGTACAGAATGTCACTTTCTTTTTATTTTTTATTATATTTATTTATTTTGAGACAGGGTCTTACTCTGTCACCCAGTCACTGCAACCTCCACCTCCCAGGCTTATGCAATTCTCCCACTTCAGCCTCCTGAGTATCTGGGACCACAGGTGCACACCACCATGCCCCACTATTTTTTTGTAATTTTTGTAGAGACAGGGTTTCACCATGTTGCCCATGCTGGTCTCGAATTCCTGGGCTCAAGTGATCTGCCCGCCTTGGCCTCCCAAAGTGCTGGGATTACAAGTGTGAGCCACTGCACTCATCCAAGAATGTCACTTTCTAACAGGCCCAGAAGCTCCAAGTTATCCTGGGATGTCCAGAGGAGAGGAATTCACCCAGTTTATACAGGTATTTGCAGCCCAGCCTGCTCAAGGCTTTAAAAAGTCTCATCTGAGATTCCTTATGGAAAAAGTTCCAACAAAGCCAATTTAAAAGATAATTATTCTTGCTGCACTTTATACACATAATAAGGCCAAGTATAATAAAACTAAAACTTATTTTACAAATTGGTCCTACCTTGATTCGTCTCTGATAAAAATGAGAGACTGGAGAGAGAAATATTATAATACACCTGCTGGTAGACTCTAGTCTTGTCTGTTGTGTTTGAGTATTTTTAAAATATTATTTTCTGCTGGGTGTGGTGGCTCATGCGTCTAATCCCAGCACTTTGGGAGGCTGAGGTGGGCAGATCACTAAGGTCAGGAGTTCAAGATCAACCTGGCCAACATGGTGAAACCCCTTCTCTACTAAAAATACAAAAAAAATTAGACAGGTATGGTGGCATACACCTGTAGTCCCAGCTACTTGGGAGGCTGAGGCATGAGAGTCGCTTGAACATGGGAAGTGGAGGCTGCAGTGAACTGAGATCAAGCCACTGCACTCCAGTCTGGGCGACAGAGTGAGACTCTGTCTCAAAAAATAAATAAAAATAAAATATTATTTTCTACAATTTGGATTTGATCTTAAAACCTTTCTGGGCTACAAGTCTCCAAAATAATGTTTTCAAATTTTTCTCCCATTTTTCTGACTTATACTCAATAGAATTCCTACTACCTTTTTTTCTGAGGCCCTGCAAGCTGAAGCTTATTTCTTGTGATACAAGCAAGAAGAACATGTCACATTGCCACTGCCTTCCTCCTCTGTAACTAAAGATGCTTTGAGTCTAACATCTGGATAGATTATACCAACCATTAACGTTTGTTTTTCTTCTGTTTCCATAGAAATGCCTCTTATTAAAAGTCTGTTGCCTTATATTTCAGACAACAGGAGACTATTCACTTAGATTCCAAATGGCATCTAATCTCTTCCTACAATCATTATTAAACTGAGCTTAAGCATTTTATTAGTTATCACTGGGTGCTATTTGGCTTTTAAAATAATTATTTGTTATATTCAATAGGGGTACAGTTGTTAAAGTTTATGTCTTCCAGGCTTCAACTATTCCAAGTCCCTTCAAGTCTGTAGAACAGTCGGTGAGAGATTTCCATGCCCCCCGGGGTTAAGCAGGGATGACAACCCTGTTCAGCAGGAAGTAGCTTTAGAAGATAAGATCTTTGGCCCTTTCTCCTTAAGAATAAGGAAGGTAAAATCTTATAAGGGGAAATGAAAAACAGTAGAAATGGGGCTTGGCTTCAGCTCACCCACACTAGAGCATTTTTTTCATGCATTTCCACTCATGACAAACCCACACCACTACCTTACTGCTAATAGTCCTTTTATTTAAAGAATTCCAATGACTGGCCTTAGGAGATAACCAAGGTTGAGAGTGTCCCACCTTGGAGAGGAATGTTGAACAATTGATTCACAGCCTTGTTGCCGCAAACCAGACCATTGGGTGGCCCATTACTCAAGACAACCCTGGCAAACAGATAATGCTGACCTGCATAAACTACCCCTAATTTGTTGTGCTCTTTTAGGAGAGTCAGTCAGGGAATTCTCTCATTCTCTTATGCTGCCTCCCTTATGCTCCGGCATAAGCTCCAATGAAGCCTTGCCTGGAGAAACTCTTTTGGCCTCAGGTCAATTTGCATTGAGAGACCAAGAACCCATGGTCATAACAAAATGAGGTACTGCCCCAGGCAGTTTGTTTTATTGAAGGTACCTGTTGAATCCTAGAGCCTAAACTTTACTTCTCCCAAACCACTTTCTTCATGCATTCAAAACTGGACTTGTTCCACTAAGTCTGCATCTGGTACAGAGACTTCTTGATGTTTACTTAGGCAGTGGCCCATAAGAGTGCTCATTGAAACACCAATCATCATTCATTCATACTTCAATAAATAACTTGTATGGAGAAAAGAGGCTGGGCATGGTGGCTGACGCCTGTGATCCCAGCGCTTTGGGAGGCACACAGGAAGACTGTTTGTGGCCAGGAGTTCAAGACCAGCTTGGGCAATATAGGGAGACTCTATCTCTACAAAAAAATTTAAAAATTAGCCGGGTGTGTGGTGGCACACGGCTGTAGTCCCAGCTACTGGGGAGGCTGAGGTAGGAGGATTGCTTGAACCCAGGAGTTTGAGGCTGCTGTGAGCTATAATCGTGCTACTGCATTCCAGCCTGGGCAACAGAGCGAGACGAGAGAGAGAGAGAAGAAATGTGTGTGTGTGAGAGAAGAGAGAAGAAATGTGTGTGTGTGTGAGAGAGAAGAAATGTGTGTAAGAGAGAGAGGGAAAGGGGGAGGGAGAGAGAGAGAAAGAGAGAGAGAGAGAGAGAGAGATTGATTAACCAAGTCCTGGAAGGCAGCCGTGGTCAGAAGTGGGGTTCTGGAGAGGGTGGGAGGAAAGGAGGTGTGCCTAGATTTGAGGGAGATCAAATTTGGAAGGTAGGCTGCGGTCAGTACACACATTTACCATTGAAAACATTGATGTCACCATTAACATGCTCTCAGAGCTTGAAGACTGCGAAAAAGGTCCGGAGAACTGGCATGACTTTTAAGTATGCACCTTGGGTTTGTTTCTCACTTGCAGCCAGGCAGAGCGTCCTCCTCTAGAGGGAGCAGGGAAAAGAAAAAAAAAAAAAAAAAAAAAAAAAAAAAAATCAGGCGATCGCATTCTGTCTAATTTTGAGCCGCGCCTTTTGCCGTCCGCCATCACGTGCCGGCCCGCTGAGGCCGCGTTGATAGGTGGGGGCGACTGGGCCAGGCGCCGGGGCAGGAAGGGAGGCGGCCGCCGTGCCATTCTTAAAGGCGCCCGAGTGTAGGCGACAGGCCGCTGACGGCCGGAAGGAAAATGGTGAGTTGCCGCTGGGAGGGCGGGGGCCGGAGGGCTGGGCGAGCCGGCCAGCCGGGTTTTCCCGGTTTCCGGAGCCGGCGGCGGCGGGCAGCGCCCAGGAGGGCTCGGCGGCCGCTTCCGCTCCCAGCAGCTGGCCAGTGCCCATAGCTAGAGTACTTGGCCTCTGCCGCCGCCACCACGCCTCAGGGCAGCATCTTCCAGCTGGGCCCGGGGTGGACCCGCCCAGCGGGCCATGGGACTAGGGTGCGGCCACGAGCAGGGGGGTTGGGGAGGCCCCACGCCAGGTCCTTCTGGTTGGAGGGCTTCAGCTTCTGAGCTGTAGGTTGGAGGGAAAGGGGTCTGCCCCATCGGAGGGCTCCCTCAATTCCTGCTTTCCCTGCCAGGGCCGTGGCCAGGTTCCAGGGGTTGGTGGGCCCCGAGCATCTTCCACCTGGCGGCGTTTTGGGGGAGGACTCGAATTCCGATTGAATTCTCTCGGCCTCACCTTAGCTTCTTTCTCTCTGCTCCTTTCCCTAGCTTCCTACAGAGGATTTCTCCTTATCTTTGCTTTCCTATGGCAGTTGGAAACCTTTCGACCCAAAGCTTTGGCACTGGGCCTTAAAGTAATTGTCAATAACTTTAGTTTTGTTGGTTCTGGGGGCTGTGGCTTCTGTTCTTACATGGGATGGACCCCAAGCATAAAAATAAAGTGGAAAATTAAATAAATCGCCATCAAGGATCTTTTGGATCCATCCCATTAGGTTTTAAAATATGGGTAAATTTCATTAGAAACAACAAAACACTGCTCTCTGTGACCATCCACTCAATTCTCAGCCCACTTTCATCGAATAGATCTTGTCATGGTCACTGAATCGAATGGATTCTTTTCAGTTTTCGTCTTCTCTGACCTTTTAGCTGCATTCCAGAGTGTTATACTCTCTTGTTTTTGAAGCATTCTCTTCCTTCATTCTTCCCCTTTGGCTTCTGGGATACAGAGCTCCTCCTACTTCTCCTATTGGTCCATCTGTTTCCCTTTCAGACTATTCTCCTTTCCCTGGACAATGCTCGAAGGAGTCCCAGGTTTCATCCTAATCCTTCATTTTCCATTCTGTATTCTTCATCCTAAACTATGGCTTCAGTTACCATCTATATTCAGATGACTTGTGAATTTACAGCTCAGAAGACCTTGCTTCTGAGATCCAATCCAGATCTGTATGTACTTTTTTTTCTTTGAGTCGGAGTTTCACTCTTGTGGCCCAGGCTGGAGTGCAATGGCGGGATCTCGGCCCATTGCAACCTCCGCCTCCCAGGTTCAAGCAGTTCTCCTGCCTCAGCCTCCCAAGTAGCTGGGATTACAGGCATGTGCCACCACGCCCGGCTAATTTTGTTTTTTTGTTTGTTTGTTTTGAGATGGAGTCTCGCTCTGTCGCGTTGGTTGGAGTGCAGTGGCGCGATCTCCGCTCACTGCAAGCTCCGCCTCCCTGGTTCACGCCGTTCGTTCTCCCGCCTCAGCCTCCCGAGTAGCTGGGACTACAGGCTCCCGCCACCACACCCGGCTAATTTTGTTTTTGTATTTTTAGTACAGACGGGGTTTCACCGTGTTAGCCAGGATGGTCTCGATCTCCTGACCTCGTGATCCACCTGCCTCGGCCTCCCAAAGTGCTGGGATTACAGGCGTGAGCCACCGCGCCCGGCCCTAATTTTGTATTTTTAGTAGAGACGGGGTTTCACCATGTTAGCCAGGATGGTCTCGATCTCCTGACCTCAAGTGATCCACCTGCCCCGGCCTCCCAAAGTGTTGAGATTACAGACGTGAGCTACCGCGCCTGACCCCAGATCTATATATTAATATTTCAATATTTAGTTACCATTCCCCTGGGAAGCTTTTCCTCCACTTGGTCTCCTCAAAGCCACCTCAGTTTGTCCAAAGTAGAACTCATGCCCTTTCTCCTCAAACCTAGTCTTCTGTCTGTTATACAAGACAATCTGTTATACCAGCCAGAAGCCTAGTATATCTGGTAACCCTTTTTTTTGCTTACTCACACCCCACCCCCACCCCCAATATCCAATCTGTCACCACCTCCTTTGTAGTGGTTAAGAGAGTGAGTTAAGATAGGCTGCCTGGGTTGAATCCTGGCTCCACTAGCTATGTAATTGGGGAAAGATACTTAACCTCTCTAAACCTTAGTTTCTTGCAAAATGGGAGTAATAATAGTATCTGTTTCGTGAGATTGTTTTGAACATAAAAGGAAATCTATGTAAAGGATATAACAGTGTTTCTCTCATAGGGTCTGATACATGTTAACTATTATTAGGACTAAATGGGAATTTTTTGCTATTGAGTTGTTTGAGATCCTTGTATATTCTGATTATTAATCCTTTGTTGAGTGGAGAATTTGCAGATATTTTCTCCCATTCTGTAGGTTGTCTCTTCACTCGTTGTTTTCTTTCCTCTCAGAAGCTTTTTAGCTTGATATGATCTCATTTGTCTATTTTGCTTTAGTTGTCTGTGCTTTTGAGGTCTTACTCAAAAAAATCTTTGCCCAGACCAATGTCCTGAAGCAATTGCCCAGTGTTTTCTTCTAGTGGTTGTATAGTTTCAGATCTTACATTTAAGTCTTTAATCCATTTTGATTTGATTTTTGTATATGCTGAGAGTTGGGGTCTGTTTGTTTTTGTTTTTTTGTTTTTGTTTTTGAGATGGAGTCTCGCTCTGTCGCCAGGCTAGAGTGCAGTGGTGCAATCTCGGCTCACTGCAACCTCAGCCTCCCGGGTTCAAGCGATTCTCCTGCCTCAGCCTCCCGAGTAGCTGGGATTACAGACGCTTGCCACCACGCCCAGCTAATTTTTGTATTTTTAGTAGAGACGGGGTTTCACCATGTTAGCCAGGCTGGTCTCGAACTCCTGACCTCATGATCCGCCCGCCTCGGCCTCCCAAAGTGCTGGGATTACAGGCGTGAGCCACTGTGCCCGGCCCGGGGTCTGGTTTTATTCTGCATATAGCTATCTGGTTTTCCCAGCACCATTTATTGGAGAGAGTGTCCTTTCCCCAGTGTATGTTTTTGGCATCATTGTCCAAAATGAGTTGGCTATAAATGTGTAGATTTACTTCTGGGTTCTCTATTCTGTTTCATTGGCCTGTGTGTGTGGTTTTATGCCAGGATCATGCTGTTTTGGTAACTATTGTTTTGTAGTATATTTTGAAGTACTGCTTTGTTCTTTTTGCTGAGGGTTGCTTTGGCTATTCACAGTCTTTTGTGGCTCCTTACAAATTTTAGGATCTTTTCTCTCTTGCTTTTAAGAATGTCATTGGTATTTTGATGGGGATTGCATTGAATCTGTAGATCACTTTGGGTTAGTATGGACATTTTAACAATATTATGTCTTGTAATCCATGAGCTTGGAATCTTTCCATTTTTGTATGTTCTCTTCAATTTCTTTCATCTGTGTTTTATAATTTTCATTGTAGAGATCTGTCACTTCTTTGGTTAAATTTATTCCTAAATTTTTTATAGCTATTGTAAGTGAGATTGCTTTCTTGATTTCTTTTTCAGATTGTTTCCTGTTGTTGTATATAAATGCTACTGATTTTTGTATGTTGATTTTGTATCCTAAACTTTACTGAAATCATTTATCAGTTCTAATAGTTTTTTTTTTAATGGAGTCTTTAGCTTTTTCTAAATATAAGATCATGTTGTCATAAACAAGGATAATTTGACTTCTTTTTTTCTAACTTGGATGTCTTTTATTTCTTTCTCTTCCCTAACTGCTCTGGCTAGGACTCCCAGTACTATGTTGAATAAAAGTGGTACAATTGGGCATCCTTGTTTTACTCCAGAACTTAGAGTAAAGGCTTTCAGTTTTTCCCCATTTAGTATGCTGTCAGCTGTGGGTTTGTCATATATGGCCTTTATTGTTTTGAGGTGTGTTCTTTCTATACCCAATTTGTTGAGGGTTTTTATCATGAAAGGATGTTGAATTTTATCAAATGTTTTTTCAGCATCTCTTGAAATGATACGATTTTTGTTATTCTGTTAATGTAATGTATCACATTTATTGATTTGCCCATGTTGAACCATTCTTACATCCCTGGGATAATCCCACTTGATCACGGTGAATGATCTTTTTAATGTGTTGTTGCATCTGGTTTTCTAGTATTTTGTTAAGGATTTTTGCATCTATGTTCATCAAGCATATTGACCTATAGTTTTTTTTTGTTGTTGTATACTTGTCTGGTTGTGGTATCAGGGTAATGCTGTTCTTGTAGAATGAGCTTGGAGGTATGTTCTCCCCTTCAATTTTTTTGAATAGTTTGAGTAGAAGTGGTGTTTTAAATCTTTGGTAGAATTCAGCAGTGAAGCCCTCAGATCCTGAGTTTTTCTTTGATGGGAGACTTTATTACTGTTTCAGTCTCATTACTCATTATTGGTTTGTTCAGGTTTTCTATTTCTTCATGGTTGAGTCTTGGTAGATTGTGTGTGTCCAAGAATTTATCCATTGCTTCCAGGTTTTCCATTTTGTTATAGTGTTCATAATAGTCTCTAATGATTCTTTGTATTTCTGTGGTATCAATCGCAATGTTTCTTTTTGTCTCTGCTTTTATTTCTTTTGCACATTCTTAGTAGCTCCTTTTTATATCTCTATAATCATTTAATTATAATATAAAATATTATTGGTCTTTACTCTTATGGGGTTTTTAACACTTTTGTTGCTTATATTTTTTTTCCCCTGTAATTGTGAGGACAAAAAATAATTTATTAATTCTAAGTATAATCAGATTATTTTCTTGTTCTTCCTTCACTGTGTAAAAATAGTATGCTTGACTCCCTTTCTAACAGCAGACAGTGATTCTTGACTTTCCCCATATTCTTCCCTTCCTCTCCAGTTCTGATGACATTGCACATTATTATGTGTGTGGTTTTTGAGACATTCATTAGCCAAAGAGAAAGTTAAAATATACCTTACATATATGAGATGAACAAATTTGTAGGATTAAGCAATGTAGATCCAAAGGTTGGTTGATTTTAAAGTTCTTTTAAGTGTTCATGTATTTAATGCTTTCACTTAATTGACATTTGTGAATGTCAGTATGCATTATAAAGGTATTAGGTTTCATAACTTTAACATGTACATATATTGAAGTCATGGCATTTTATGTGTGTTTTTTTTCTTTTATAGAGTGAGTCTTTGGTTGTTTGTGATGTTGCCGAAGATTTAGTGGAAAAGCTGAGAAAGTTTCGTTTTCGCAAAGAAACGAACAACGCTGCTATTATAAGTAAGCTAAAAGTGATTGCCTCAAAGTTACATGGTCTTAATTTGTTTTTAATCTTGTAGCTACATTGAATGAACTGAACCGTTGGAAAGCAATGTTACTTCCTCTGTTTCATTTCCCCACCACCACCTTTAGATCACTTTAAAAAATAAGTAACAGCTAATTCTAATGTCACAGAACAGAGGTGGATTGTCCCACCTCCCCCATAGTCCTTTTATCAGCTGCCTGTACAGCTCTGGAGAAGGCGGTCGTCTTGGTCCTTGGGTAATGAGGATTCCCATCTGCAGTGACCCATCCAACCCATCCTTCTTGGGGGACTAAAAATAGCCTGGCCATTCATCCTCAAATAGAAACCTTTGCCTACACCTAAAATGACAAAGTTCAGCATTGTGTACATAGTGACTTTGGGCATTATTCCAGTTGTAGATTTGAACTCTGGTTTCAGGAAGAGTACTTTTAAGTGGCACTGGCACTATCTTCTGAAAATGGAAAAAGTGATTTGCATATTGCTCCTCCCACTGTGAGCTATATCTGACATTATGCAGATTTCCCTTGTATTCATAGGCAGTATTTAATATGTAGGTAGTGATTTAGAAAGATGAGGAAAGGATGAGGGGGTGAAAATGTAAAACTCTAGAGACCATGCTTAACAGAGATGCATCTGGCAGATGTGATTTAATCAGAGGTCATGACAACTTGTCATGAATTCTGATTTCATTATAAATAAATACTGCAATGTCGACATATGGTTCTTAAAAGTGAAAAAAAAATAAAAGTGAAAATGTGTGTTAGTGCCATTTACTGCAAAAGCTGAAACTATTTGAGATTACATTATATCTCACAAGATTTACTATCAAATTGGTGCAAAACCAAACATGGTCAACTTTGCCAGACTAACAGGAAAGGATAGAGGCATAGAGTATCTAAACTTATTTTGATTTAGCTTTGGATTACATTAGATATATTTGAATGTAGATATCACTTCTATTTGGTTATTCACTTTCTTAGAATAATGATACCGTGCCATGAAATCCTGACCTTGGAGAAGCCAGGAATTTTGAGGTTTCTCTATTTTGATCCCCGATCAGGCACTTTTTCCCTTGCAGTTCTGACCATGTTGCATATAGACCAATCAGTTACAGTTACCCTTTCAGGCTTTTTCTTATTATCTAGAAGTTGGATTTGAGTTACAAAGTTCTTTCATATACACAGGAAATGTAAGAAATTAACAGCAAGTTCTAAATAAGCAAATTAGGTACTGGGAATTATGGGTAAAAGCTTTTAAAAGCTGACAGCTTGAAAAGCAAAGCTAGCTAATAAACCGTAAACTAAAACTGTGAATTAGTTATATGCTTCTGTTTCTTGATGTTTTAATTTTAGATGTCCGAAAAAAAAGGCTGAGATTGTGTGGGTTGGGCAGATCAGGGTCACATTAGAATCCCAGCTTACTCATACTTGATTTTTATTTTAGTGAAGATTGACAAGGATAAACGCCTGGTGGTACTGGATGAGGAGCTTGAGGTTTGTTCAATGAACTAAATACAATTTTATAGTTAAGTAATTATTATTTCTCAAAAGATGCTATATTAGTTACATATGCTTCTAAAACGAATCTTGAACCTCCTTTAAATACATGCTCATTATGCATAAAAGCATGTGCTAATTGTGTAGTTTGTGATATTGCTAATTTAACTACCTTGTTTAAAAGCATTAGTGAAGTCCAGTGTAATAAGTGGTATAAGTTGGGGTCATATACTGAGTAAGAAGTGAGTCAACTTTGTAACTTGCTTCTAAGTTGCTTGACTAGTACTTAAAACCTGAAACCCTACAATTTAAATATCTGGTTTGTCAAATTAAGTAACTAGAGTAAAAAGAATTCAATTCTTTTTTCTGAAATCAGACATTGTTTCTTTCCGCTAAGATACTGGCTTATGTCATTCAGTATTTCCTGACAGCTGGGACATAAGCATAGAATCTGTGCCTCCCAGCCCCATATTTACTTAATAAATGGAATGAAACCAAGTGGGCAGAAGGAGGCTTTGATTGGATTGAGAATTTAGTAACCTGAGTTTATGTATAATTTAGTAAGATAAAATTTTATTTTGTAGCATGTGGTAATAAATTTATAACTGTTAGTAGAATGGGTGCTTGGTGTATCTCTTAAGGACTTATGGGTAAGAAAATGTTTAAAAGTTGCTTTTCTCTGTGGTGCCAGGGCATTTCACCAGATGAACTTAAAGATGAACTACCTGAACGACAACCTCGATATCCTTTTCTTAGTGCTTTAAAAGATTTATTTTCTTTAGTGGTCAGACCTGTTTGTGAGCTCATTTGTTAAACATCTAAAAGTATCCTTCTGTGTCATGATGACAGCCAAATTAAAATATGTGTGCATATACTAGACTAAGAAAAATGAAAAGTTGGTTTATTCGTGGGATGAATAATTTTCTTTTTAAAACTATTTCCTTTATTATAACGTGTACAATAAAAATTGAGAAAATAATCTGTATTAAACTTGTACTTTAAAAAGTTAAATTTTTTGAGAGATTATGTGATTTTATAACTTATCCTTGGAACCCATTTAATTTTGTGGAAAGATAATAATGAAGGTGTGGCCTAAAAGAATAGGACAGAAACTTGCAGCTCAGTAGCTCCCCAGGTGTTGGTAAATACCTGTCTGAGAGCAGTAACTTTAGTTTCTTTAACTTGAGAAAAACCTTCATTGTGTATAGTTATAAATATCAACATGATGATGGAAGAGTTTCATATCCTCTGTGCTTTATTTTCTCCAGTCCTGTTGGTAAGTGAATTTCTTTAAATAACACATATTTGGCTTAGATCCAATTAAGCCATTTTATACTAGACAAATTTTCTGCTGTTTTTAAAGATGAACATTGTTGAATAACCTAAATTGAGGAGGGTCTGTGTCTATGTGTGTCCATGTGCCTGTGTGCATGCATCCCTAGAAAGAATGAAGCATCATCTCTTAGAACTTATTTTCTTAGGATAAATTTCTAGACGTGTAATTGTTGACTCAAATCATACATGTATTTTAAGGATTTTGAAACGTGATGACATTCTAATATAGCAGAAGTATTTTCTTTTTATATTTTAATCATATAAAAATGTGAACTTCACATATAATTGCATATATTTGTGTTTCTTTTAAATAGTAGTTAACAGTGATATGCTTATAATCTTGAGAATGGTCCTAGAGTAATTTACATTGGGTATTAAAATGGGTTACTGGTATTTAAGGAATTCATTATCACCAGAACTTCTATCACCACTGTTCAGGCCTGCAATAAAAACTGCATTCACTGAGCTATTCTCCAAACTTCATAATTTGTATAATTTACTTCCCACTCAAAATATACTGCAGTATATTTTTAACTTAATATATCGGCAGAGTGAAACTTTTATCAGAGCAGATCTCCCTGCCCTACTGGTCCACTACCATCCCAAAACCTTGTGTATTTTAGTCATCCATAAAATTGATCTTGATATTTAGTGTCAAAGTTAAGATAGTGCAGAAAGTTTTTAATTGTTTGCAAGGCTCTAAAAGTCAGGATCTACAAATGTCTAGAATCTTTATTTTTGCCAACCTGTAGACTTGTTCTTGTTTATTTATAACTTAACTGTCTCTTTCTGTAGGCAGTGTGCAATGTAAGACTCAAAATACAACCCATATATATTCTGTAAACTCAATAGCAAAGGAAATCCTAAATGTGTCATTTTAAAAAATAAAAATAATGATAACCCATACCTTTCTCAAAATCTGTGTCTCATTTCTACACTAATCTCTCTTTTCCAGGATGTAAGCCTGAACAACAGATGATGTATGCTGGAAGTAAGAATAAGCTAGTCCAGACAGCTGAACTAACCAAGGTGGTATTTATATTTGACTGACTTGTTGAGACAATATTTTCCTTTAGACTATAAAGCAATAGCTAAAATAGTCTAAAGGAGTATTTTTTATGCAGGTGAAGGTTATTTAGACCAGATTAGTAAGTTAGCCAAAGCTTTTTGTTAACTGGAAATAGAATGAGATAGAAGCGTTTGAACCAAAGTGTATTTTTTGAATAAGTTGATTGGAAGAAATCACATTCAAAATATAGGCAGTGTTAGAAAGCCACTGTAACTATTAAATCTATTGAGAGTTAGTTTATCTGCCATAAGGTAATTTCTAATAGATAAGGGTCAGCATTGAAGTTTCTCTGAACCCTTTACCATAGTCTAAAATGAACCGAGTTCTGTGCTGGAATTCAGTATTATGCAGTTAATTGTATTGTTTCCAAATATAAAATTGTTAAGAATATTAATAAAGTTAGAACATTCTGTTTTATATGAGAACTTGCTTTAAGATTTAACATGTCCCTATTTTATGGTATTTTTGAAAGTTAAAGGTAAGAGGTACTTGGCTCTCAAACTTTATTTAACTTCCACATATTAGTTTGAATTGAAAAAGTATATGCACTTAAGGTTTTGAAATAGGATATTATATTGCCAAAACTGTGTTAGACAGTATTTCCTTTCAAGTTTTATTTTAAGAACAGCATCAGTATTTTCCCCTTGGGTGCTTAATAATCAACTCTGGAATGCCTTTAAGTGCCCTCTGCTGTTTCCCCTTAGCCCATGTGATTGTTACCACTGCTTTATAGACATTACTTTTTCCTGATTTGTAACACAGGGACACTGGAGTTGCTCTAACGGTTTGGGTGGTTAAGAAGGAGCTGTTAACGGCCTCAAGTCTGTTCTAATCCTGGGGATGCCCTACAGTGCTGAAGTTGAGACATTACAGTTTACCAGTTACTTTTACAGATAATCTCATTGAATCCTTACAACAGCCCTGTGAGATATTCTGTAGATAGGAAAACAGACCCAGTGGATGAATGACTTGCTCAGGGTTGCATAACAGTAAATTTAGACAGAGCTAGGATTTAGCTCTGTCTAGGACTTAGGATTCACATCTGGCTCCAAATCCTATCCTTTCTGCTGTAATACATTGCTTTTCTATAGCCGTTATGCTTTCTGGGCCTGATTCAGATTCTTGCTGGAGATTTGTGGCTGATCTCCATCTCCCTCTGATATTTCCATTTGACATTCAGACTCTGGAAGACCAGCGTATGTTCCTCAGTTCCTAACTAGATTGATTTTAGTTGTGTTTACTTGGGATGTCTTCTAGGAGATAAGATTTACAGAACTGCTCTTTTAGACTATTTGTAGATTTGTGCTTTTGGGAGAGTTTTGGTTTCATGTTGTCTTGATTGCTGTACTTTGGTAACTGAGTACTTAGCATTTAAAAGAAGTGAAGTTCTACCTAAAAGGTATATCTCATTTACACAGGTTAAGTCATGAACAATATGAAAGGAAGCAGAATTTGGTATTTAATACTCAAATATATAACCAAAAATAGTTTGGTGTATAATACTCAAATATATTTTAAAAAATTCAAATATTTGACTTTTTTTTTGGAGTGTCAAAGTATGACCCAAGTTTTTTTTTTTTTTAAAGGTATTTGAAATAAGAAATACCGAAGACCTAACTGAAGAATGGTTACGTGAGAAACTTGGATTTTTTCACTAATGTGAACTTCTGTGTTTCTAAAGTATTTATGTATTAACCTGACCATACTGGAATCAGACATAAATACTTATTTATGCCTAAAAATGCACTGTTACTTACAGTTTGTTTCCTGCAGTAAAGAAAAATTCTTCATTTGTGCAAAATTTGAACAAAGAGGAAATCATCTTCATAGTAATGAAACTTTGTAAAGTGTTTCCTTATATTGGTAATTGTTAGGTGGACTACTTTTCTCCAGGGACTTTTTGCACTCTTGTGACTAATTTCTATAACTTATGGTTCGGAATTTGTTACTATTTACAGACACCATTGGAAAGTGGATATATTAGATTGTGAGAG
This sequence comes from Homo sapiens, assembly GCF_000001405.40. Classification (NCBI taxonomy): domain Eukaryota; kingdom Metazoa; phylum Chordata; class Mammalia; order Primates; family Hominidae; genus Homo; species Homo sapiens. The sequence continues at coordinate 54,477,751 of NC_000014.9, read as the reverse complement.
ACAACAGTTGCCTCCTTTTGACAAATACTGGATATTAGCAGTTTATTTATGAAAATAGCGTATTATCACTTGTCAAATCATTGAAATTCATTTGGGGTCAAAGACTTGAGTGACCCAGTATTGAGCCATGAATAATTTAGTGTAACCTGTATTACAAGTACATTGATGAATTCTGTATCTTCTTTGGTTTCCTGTATCTTTTTAATCAAGTCTAGAAACTATGTTCATCAGTCACTCATTTTTAAGGTCGGGAGTTAGATTTTATGATAGAATTATGACTGTTAGCTTTTCTCCTTATAGCATCTTAGTCTTAGAAATTGGTGGGTTGTAATAATCAAGGGCTTCATTCCTTTTATGTCATTTCTAGACAGTTTTGAATCTAGGTTAATAACACTTTATTTATAAAGCACCTCAATGTCCTGTGAACACTAATTATTTTAAATGTGTTAATACTGTGCCTTTGATTTGTTAGCTTTAAAGTTAGTTTAAGACTTTTACACTGCCAGTATTCCACATTTGGTGAAATTAATACTTTTTTAAAGGGTCCAAATAAAATAATTTTCTAATGTGTATATCTGAAATTTGTAATAAAATCAACTTCATATTTTAAAAATTCCAACTATCTGCTTGCATTGGTGAATATATGGCAGTCGAGAGTTATAATTTTGGGTATACTTGTGGTTAGTTTTGTGCCATAGGAAAAAATTATCTTAAAACTTTGGCCATAGTTAATAACATTAACACTTCAATAGCAATCACATCTTATATCCTAAATGTCAGAAGATATTCTGAACTGGATGCCTGAATAGTTAACTAAACCAGTCTTGTTAGATGATGGTACTCTTGGCATAAAGCGAGGATTCTGATATTTGGCATACTTGTAAAAACAAATACATAAGTAACCATTGAACATTAATTTGATAATAGGTCTAGAGACTCTAAAAACTAACCAAACTTGGTGAGTGTATTCTTATATTAAGAATATCTTAGTCATCTCAAAACTAGCAAAATTTAAATTTTGGCATGTTTTCCATTCATATGTTCTTTGCATTTTATTTTTGAGGTTTCTGTGAGAAGTAAAGATAGTTGGAATTTTTGCGATATTGAATAGAACATCTTCTGTTCCCAACACTGTTTGGCTTCACTAATTTAGAAGTCAGGAAGCAATAGAAAGTTGGAGATGAGGAAGTGCTAGAGTAGGTGTTTGTTTTGGTTCTTGGAGGGAAAAGATTCTTTATTCCAATTTCCAGAGAGAAGAGAAAACTCACCCAGGAAGTTTAAAAATTCTTTAAACAGGTATTTTGATATTGGAGAATAACATGCATATAATTCTGTAGGAATGCACATGTAATCCAAGTGAGTGGAGAGTGTTTTTAATGTTTTTGAATGAAGGAAATGAGGTTTTGTTTCACCTGTTTTGCAGCAGTAAGAGAAACTAGTGCTGCAAGAATGTATTTTTTAATGAAGTTCCTTATTTTGTCTTGCATGTTTTAGTTTTGCTTATTTTTAAATTTGGAGGTCCTCCATAATGTCAGATAATATTGACCTGCCATACGTTAGCACTCTTAGTTCCGCTACTGTCTTTAACAGGAGCAAAGAGCTGTGATAAACCATGCTTTTTTGAGCTTGTCTGACTCCTAATTAATAACATGTTTTTGGCAAGACAACAGATTGAGGTTAGAGGATCAGTAGGACATTTTTATTCCATCTGTCCTATGGGGAAATTTACAAATCCCGTGCTCTAAAATGTTCTCAAACATTTATATAGATTTCCCTTTCATCTTACTAAATTTTGCATTGTTCTTTTCAAGTATGTTTCGTATTTACTGTCTTTTTTTCTGCCATTTCCCAAATAATAACTCCAGATTTCATAATTCCAGTTTTTACATTCCGTTATCTTTCTGGTACAACCATTCCCATTCAGCCTTAAATCTGAGTCCTTTTTAGCAGCAACTTTTTTCCTGGGATCCTCCTTCGTGGTCTTCTAAGTCAGTGTTAGTTTTGAAATTTTTGGCCCTGCATAAGTTCTGCATAGCATCTAATGTCAAAATAGAACCAACTGGTAATCACAGTATTATTTAGTGTGGTTTCCATGACAACAAAAATACATACGAAGAAAACTTCTCAGGTTACTATGCTGAAATTCCAAAATGTCTGAGTTTTGAATAGTGATCACTTTGTTCTGGTATTGACGCAATTATATTAGGAAAAAAGTTGGTTGACTGTTTTTGTTTAATTGACTTCTAAAATGTTCAAATTGTCTAGTTCTAAAAGTTTACTAAATGCCTAGTGCAGTTAAACATACTCTTGTTTAAGTGTGTGTTGCTAAATTTTTTACTGTCATTACTAAATAATCTGTGTGGCAAAATGTGTGTCAGCACTTTTCCCTCCTTTTTTATCTCCTATTTTCAGGAGTCAAATGTAGCCATAAACTGTATCCTTGTCTGACACTTTAGCTAAAAATTTCCAGTTAGGGGAGTTTATTGCCAAATTAAATTTGGCTGTTCCCCCCAACCCATATAGATATTAAGGAAGGTGTACTTAAAAAATGTTTGGACTGCTTTTAAAACCTGAGCAATGTCATTAATCCATATGTGGACTAGTGATGAATAGATATTTTCATAAGAGTTTAAATGCTGATATTTGGTGGAAGTAGAGAGTAACTCATATTCTATCAATTCAAGTATTCTTACTATGGTTGCTTTCCCTATTTGTTCAATAGACTGATAATACTGGAATTTATAGAGTTTGAGCCATTACAACTTTTGTGAGGATGTGTTTCAAACATTTCTGGACAAATCTTATTTTGTATTTCTGGAAGAATGTAGTAATCTTCTAGACCGCTTAAAACCAATGCTCCCAAGCTGAATATTCTTGAGAAATTTGTTTTTATTATGCCATTTGACATTTCAAATCAGTGCTCATATACAGTAAACTTGTGATAGAAATTGTATTTTATTGCTTTTTGGATTATAATTCATATAAATATAATTACTTGAATATTGTTTGAGATCATTAACATGCCAGGGCAGTTCCCACTGATTTAGATGGTCCAAGATAATCTCATTCAGGAGGCTTGAAACATTAATGGTTTAGTCTTGTGAATTTTAACAGTTCTCTGTCATCGTTTAACAAAACCAACAACTGACACAACTCCTTAAGCTGTGGTTTCAGTCTCTGCTAGTTCATATTGCATGTTTATTTTGGACAGTCTTTTGTTAAGCATGGTGCTTGTACTGGTTTAAATAAAATGTTAACATTAAAAGACTTCCAGCTTTTCTTTTTTTACTCACCTCTTTCCCCCTTTGGAGTTACTGGTATGTACCTGGCTAGATTTGTGTGAGCCATAAACTTTATCTGGACAAACTGAGAGGCAAAATAAACAAGTCATTTGGCAGCTTGGTGGAAGGAGAAGATAATCAAGTTATAAAAATTTCTAAAACTTGGTCTGATGCTAAAATGTAGAAAATGTCAGTAAACAGTAGTAGGGACAGACAGAGCTATTTCAAACAATGAACGCTTGCTTTCAAAGGGAGAATTCGAAGTTAGGAGAGCTGTATACTTCGTAAGAAATCAAATTGAAGGTTTTTTTAATTGAATATAGCTTATCACTATGTATTAAACACCCATTGACAACCCGTCCTACCTTTATTACCAACTGTACTATATGGTATATGTTCAATAGGTATCTACTGAATGAATACAAATCACTAATAACATAGTTTTTAGAGTTTGCCATGTACTTGTGATTGTGTATGTTGTAATAGTCACAATTTGTTATGATGGTGAAAGGAGTAGTTTATGCCTTCCTGTCTTTAAGAATTTCACAAGGAAAATTGGCCCAAGCATGGGAACATTTATATCTTCCTTATTTATCAAATTTGGCCACTTAACCTACTCAAACAGCCAGCTCTTAAATTTTTTCACCTTCACTAAATAATACCTATTGTCTTTTTGTCCTTTTCACTTTTCAGCAGCAAGAAGCATTTGTAAGCACTTAGCCTCTGAACCTGGGCGCACTCTTGTAACCACCCAATGGGTTCTCCTTGCCTGCTGCCCAGACAGAGCCAATTTATTAAGATAGGAGAACTGCAATAAAGAATTTTTAGGCCTGGCGCGGTGGCTCACGCCTGTAATCCTAGCACTTTGGGAGGCTGAGGCGGGTGGATCATGAGGTCAGGAGATCGAGACCATCTTGGCTAACACAGTGAAACCCCGTCTCTATTAAAAATACAAAAAATTAGCCGGGCATGGTGGCAGGCACCTGTAATCCAAGCTACTCGGGAGGCTGAGGCAGGAGAATGGCGTGAACCCGGGAGGCAGAGCTTGCAGTGAGCCAAGATAGTGCCACTGCACTCCAGCGAGACTCCGTCTCAAAAAAAAAGAATTTTTAATTCACACAGAGCTGGCTATATGGAAGACCTGAGTTTTATTACCCAAATCAGTATCCCCCAAAATTCTGGGATTGAAGTTTTTAAGGATAATTTGGTGGGTAGGGGGTTGGGAAGTGAGGAGTGCTGATTGGTTGGATCAGAGATGAAATTGTAGGGGGTCAAGTGGGTTTTTCTTGGTGTCTTCTGTTCCTAGGTGGGATCACAGAACTGGTTGAGCCAGATTACCAGCTCATCACAGGCTCGACCCTGTGGTGCTTCAGAACACAGGGTCTGCAGAATATCTCAAGCACTGATCTTATGTTTTACAACAGTGATTTTATCCCCAGGAACAATTTGGGGAGGTTCCAGAATCATGCAGCCTTGGCTGCGGTGACTCCTAAACTATAATTTCTAATCTTGTAGCTAATTTATTAGTCCCTACAAAGGCAGACTGGTCCCTAGGCAAGAAGGGAGGCTTGTTTCAGGAAAGGGCTGTTATCATCTTTCTTTCAAAGTTAAACTATAAACTAAATTCTTCCCAAAGTTAGTTCGGCCTATGCCCGGGAATAAACCAGGACAGCTTGGAGGTCAGAAGCAAGATGGAGTCGATTAGATCAGGACTCTCACTGTCCTAATTTTCTCATTGTTAGAATTTTTGCCAAGGCAGTTTTACACTCATTTGCATGAGGGTACACCCTGAGTGGATATTGTATCCTTGTATAGTGTAGTTTTAACTGTTGGGGAGCCAATTAAAGATGTTACTGCTGAGCACTAGGGAGTTTTCACAGATAATCCTCTTATCTTCTACTTGAGATCTACCCCTAGGCTGTGTGAAAGCTCCCTGCTGAGGTTGCTGCCCTCTTTTAATTATAGGAAGGAAAGAACGCCTTGGTTGCATATCCAAATGCCACCATGCAAATCAGACAAAGCAGGAGGAGAGAGTGTGACTTCCAAAGTCACTGTTACTAAGTATAGATTCTCTTACTCTGGAATTTAAGGCTCTTCACATTTCGGCCCATTTCTTACATGCACTGCACGGTTGTCTTAGTCCGTTTTGTGCTGCTGTAACAACACCTGACACTGGGTAATGTATAAAGAACAGAAGTTTATTTCTCATAGTTCTGGAGGCTGGAAAGTCTAAGATCAAGCTACTGGCATCTGGCAAGGGCTTTCTTGGTGCATCCTCACAAGAAAGGGGTGAACCCCCTCTTGAAAGTCCTTTCTGTGGCGGCATCAGTCCGGTCATGAAGGTTTTTCCCATAAAGCTCCATCGTCCAACACTGTTGCATGGGGGATTAAGTTTCCAACACATGAATTTTGGAGGACATCTTCAGACCATAGCAACAGCTAAGGCTAAATACGCCCACAACCCTTTGTTAGGTGGAAATGCCCCTGCACCTGGCTGTACTTTCCTGTTCTAAGCCTCCTCCCCACCCTCAGTACACATAGGACTCTATTGATATTTTCAGCCCCAGCTAGTTGAACCCAAGGGCAGCCAGCCTCTATGATGTTGCCAGACTGATATCAAACAACAAGTTGGGCCAATCACTTTCTTGAGTGAGGCAGATAGCAGTGCGAGCTGGCTGACCTTGAAAGAATGCCAATAGATGGAGAAGAGGGAAAGAAGATGCCAGCTGGGATAGTGTAGAATAAAGCAGGCTTGGCCAGATGCAATGGCTCACGCCTGTAATCCCAACACTTTGCGAAGCCCAAGCAGGAAGATTGCTTGAGTTCAGGAGTTCGAGACCAGCCTGGCCAACGTGGCAAAACCGCATGTCTATTAAAACTACAAAAAAAAGTAGCCAGGCGCGGTGATGCATGCCTGTAATCCCAGCTGCTTGAGTGGCTGAGGCATGAAAGTCACTTGAACCCGGGAGGCAGAGGCTTCAGTGAGCCAAGATCGTGCCACTGCACTCCAATCTGGGCAACAGAGTGAGACCCTGTCTCAAAAAAAGAATAAAGCAGGCATGCAGAGAGTAGCTGGATCATGTTAAAGATGAAGGCCCAAATTGAGGAGCCCGACTCCTACCTTTTAGGTTTCTAGAGCCTCCTTTGATACAAGGCCACTCTTCATTGTCCCCTTTTTCTGAGGCTTGGTTGGTCAGCTTTTTCTGGGTTTCTCTGCATGTCCGTCCTTAGCAGAAGCCTTCCATTACCTGTTAACCTGGGCATGTCTGTTTACTTGTGTACAAAAGTGCCTAACTACAGTGCTACCTCTGGTTTCATCTGTCACTGTTCCCTACATTTGCAATAAGCCTAAACAAATGTGATGGTTAATTTTAGACGGCATCTGAGTGGAGTAGTGGAGGAAGATCCACCCTCGGTGTGGGTAAGCACCATCCAATCTGCTGGGGCCCTGGAAAGAACAAAAACAGAAAAGGCAAATATGCCAGTCTACCCGGTGGAGCTGGTATGCACCCTTCCTCTCCCATACTTGGACAAGAATTCCAGGTTCCCTGGACTTTGGACTCTAAGACTTACACCAGTGGCTTCCTGGGTTTTCAGGCCTTCAGCCTCAGACTGAGAGTTACACCACTGGCTTCCCAGGTTCTGAGGCCTTCAGACTTGGCTGGAGCCACGCTATCAGCATCCCAGGGTCTCCAACTTGCAGAAAGCCTGTCTTGGGACTTTCCAGCCTCCACAATTGTGTGAGCCAGTTTACTTAACAAATCCTATCTATCTATCTACCTATCCTCTATCAATCAATCATCTATCTATCCTGTTGGTTTTGTCTCTCTGGAGAACCCTGACTAATACAACCTTTTATACAAACATGTCCTGAGCCTCATCTTCCTCCACCAACAGAAGCACTTTTCTCCCTATGCTGCTGCCGCTGCCTGCCAAAATCAACAGCCTTCAAAAATCACCCCAAATGCCATGTAAACCATGAAGTCTGTTGTTTGTTGAACTAAATATAGTACCTTCTTTAAAAAAGCAGTAACAAAAAGAAAATTTTTAAACAACAAATATCATTAGAGAAAAATCAGAAAATGCAAATAAGCAAAAAGAAGAAAAAATTGTATCACCCAGAGAACTCTGTGGTTTTGATTATCTTTCCCTGTCTCTGGAGGAATTCTCTGGTCTCAGAGTCTTTCTGGTCAGCCTTAAGTATTACAGAATTAGACTCATTTTCTTTTCAGGTAACAAAAATTCCAGTCTAGTCTAATGTTAAAACTTCAATATCTTACTTTCTTTAAAGCTCTCTCCCTTGCCCCATCCTCTCCTCCATCCCACTTTCTTTAAAAATATGCTTCATGTTGGGAATCCACAGTGGAGAATGAGATGTGGTCTATGCCTCATTATTGCTGCTCCTTGCTCTCCCGTTGCTAGTTGTCTCTGGTTTCTCTGGGGTTGGAGGAGGAGGGGCAACCTAAGTGAACAGAAAAAAAGACTTATTAGCCTGGTACAGTTGTCATCTGGAGTTGGGGCCTCTGAATGTGGCCAACGTCAAATACTAGCAGATTTCTTCCATGGGGTGCTCTTGTGGGTTCCTTGCTGATTCCCTCATTGGGAATTTTGGCTGCAAGTTCCTTGACTTGGGTCATGCCTCCTCTGGCTAGTAGCTTTACAACTACCCCTGCCAGCTCTTGGCTTCTAGCAGTTGCCTCTCTGTTGTAGTCACCTTGTTCCTCCAGGCTACCATCTTGGCCAGGGTCCCTTGTTCAACTACTTTGCAGTGTCTTAGTTCATTCAGGCTGCTATAATAAAATACCTTAATCTGGGTAGTTTATTTTAAAATTATGGCTCACGGGCCAGGTGCAGTGGCTCATGCCTGTAATCCCAGCACGTTGGGAGGCTGAGGCAGGCGGATCACTTGAGGTCAGGAGTTCAAGACCAGCCTGGCCAACATGGTGAAACCCCATCTCTACTAAAAATACAAAAATTAGCTGGTCATGGTGTTGGGCACCTATAATCCCAGCTACTCAGGAGGCTGAGGCAGGAGAATTGCTTGAACCTCAGAGGTGGAGGTTGCAGTGAGCTGAGATTGCACCACTCCACTCCAGCCTGGCGACAGAGTGAGACTCCGTCTCAGACAACAATGACAACAACAGCAGCAGCAGCAGTAATTATGGCTCACAGTTCTGGGGGCTAGGAAGCTCAAGATCAAGCTGCTAGCAGATTTGGTGTCTGTTGAGGACCCATTCCTCATAGAGGGCATCTTCTGGGTTCTCACATGGTAAAAAAGACAAACAAGCTCTCTCAAACTTTTCTGTTTTGTTTTGTTTTGTTTTTTCAGTAAGGGCACTAATCCCATTTATGAGGATAGAGCCCTCATTACCTAATCAATTCCCAGATGCCCTCCCCACCCCTAACATACGGCACTGGGGATTAAGTTTTAACCTATGAATTCTGGGGAGACACAAACATTCTGCCCCTGCCCCCTCAAATTCATGTCCTTCTCACATGCAAAATACATTTATTCCATGCCGATAGCTCCAAAATCTTAATCTTTTCTAGCATCAACTTTAAAGTCTTAAGTCTCTTCTGGATATTATCTCAACTAGATATTGATGAAATTCAAGGTGGGATTCATTCAGAGGCAATTCCCCTCCAGCTGCGAGCCTGTGAAATCAAGTCATGTGCTTTTAAAATACAATGGTGAATCGGCCAAAGGATAAACATTGCTATTCTAAAAGAGAGCAATGGGAAGGAAGAAAGGAGTAACAGGTCCTGGTAAGTCCAAAACGCAACTGGGCAAACATTAAATTCTTAGGCCTCAAAATAATCTTCTTGGACCCCATGTCCCACTTTCAAGACACACTGGGGTAGGGTTTGGGCTCCTGAAACTCTGATGGCCCTGCCCCCATGGCTTTGCTGGGAGAAGCCAGTGCAGCAACTGTCCTGGGTTGCAGTCACATGCCTGTGGCTCCACCAGTCTGAGGTCTAGGGTGACCCTGCTGCCATGACTCCACTAGACATTGCCCTAGCAGGGACTCTCTACAGTGGCCTCACCCCTGGGGCAATTATCTTTCTGGGCCTCGAGGCTCTTTGGGATCCTTTGAAGTCTAGGTGGAGGTAGTCATGCCCTCACAGCTTGTATACTGTGTACACCCATGGAGATGGCCCTGCGTGGATGCCTCCATGGTTTACTCTCTGTGCCTTTCAGGGGGATGGTCTGAGTTTCAGCCACTTGAGCCACAGCTGGAATGGCCATACAGTGCTGCACCAGAATATGGGGAGTAGAGCCCTAAAATTCTTCTGTCCTGATGGCCTTGGCCTTCTGGGTCTGTGATGGATAAGACAACTTCAAAGGTCCCCAAGATGTTTTTGGGGTCTTTCTTTAATTATCTTGATGAAAGCACCTGGATCCCTTCTATCTATACAAATCTTATCAAACATACACTTGGCCACACCCTTGGCATTCTCTTCCATGCTTTTTCATTCTTTATAATGGGGCCAGGCTGAGAAATTTCCAAATCTTTGAGTTGTGCTTCCTTTTTAATGATGGATTTCATCTTTAAATCACTTCTGTCTTCTCACATTTTACTACAAGCACTCAAGAGAATCTGTGCCACTCCTTCAACACTATGCTTAGAGATTTCTTCTGCCAAATGTCCTATTTCATCACTCACAAGTGCTACCTTACACAAAATACCAGGACATGAACACAGTCCAGCCATGTTCTTTGCCAGTTTATAACAAGGATAGCCTTTCCTTTAGTATCCAACAGCATGTTCCTTATTTCTTTCTGAGACCTAATCAGAATGGTCTTTTCCATCCATATTTCTGTAAACATTCTGATTATAACCACCCTCTGGTGCTTTCTTTACCACTCTTCTCATCTTCTGAGCCCTAACCAGAATTCATCCTTAAGGCTACATTCATGACAAAGTACCTCAGAACTCTTCCAGTCTCTACCCATTACCCAATTCCAAAGCTGCTTCCACATTTTAAGGTATTTGTTATAGCAACACCCCACTTCTGGTACCAACTTGTGTCTTAGTCTCTTTGGGCTGCTATAACAAAAAACTTTAGATTGGACAATTGATAAACAACAGAAATTTATTACTCACAGTTCCAGAAGCTGGGAAGTCCAAGATCAAGTTGCCAGCAGATCCAGTGACTGGTGAGGGCCTATTTCTCATAGATGGCACCCTCCTATGTGTCTTCATGTGGCAGAGGGTACAAGGGGCCCCAAAGAGTACACCTCTTAATACTATCACAGTGGGTATTAGGTGCCAATATATAAGTTGAGAGGGACACATGTATTCAGACCATAGCACCCACTCTCCCCTCATGCTTCCCCCCAATATTCCTGTAGCTGGCTCCTTCATTCTGAACTGAGCTTAAAGGTTGCCTCTCATAGGGGATTTTCCTGAACATACAACCTAAGGTAGCAACACATTCACCATCACCATCACATCTACATAGCATTTACCTTCATCTAATACTCTAATTTCTGTAATTGGTCTGATTGAGGGCTCTTAAACAGAATAGTGTAACAACATTGTTTTAGTTGTTTTTCAAAAGCTGCTATTTCTATTCTCTGTCAAACCTCTCTTTTTGCTCTGGTTAGAGCCTTCTTCATGATATAATAGTTCCATGATATTCCAGTCATTCGGTTTTTAAAAGTGCCTTTTCTGTTACTAAAATTCACTTCTGTTCATTTTAAAAATTCAGTCTCATATTTGACTGAAACCTCTTTCCTCAGCACAGGCTAAACTTTTAGCTCTGGGTGAAGGGGCTGGGGAAGCCCATGTCCTCATGCCCTGCTCTCTTGTACTGCCATGTTCTTATCCCCTTGGTGTTGGGGAGGAGAGGAAGGAAACAGGTTAAAGATTATGTAAGCATACACATGTTGCTGGAAAGAAGGTTGCTATTCTTTTGGATGCTATTGCTTTCTAACACTAGCCATAAGTTCCAAAAGTGGGGCAAGTATCCAAATGATGGGTCTTTCCTAGAGATTATTTTTTGGATCGATCTCTGGATGGCTTTTCATGGTTTTTCTCTATACATGATTATTCTCTCTACAATTTTTGTTTTACTTGGATTAATAATTTTTTTTCTCATTTTAGTTTTCTATGTATTCATTGCTATTTCTTTCCAAATACTGCAAAATATTTGTCAAATGCCTACCAAATTTTACCAGTACTTCAGTGCATATGATCATCTGTCAGTTCATTTATTCAACTTGGAGCTTTGCTTTCTCACCTTCCATCCTTCTTCTAAAATCTGGATGAATTGCTCTCTAGGCAAGAGACACAGTTGTCGTCCTGAAGGTTCCCTCACTTGCTTTCTTAGTTTGAGCCCCTTGGTTGGATTCCATGTATTCTTTATCATATTAACTAATTCTGCTGAAGTTCTTGGTACATGAGAGGTGAGCTTTCATATTTCTGAAATGTTTTTCCTTCATACTCAGAACCGGCTGGTGGTTTGGCCGGTGTGCTGGATATTTTTGTTTTGCCTGTCTAGAACCGCTTTCTGCCCTTCTCCACTCTGGTTTCTGCTCCCAGGAGGCTGAGCTTTAGCGACTCTGTTACTCTGGTTATCTTGCCATCTGGCTGCTGCTTGAGTTCAGCCAATCTCTAGGGCAGAGGGAGAGTGAGGACAGGATAATTATTCCATCAATCACTCTATTAGGGCCTCCTTGGCTGACCACAGCTCTCTATTGAAAGTCACTCCTCCACTCAAGACAGCCCTCTTTCATGATCTGTTCCTTCTGAATCCTGGGAGCCACTACTTCCCATCTTTTCTTGGGCCTAGTGATGGTAACAGCTCTGCTGTTGCTAGCCTTTGAGTTCGGCAGTATTTTCTCACTTTTTGAGATAGCCCATTATCAAATCCTCCTCAGATTATCCTAATTTGAGTGATTGTATCATCTCATCCCTGGGTATTAAATTCTAGAGTGGAAATCATTTTCGCTTGGAATTGTTAAAGGTATTGCTCTTCCTGCTTAGCTTGCCATATGCTGTTAAGGAATCTGATGCCAGAAATCTTACTCCAGTTCTTTTTGTTGTTGTTGTTGTTTGTTTTTTTAAAGACAAGGTCTCACTTTGTTGCCCAGGCTGGAGTGTAGTGGTGCAATCACGGCTCACTGCAGCCTTGACCTCCCCAGGCTCAAGCAATCCTCCCACCTCAGCCTCCTGAGTAGCTGGCACTACAGGTGCACACCACCAGAGCTGGCTAATTCTTCTAATTTTTATGGAGATGGAGTTTCACCACGTTGTCCAGGCTGGTCTCGAGCTCCTGGGCTCACACAATCTGCCTATCTCGACCCTCCAAAGTGCTGGGATTACAGGCATGAGCCACCGTGCCCAGCCCAGTGCTTTTGTAAGTTGCCTTTTTTTCTTCTCCTCTCTGGAAGCTTTTGACATCTTTTCCTTATTGCTAGTATTCTGAAATGTCTCTGATGAGACTTGGTGTGGATCTGGTTTTATTCATTGTGCTAGATATTTGATGGACTATTGGAATCTGAAGATTCATATATTTCAGTTCAAGAAATTTTTTTCTATTATTTACTTGATAACTTCCATGTTATTGCTCTCACTTTCTAGAGCTCTTATTGTTTTGGATTTTGGACCACTGGATTTGATTCTCTGATTTTCTTATCTTTTCTATTGTTGAACTCTTTTGTTCTTATTCTGAGAGATTTTCTTTAACTTTCTCTACTGATCTCCCTGTTTATTTAAAAATTTTAGTTAGTTTTTAAAGCCATATAATTTTTATTGATAAGAACTAACAGTGTTAAACTGAGCAAAGAAAATACTTAAAATTTCTTTATAGCCATAAAATATTTTTAAAAATGCTTATCTATATTTAAAGAAAGGAAATTTATCTTGGAATAGGCAACTAACAGAATCTCAAAACTTAAATACTTTATAAATACATTTTAAAAGATACTACTATATGTCCTTAAATTCCTTTCTTTTTATAAAAATGGAAATATTTTAAATTATTAACAAATTTTTAGTTTAAAATTATTAAAATAGTTTTTCTACTTGATTTAAATTGTATAAGAGATGTTAGAAAGACACTTATCATACAAATAAAGCATTTTTTGCTACATGTCTTTACATCCATTTCTATCAATTAATTGGAAGCACTGTTTATAAGACACTTCAAATAAAGGTCCATTTATACAAGTACAATCAAATATAATATAAAATGATAGAACTTTGATGTGAATAAAGTAAAATTTCTTCAGCAAAGAATTTTTAAGGGCAAGAATTGTTAAAACATTTAATTTTAAAATAGTAAATGAAAATATAAACTGCCAAGACAAATAAAAGATTGTGCGTTAGTACACTGGTATTAAAAAACATAAAATCCATATCATATTTTTAAAATCCTGAGAAAACCAATACTTCATTGCTTCTCAGAGATATAGTCATAAATGCAACGATTTACATCCACATAAAGAGAGAGGATGGGAGGGAGCAAAGAAAAAAGAAAAGGAAAGGAAAAAAGAAGCATTTAAAAAATTTCTTTGCTGAAAATTTGTTCCTAAAGATGAATGTGCAGGTACGGAAGTTTATATGCTAAGTAAGAAAGTCATCACAGTTTAAATTTACAAGATCTTTTGCTTGTTCCCGGATTGTGTCTTTTCCATAGCATCCTGTCTGATTTCACATACACAGTATTTCTCTCGCTGGGTTTAGCATTTACTTATGATTTCTGCTTGGGCAAAGTGTCTTGTGTTTTGTTTGTTTTGGTCTCTCCCTTCCATGTTGGACGTGCTTTTCCTTAAACATCTGGTTATGCTTGGCAATCCATTTGGATTTGAGCTCTATGGACTAAATCGAAAGGTTAATTAGAATCTGTGTGTGAGTCTCTGTTGGGTAGTCTGCTTCTTTGCAGGGTGATCGGGCAAGAAATTGACTTTGCAATGGGGACCCCTAACTACCAGCATGAGGCCTCTGTCCATTTTCATGTCTGATTAGAGCATATATCTGCTAGCATTGGGAAGGAACAGGAAGAGGAAGAGAGCAGAGTTTCCCAGCTCAATATAGGGACTTTCGTTTAATCACCCTGTTTTCAGTCTTGAATCTCATCTCCACCCATCTCTATACCTGGTGTATTTCAATTCAGAACCTCTCTAGTTTAATTTCTCCAGAGACTACATTTGGAGAAAGTAGGGAGGCGGCAGTTACTGGACTTTTTTATTAGTTGGCTTCAGCCAATGGGAGGTGGGAGCGGGAGGAAGGGAGATGTCACAATATTCCCCACATTGTTCCTTTCTCCGACATAGGTTGCATTTCTTCAGTGGTTCCAGCTCACCCTACCCTGACTAGACGCACTGTGGTTCCAGCTTCCTATGGGAGACCTTGGCTCCTGGGTTCTAATCATTCTGTCTCTTCCTAGGGATGGTGGTTACTTATTACCGTTCATCTGTCTTTGGGGTCTCAGCTCTTCCATTACTTGCTAATTCTCTGTGTTAAATTCCATGTTTTAAATTAATAGAGTAGTTTCTGTTTTTCTTGTGGGATTCTGACTGATATGGGACAAATCCTGTATATATCGACAATACTTCATATTTTGCCAAAAGTATCAAAGCTTTCAATGATAGGTCAATTTCCAAACTCAAATGGATAGTGGCTCTAAAGACCTAACTAACTCTTCAGGCTATAAATAAGTGTGAAGCTAGCCTGTACTCCCAGGCTGGTGTCACCCTTGGGTTGGAAATTATGTTTGTTTGTTTTTAAGAATATTTTGTTTTAGTTTTAGTTTTTATTTTTTTCTTGTTTGTTTGTTTTAGATATGCTAGTGTAGTGGTGACATCATGGCTCACTGCAGCCTTGACCTCCTGGGCTCAAGTGATCCTCCCACTTCAGCCTCTGGGATAGCTGGGACTATAGGTGCATGCCACCACACCTGGCTAATTTTTTGTATTTTTTTGTAGAGACAGAGTTTCACCATGTTGCCAGGCTGGTCTTGAACTCCTAGGCTCAAGTAAACCGCCCGCCTCCGCCCCCCGAAATGTTGGGATTACACGTGGGAGCACCATGCCCAGCCAGATGTTGCTTTTTTAAATCCAGTATTGATTTCTGGTAATATGTCAGATCCCTCAACATTAAGGTGATACTTTACCCACCCATCATATTTTCCGATCTTAGACTGTTTTTTTAAGCCTGTTATTCAAGGATGTTAGTCATCCTAATTTACCTCGGAAAATTGTCATTGCCTAATGTCTGGGGTGAACAATTTCTAACTTGTTCTGTTTTTACGGAAATAAAGGGGGAAAACCGTGGTTTCTTTCTGTTTTTAAACAGCTGCCATTTATTGAGTGCTTATTACATACCAGCCACTCTGGTAAGTGCTTTGCATACATTATTTCTTTTAATCCTTGTAGCAATCCATTGCCTGTCACAGTCACATAGTAGAAGCTCCATAAATATATTTTTTAACATTTTAGTTTGAAAAAAATTAATCATATTTCTAAGAATAGTGTAATGAACTCCCCTGTATCCCCCACCTTGATTCACTGTTGGGAGACAATTCTTCATGGATATCCATTTTCTATACATCTCACTTTTTGTACAAGTGGAAGCATTGTCAGCCTTTCCAAGACTTTTCTGGACTATCTTTTCAAGGTTATTCCACTAGTGAACAACCTTAGAAAACAGTGTCTCTGCTTGGAATGAGGGACAGGTGTGTTTACTGTTCAGTATAAGTATAATGTCTTAGCTGGTCCAGCGACTCACATCTGTAATCCTGGCATTTTGGGAGGCTGAGGCATGGCATTTTGGGAGGCTGAGGCAGGAGGATCACTGGAACCCAGGAGTTCAAGACAAGCCTGGGCAACATGGCAAAACCTTGTCTCTGCAAAAAAATACAAAAATTAGCCGAATGTGGTGGCACATGCCTGTGGTCCCAGCTACTCGGGAGGCTGAGGTAGGAGGATGGCTTGAGCCTGCGAGGCGGAAGCTGCAGCGAGCCGAGATCATGCCATTGCACTCCAGTCTGGGCAACAGAGTGAGACCCTGTCTAAAATAATGATAAGTATAATGTCTGTTTCTGGTGCAAAGGTGTTCAGGGTTGCTCAAAACTCATTATAAAAGATTGGGGGTCTTGGTCAGGCATGGTGACACACTGTGTAATTCCAGCACTTTGGGAGGCCAAGGCAGGAGGATTGCTTGAGCCCAGGAGTTCAAG
Source organism: Homo sapiens (assembly GCF_000001405.40). Taxonomy (NCBI): domain Eukaryota; kingdom Metazoa; phylum Chordata; class Mammalia; order Primates; family Hominidae; genus Homo; species Homo sapiens. Next base: position 54,461,285 of record NC_000014.9, on the reverse strand, counting down.
ACCAGTCTGAGCAACATGGCAAAACCTCATTTCTATAAAAAAATACCAAAAAAATTAGCCCAGAGTGGTGGCATGCACCTGTAGTCCCAGCTACTTGGGAGACTGAGGTAGGAGGATTGCTCGAGCCCAGGACGTTGAGGCTGCAGTGAGCCAAGATCACACCACTGCACTCCAGCCTGGGCAACAGAATGAGAGCCTGTATTAAAATAAATAAATAAATAAATACATACATAAATAAATAATAAATAAATTAGGGTTTCCTAAGCTCATGATTTCTCATTTGTGACCTAACTACACGGAATGTGCAATATTTAGTTGGGCCATTTTCCATCACTCTGATGTGACATGAGAAGTGAGAGCAACGGACATGAACAGAAGATCATGCTGCTTGCAGTGCCATGAATAATAAAGTCTTTAATCGGTGACCTAGGAGTCTCATGTCTTCTGCCAGTATTCAAAAAACTGTAGCAAGGCTGGGCGCGGTGGCTCAAGCCTGTAATCCCAGCACTTTGGGAGGCCGAGGTGGGCGGATCACTTGAGGTCAGGAGTTCAAGAACAGTCTGGCCAACATGGTGAAACCCTGTCTCTACTAGAAATACAAAAATTAGCCAGGCGTGGTGGTGTGCACCTGTAATCCCAGCTATTTGGGAGGCTGAGGCACAAGAATTGCTTGAAACTGGGAGGCATAAGGCAGAGATTGCAGTGAGCAAAGATTGCGCCACTGCACTCCAGCTTGAGTGACAGAGCAAGACTCTGTCTCAAAACAAAACGAAACAAAAAACAATGGCAGGCTGACTTTTTTTTTTAATTTTTAATTTTTTTTAGACAGGGTCTCACTCTGTCGCCCAGGCTGGAGTGCAGTGGTGCAATCTTGGTTCAGCGCAACCTCAGTCTCCTGGGCTTAAGCCGTCCTTCCACCTCAGCTTCTGGAGTAGCTGGGACTACAGGTGTGTGCCACCACACCCAGCTAATTTTTGGTATTTTTTGTAGAGACAGGTTTCCCCATGTTGCCCAGTCTGGTCTCAAACTCCTGGGATTACAGTTCTCCATGGCTGGGGAGGCCTCAGGAAACTTATGATTACGGCAGA